>NC_000019.10:40877237-41180267 GCF_000001405.40 Homo sapiens
GGCCAAACTCATGGGGATCACGTCTCCAAATCTTTGGATCTCGTGGATCACTGCCTCCATGTAGGGCATCTTGGTCCGGTCCTCAAACTTGGGCTGCCGGTTCTTGCCGATCACTCTGTCAATCTCCTCATGGACCTTGGCTGGGGGAGGAGGGGGAATGTGTTTAGGTATCTGGGAGTCTCAGAGCAGGAAATGATAGTCTGAATAGGTAAAACGGGGTGGATGATACGGCTCCCCCTATGAGACGGAGGTAGAGCATTCATAACAGAACAGACATCGGCCATTCGCATTGTTGGAGTAGGATCCTGTTAACCAGGTTGTGCCAGAATCACAGGGGAGGCACAGGGAGGAACTTAGGAGATGACCCGGGGGAAGGGGCAGCGGGCACTCAGTGGGCTTGGGACAGAAGTGACTGACCAATCAGTGCAGACATTTTCAATATTTTAATAGCTAATGAGACTCAGCTGATGCCTACCAGCTGAATGTTGCCCTGTCTCTGGACAGCAAGGCACGTCTCAGGGTCCTGGGATCTGGGACAGGTAGGGACATTGCACCAGTCGAAGGGGAATTTTGAGGGTCTGGGGCCCTCCACTTCCGTCCCCCTCCAGCCTTACCCTCCACCTCTGGGTGCTTCATGAGCAGCAAGAAGCCATAGCGCAGGGTGGTGCTGACCGTCTCGGTGCCTGCAATGAAGAGGTTCAACGTGCTCATCATCAGGTTCTTCAAGTAGAACTCCGTGTTGGGGTTCTTCTCCTCCTGCAGGGAGAGGGGGCTTTAGGCCAACCTCACTCCTCTTGCCCTCAGGGCCCTTCTAGGGCTTTTCCTTTGGATCTACCTCTCTTTGGTCCAGACCAAAGGTGGAAAGAGGGACCCTAGATCTACCAGACTCGCTCTAGGTTCCAGCCCTTGCCCTGGCTGCTGGCTTTGCCCAAAATGCTCTTTCTTCTCACCTTCTTTACGTTGCTGACCATCTGTCCTTTAATTATCAACTTAGCTGTCAGTTTTTTTTTTCTTACACTGACTTGGTCTTGCTAAGTTGCACAGGCTGGACTCGAACTCCTGGGCTCAAGCAATCCTCCACCCTTAGCCTCCTGAGTAGCTGGAACTGCACACGCGCATGACCATGCAGGCTCACTTACTTTTTAAACAATTAATTAATTTTTTTTGAGACAGGGTCTCATTCTGTCACCCAGGCTGGAGTGCAGTGCCGTGATCTTGGCTCATTGCAACCTCTGCCCCCCTTCGCGCCACCACGTGCAGCTAATTTTTGGATTTTTAGTAGAGACAGGGTTTGACCATGTTGGCCAGGCTGGTCTTGAACTCCTGACCTCAGGTGATCCACCTGCCTCGGCCTCCCAAAGTGCTGGGATTACAGGCTGTTAGCCACGGCGCCCAGCCAATTGTGAGGATTATTATGATGAGGGCTAATTTGAACGGGTCTGTGTCGTCTGCCCGCCCCACTCCCAGTCTGATTTCCCTCTGCCTGGCTTTGCACCTCCCCGCACTGGCTGCTGGGGTGTACCTCCTGCATGTGGATGAGAAAGGAGTCGATGAAGTCCTGTGGGGAATTGGGATCCAGCGTGCGCTGGTTGTGCTCCACCTTCTTGGCTATGAAGTCCTCCAGCCCTTGCAGCAACTTAAAGGCCTGTTGCTGTGGTCCTGGCAGGTGTTTCATCACCGAAGAGAACATCTCATAGAGCTGGGGTTGCAGAGAGAGGATGGGAAGGGAAGGACAGCTGTCACGGGGCAGGAGCTGATGGGAATGGGATTTGTTTCATAGCAAGGAAGGAACTGAGTTAAAGGCATCTGTCTCATTGTTTAGGTATTTCAGTGGGGTCGGATAGGAACTTATATCTAAGTTTTCAGGAAGGTTAGGTACCAGGGCCACGGTCTAGTAATTTAGGTGAGAAGAACTGAGGCATATATCCAGGTTTCAGGTATGCAAATGAGGCTGGATTGGAGCACACATCTAGGTGTTCAGATATTCAAGTGAAGTTGAGTTGGAAGACACCTGTCCAGGTGTTTAGCTCTTCAGGTGGGGCTGGTATGAGGTGAGTGTCACCTGTCTAGGTATTTAGGCATTCAAGTAGGCTTGGTTGGAGACAGCTGTCCAGATACTTACTGGGTCTGGATTGGGGGCTTTTGTTCAGGTGTTCAGGTATTAAAGTGGGGCTGGTGAAGATGTTGAAGTGCAGGGGATACCTGTTGAGGTGTTTACCTATCCAAGTGCGATGCACAGGGAGCACCTCTGTAAGGTGTGTGATTGGAAAGGGTTGGGGAACACTTATTTGTGTGTCAGGGAACAATCTGTCTAGATATTTGTGTGTTTAAGGTGTTGGTTAGGGCAGCTGTCCATGTTTTCAGGCATTTAAGTGGGTGAAGTAGAGGGCGCTTGGCCAGATATTCCAGTGGGCTAATCTGGGACATTTGTGTAGATGTGAAATGATTATGATGGGCTGGATTTTGCAGCACCAGGTGTTCAGGCATGCAGGAGGCGGGTTGACGCAGTCATTTGTCCAGGTGTTAAAATATTCAGAAGAACTGGGTAGGGAGCATCTGTTAGAAATTACGGTAAGTTGGGGATGGGAACACGTGCCCAGGTGAGAGAGCTGAGCTGAGGGTATGTATCCTACCAGCAGGCTCTGTTTTGGGGAGCATCTGTTGAGCTATCCAGGTGTCCTTGGAGACAGGCTTCTGGTGCAACTGTCCAGTTGTCCAATATCGGGGGCTGATTTTGAGGGGACACTGTCTGGAGCGGGGTGGGAGTTTGGGGCACCTGTCTCCAGGTAGGGGAGCAGTTGGCAGGTTGTGGTAGGGGCGTCACGGGCCGGGCTGCAGCCAGTTACCTGCCCCGTGGAGGTTGACGTGAACTGGAAGATTCCTAGCATCATGCTCAGCAGTGACAGGAACTCTTTGTCCTCATAGTCAAAGCGGTCCCCAAAGACAATGGAGCTGATGACATTGGAGACTGTGCGGCTCAGGAAGAAGGTGGGATCGATATTGGCGCCTGCGGGTGTGGAGGGAGAAGGGGGTTGGGGAGAGAGTCAACTCAGAGGTCTGAGGAGAATCAGAATTCCAGGAGGCAGGGCCTTGTTGAGCCAAATTCCCAGCGCCAGACTCCAGGGCTGGAAGTGCGGGCGCCTTTCCCCACCTAGTCCCCATCCGCAGGCAGAACGCGCGCGGGTTCCTCGTCCTGGGTGTTTTCCTTCTCCTGCCCCCGCACTCGGGGAACCTTACTCACCGTGCGTGCTCCGGATGGCCTCGATGAGGAAGCCCGACTCCTCCTGGATGCGCTCCTCGATGCCTCGCTTGCCCACCCCGAAGTCCCTCAGGGTGGCGATGGCAAAGCGCAGGAGCTGCTTGGCGCGCTCCCCGTTGCTGAACGCCACGCCTGGGGAGGTCAAGGCGGGGGTGGAGAGAGGTCAGGGGGCGGCGGTGGCAGGAGCGGACCAGTTCCAAGGGGCTCCCCAAGGGTGGAGCAGAGGGGTAGTGGGGTGGGAGAGAGATGGATTCAGTGCCAGTGCCCAGGACAGGTGCAAACTCAGTCAGAGAAACACGAGGGAGAGAGAGAGAGAGAGAGAGAGAGAGAGAGAGAGAGAGAGAGAGAGAGAGAGAGAGAGAGAGACCGGGTAGAAAGAATAAGAGAATCAGAAGAGAAACAGAAAGGCCAGATAGAGATGCGCAGAGAAACAGAGGGATAAGGGGATACTCCATGGAGGAAGGGTAGGAAGTGGGGAGAGAAAGAGAGAGATGGAGGAAGAGGATGGAGGGAGGGGAAGTGAGATATGGGGAGATCTGGGAGGAGGAAATAAAAATGGTGAAACATTCTTAAGCTGAGCTGGAGAAGAGAGAAAAATACTGAGACAGAAACAGAGAGGGTCTGGAAGGAAGAGAGACTGTTACCAGGAGATGGAGGCTGGAGATGTGGAAGTAAGAATAGCATGAAATCCTAAGGGAGAGGAAAAAGTGAGAGAGGGAAGTGGAGAGAGGAGAAACATGGAGAAGCACAGAAGCTGAGAGCAACAAAAAGACAAATGAAGACAGAGGACCAGGGCTGGAAAACAGAAACCCAGGATGTCCTCAGAGATGGAGAGAGAGGGGAAAGAGGAGACTCCAGTGAGAGAGAATAAGGAGGTGGGGCAGAGAGAGGCAGGGAGGAATCACGACAGGGACGCTGGAGACAGGTGAGGGATACACATGGAGAGGCCACAGTGAAGGGAGATGGGGAGATAAGACCAGACCGGGGGTTCTGCCATAGCCTCCAGTGGGCAGGAGAGTCAGGGAGAAGGCTGGCAACACTGAGACCATCGTGTCCGCCTGGCCACCTTCCCCATCTTGGGCACCCCCTCACCATAGCCTTTGAAGACCCAGTCGAAGGTGGCTTGCTCGCCTCGCCCGCTGAACTCCTCAGCCTGGTCCACCAGAGCCTCCCTGACGGCATCATGTCCACACAGCACCACGACCCGCCGGGGCCCCAAGTGAATGGTGAACACGGGGCCATAGCACTCACTGAACTGATGGAGGCGAGTGGGAGTGGTTAGAGGGAGCAGCCCCCACTCTGAATGGGGCCCAGCACCGAGATGTCAAGTACTGGGATCCTTCACCCCCAGGTTCTCACAGTCAGGGAGCTGGACATCCCAAGATCCTGTCTTTCCTGGCTAGGACCCGGATGCTGAAACTCCAAAACTCCCTTTCCTAAGACTCTGGTCCACACTGGTCAATCCCCTGCCACAAAGCCCCAGCCAACTAGGCAGCCCCCACCCTGTGCCACCCATCTTCCTGCCTTGGGACACCTTCATGATGGAGTCACATATGTGCTCTGTGTTCAGCTGGAGGTAGTTTCCAATGAAGGGCAGTGGGGTGGGTCCCGGAGGCAGCTTCCCCCTGCTCTTCCTCTGCTGCCAGACAGACATCAAGACCATCACAGTCAGGCAGGCCAGCAAGGCCACCAGAAGCAGCCCTGAGGCCAGCATGGTGGTAGTGAGATGACAGATGGTGATGGGTGGGGTGGTTTGCCTTTATACTGCCTGAAAAAGAGGGATGGACTTTGGCTAATTACATAATCACCTTATTTCACCTCCCAACTACACGCCCCACCATGAATGCCACCTAGCTTGGGACACAGCCAGCAAGGGAGGATAAGGGGACCCCAGGGCAGCTGAACAGAGAGGGGGCCTCCAGACTAAATCTGTGGTACTTCAGGAGGGGTGCCGCAGGGCTGTGGATTTAGGAGGGGGCAACCGATAAACTGTAGAACTGAAGAGTTTGGAATATTTGCATAGGGGAGCACTTGGGCTTTGGATTTGGGGTCTGAGAGTGAGAATGCACCCCAAAGTTGTGGATTTGGGCATTCCAAGGGAGAGGAATCCAAAGGTCTGGGTTTTATTAGGGTGAGATGGAAGTGTGGCTGTGCATCTGGAGGTCTTCTGTTGCGGAGGATGCAGGGTTAAGGGTCTCAGGAGGGGGGACTCCAGGCATATGGACTTGAAAGTCTCGGGGCTAGGAAGACCCAGGGCTGTGGGTGTGGAGTTTCTGGGAGGAGGAGTGTGTAGCAAGCCAGCAGGTGCTCCCAGAAAGCCCAGCAGCCCAGCAATGGGCCCAGGGGCTGACTTGATTTTGCTTTTGCCCAGAGCTATCTCTTGATGCCCAGAATCCTCATTGGAACCTCAGAGTGAGGCCAGGATGGGTGCCATGGAACCTCCACTGCCCATCTCTGGTTGGGAAAGGGGTGGAAGACCAGGGCCATATTTCAGGGGAACTTTCCCCACACCTGGAGAAGAGTACCTGGAGTTAGCGGTTGGCAGAGGGATTGGCTAGGTCTGGAGAAATAGTAATAACAACCCCCAAATGGTGGAAAAATCTCAAGTGTCCCAAGGGTTGTCCGCTGGTTTCCAACCCAGATCCTCAGGGAAACCCACTAGATTGATTGTATCATCCCTATTAATATTATGATTGTTGTTTATGTTTCTCATTTTATATAAAGATCTACAGAGGACAGAAAACAGACAGTGGGCAGGGGACATGTGTGAGTGGCCCTGAACTCCCATCTCTCCTGCTCTGTGTACTTAGTTCCCCTTTCTGGATTTGGTTTTCCTGCCAGTGGAAAGGGAGTGTTTGGGAAGAGAAGATCACATTTGAGGGTGAGTTAAGTCTCCTTTAAGGGCGATTCCTGCTTTGTCAGGGGCTACTACTATTAGCAGGCAGAGGGAACAGTCGCAGAAGAGATTGGGGTAAACTCCAGTGTTAGGCACAGAGGCAGATCCTGGGGTGGGTGTGAGTGGAGAAGGGATGAGTAGCCCTCCTGTCCTTCCTTCAGGGAAATTCTTCCTTAGTAAACAGGACAGTTACCCTTTGGTGAGCATGGTCATATATGGGAAGATTAAGTCTAGGTGTGTATGATCTGGTTGAATCTTTGTAACAGTGAGGTTGGTTCATCGTGATCATCCTCATTTTGAAGATGAGCAGATCTAGACTCCATAAACCCTCTTGAGTGAGGTCACACAGGGAGTAAGTGAGGGAGCTGGGATGTGAACTTTCTCCTCGCCCCCCTTCATTGACTGGCCTAGATCACCCTGGGAGTCAAGTGCGGGCCAGCCTTAGCAGGAGGTGAGTGCTGAGACTGGCATCAGCAGTGGACACACTGATGACATTGGCGGGTTCTGATATCAGCATCAGGTATGGCCAGGGAGGGAAAGGCATCGTGTTGGCTTTGGGACTGCCCCCAGGTGTATGCGAGGATGGGAAACAAGTTGGCACTGAACTTGACACCAGGAGAATATTGAAGTCATGTTTGGTGCCAAGAGGGCTCTGTGTGTTGTCTCAGGTGTCATTGAGGGCATAAGAGTGTCCTGCTTCAGGAGGGCATAAGGGTGGCACCATATAGGGTCTGAGGTTGGTCCCAGTGGGCTCTGACATGAGCATGAGGCAGGTGCTGATATTGGTCCTATGTGGGTCTGAGATGAGCCTCAGCCAGACCCTGAGAGGGGCCCCAGATGGCCACAGGACAGGCTCTGGTGGTTGGACCATTTAGGGTTGCACCTGTCCTCTGGGTCACCAACTTTGGACAAGTGGAGGTGGGTGAGGTTGGCACCCCCAGGACTGACATCTTGCTCAAACTGTTCTAGGATGCTGAGCTCTGAGACCTGTGTGGAGGGAACAAAGGTCAGAGAACAAGGCAGAGAGAGGAAAGTTGTTTGTTGATTTTGGAGGGGAAGAGGTGGAAAGGAAGATTAGCACCAGCTTGGCAGATATCAATCCCTCTAATCCTGTTCACCAGCCTGCACCTGGGCCTGGCTCCTCCTTTTCCTTCTTGTTTCTTAAAAAGGTGGGAGACAGAAATCTGAGGAGTTTGTTTCTCAGTGGGGTTGGCACTAAGAAGTGCACTGAGTGATCAGCAGGTTGCCATGACCTGGCCAGGGAGGGGATGGGGAGAGACAGGTTGGGAGAACTCTAGTATTTGTGGACATAGAGGTCAATGAATTTTGGACTTGTTGATTACCCTAGAGCATGGAGTGAGAGAATGGTGTCTGAAATCATGTGGGAGGGACTTGTCCCAGTGGGCAGTGTCTTGGGAACAGGCTTTCAGAGTGAGTTAGTGGCGAGCCCAGGAAGATCCCTTTCCTTTGCTGGGCCTCAGTTTCCCTTTCTGAATGGATGGTGCAATGATTAAGGCCTGGATTGGAATCCTAACCTTATCCTTTCTTTGTTGTGTGGCTTTGAACAGCTGACTTCATCTCTCTGAGTCTTATGGAGCCAAGAACAGCTCCTACCTCTTTGGCTATTTAGGGGAGAAGTATATGTGTTAATGCAGATGAGGTACATGGCAGTAAGTGCTCAATGAATGGTAGTTGTTCTCTTTAATCTGTAGGATGAAGCAGATTGATGAGATGTTCCCTAAGCACATTCCTTGCTTTTACATTCTCTAGTCTAAAGCTCACAAATCTTTTCCTTTGGGAAGGAGGAAAGGGACAGAGTCTTTGGGAACCTCCTTCGCCATCCCTTCCTCAGCACAGCCAAGCTTTACCCCATGGAGCTGTGAATAGGAAATTAATCCTTCATGGCCTCCTGGAGTGTGGTGCTGAGTTAGGCAGTATCTGCGGAAGGACAGGCCAGCATTAGACTCTCAGGTTATTCTGGTTGGCCCTGGAGCCCTGCACAGGACTTTGCCCACCTGTCTGTCTATGCTTGTCTTGGATCCCATCTTTCTATCTTTCTCTTTCTCCTTCCCTGCAAGTCAGTGTTCCCCTCAATCACCCTGTGTGCTCGTGCATCTTTGTTTTGTGCCATTTTGTCCAGTGGGTTCTCCTGGATGCCTCTGCCATGTTTATCCTCATTTATACAACTGTGTGTGTGTCATTCTGGGTGCATGCTTTTAGTGTCTACGTGCATGTATGTTTCAGCACGTTCATGTTGATACATGAATTTATGTGTGCACCAGGCTTTGTGGTGTGTATGTTTGTGCTTGATAATGGGTATCCATTCCAACTTATGTCTGCACATGCACATGTGTGTGTGTGCCTGACAGGGTGTGGCACTGTTTCTCAATGCTTGCCAATCTGTGTCTGTCTCTGCATACAGCATGTGTGCACACATGATTTAGGGGTGTCTACGATGTGTATTTCTGTGTAGAACAAGATGAATGCTGCATATTCATATTTGTGTGTATACATTCACAATTGGGTGACTACATATAAGTATGTGGATGTTTTTTTCTTTGTTTTTTTTTTTTTTTGAGACAGAGTCTTGCTCTGTCCCCACGCTGGGGGGCAGTGGCATGGTCTCGGCTGGAACCTCTGCCTCCCAGATTTACACCATTCTCCTGCCTCAGCCTGCTGAGTGGCTGGGGCTACAGGCGCCTGCCACCATGCCTGGCTAATTTTTTGTATTTTTAGTAGAGATGGGGTTTCACCATGTTAGCCAGGATGGTCTCGATCTCCTGACCTCGTGATCCGCCCGCCTGGGACTCCCAAGGTGCTGGGATTACAGGTGTGAGCCACCGTGCCCGGCCAGTATGTGGATGTTTTCATGTGTTCATTCTGGTGTGTGTGTGCAGACTTGTGGGCCATGTTGCATACACGTGAACATGTGATATTTTCCTGTGCTCATCTGTGTTTGGATTAAAACAGTCCTATCCCAGCTCCATTTATCTGCTTGAAAAAACCCCCAGAACTGCAGGAAGCTTTTTATGAGCATAATCTTAATTGAACTCCTGATTGCAAGACTGAGGTTAGCTTTATCATCTCCATTTTGCAAATGAGTTAGATAAGTTCCCCCAAAGCCGGTCATAAGTGACTTGCTTCTGCATTTCACAGCTAATGAGTGTAGAGTCTTAGTATGGTCTTGTGTGATGGTAAATTTTTTTTTTTTTGAGATGGAGTTTCGCTCTTTTGCTCTTGTTGCCCAGGCTCGAGTGCAATGGTGCGATCTTGGCTCACTGCAACCTCTGCCTCCTGGGTTCAAGTGATTCTCCAGCCTCAGCCTCCCGAGTAGCTG
Source organism: Homo sapiens (assembly GCF_000001405.40). Classification (NCBI taxonomy): domain Eukaryota; kingdom Metazoa; phylum Chordata; class Mammalia; order Primates; family Hominidae; genus Homo; species Homo sapiens. The sequence goes on from NC_000019.10 coordinate 40,886,730, forward strand.
GGATTATAGCCACCAGACGCAGCTCATTTTTGTATTTTTAGTAGACACGGGGTTCACCATGTTTGTCAGGCTGGTTTCAAACTCCTGACCTCAGGTGATCTGCCCACTTCGGCCTCCCAAAGTGCTGGGATTACAGGCATGAGCTACCATGCCTGGCTGTGAATGTAAGTTTCATGCTGTTAATCACCACTTTGGACTGCTAGGCCCCACCTGTTTTTCTTTATGAAACATTAGAAAAACTGCTTGTACTCTCTTGTGTTTCTTCAAATACTTCCATGTAAACATGTAACAAAGGATTTCAAAATGTTAGAAAAAAAAGTCTTTTAATAGGAGGGAGACTTGACCTTCTGTAGTGTTTGCACTTTTTGGAAGCTTAACCAAAGACCTAGTTGGCCAGTATACCCCTCATGCCATTGGCAATGAAGCAGTGGGGGAGTTGGGGTACTAGTTGTTGTGGCCAGAGAGTGAAATGTCTGTGTTTCACATTTCAGATTGATGACAAGGATTTGGGGGGTGGGGCTGTGGGAATGTTGGCTGAAAATAGAGTGAAGAAGGTCAAAGAAGAGAAGACAGTCAAGATTCTTTTTTTCTGAGTGTTTGGATAGCTCACATCCATGGCCATGAAGTTCCTCCCTACCAGTAAAATGGCAGGACTTAGAGTTCAGAGATGGGAAAGAAGTTGGATAGATGATAGGGATGAACAGCTTTTTTTTTTTTTTTCTTTTGAGGTGGAGTCTTGCTCTGTTGCCCAGGCTGGAATGCAATGGTGCAATCTTTTTTTTTTTTTTTTTTTGAGATGGAGTCTTGCTCTGTTGCCCAAGCTGGAGTGGAGTGCTACAATCTTGGCTCACTGCAAGCTCCACCTCCCGGGTTCATGCCATTCTCCTGCCTCAGCCTCTGAAGTAGCTGGGACTACAGGCGCCCACCACTACGCCCGGCTAATTTTTTGTATTTTTAGTAGGGACTCTGTCTCAAAAACAAGACAAACAAAAACAAACAAACATGATGCAACTATATGCTGCCTATAAGAAACTCATTTTACCTGTAAAGATGCATATAGACTGAAAGTACATAGATGGAAAAAGATATTCCATGTAGACAAAAACCAACAGCAAGCAGTAGTAGCTATAACTTATACCAGTTGAAACAGATTTTAAGGCCGGGCGGGAACGGTGGTTCATGCCTGTAATCCCAGCACTTTGGGAGGCTGAGGTGGGTGGATCATAAGGTCAGGAGATCGAGACCATCCTGGCCAACACGGTGAAACCCTGTCTCTACTAAAAATACAAAAATTAGCCGGGCGTGCACCTGTAGTCCCAGCTACTGGGGAGGCTGTGGCAGGAGAACCACTCGAACCTGGGAGGCAGAGGTTGCAGTGAGCAGAGATCGTGCCACTGCATTCCAGCCTAGGCGACAGAGCGAGACTCCGTCTCAGGAAAAAAAAAAAAAAACCATTTTAAATCAAAAACATTAAAAATAAAAACAAAACAAAGTATGAACCCGGGGGCGGGGGTGGAGGTTGCAGTGAGCCAAGATCACACCAGTGCACTCTAGCCTGGGCAACAGAGCAAGACTCCATCTCAAAAAAAAAAAATATTCTGGCAGCATCACATTTCTTAGTCCCAGAAGGAGGGCCATGTGACTAGGCAAAAAATGACCCAGGTTCCATTTCATGCACACACCCTCTGGAGCACAAATCTCCTTCTCTCTATCCCACTTAGACCTGGGTTTCTCTCTTGTCCCTGTATCTCTTTGTTTCGTTGCCTTTCTCTTTGTTCATCTCCACCTCCAACTTTTTGTCTAGTTGGATTTCTCTGTGAGCCATGGGTGCGTCCACTCTTTGGGTTCCTCTTGATTCTCTTCTCAGCCGTATGTCACTTTCTCAGTCTCTGTCTCACTGAAACTTTTTTCCTGTCTTTTATTCTTTCTGCTTCTATCTCCCTCTCTCTGTTTCTTTGAATTGTCTTTTGTCTCTGTGTCCTCCTTGACATTTATCTTTGACTCACTGAATCTCTCTCTCTCTCATCTCAATTTTGTTTTGTTTGCTTTGTTTTGTTTTTGAGACAGTCTCGCTCTTGTTGCCCAGGCTGGAGTGCAGTGGTGCGATCTTGGCTCACTGCAACCTCCACCTCCCGGGTTCAAGCAGTTCTCCTGCCTCAGCCTCCTGAGTAGCTGGGATTACAGGCGCCCGCCACCATGACTGGCTAATTGTGTGTGTGTGTGTGTGTGTGTGTGTGTGTGTGTGCATGTATTTTTAGTAGAGACAGGGTTTCACCATGTTGGCCAGGCTGATCTCGAACTCTTGACCTCAGGTGATCCACCTGCTTTGGCCTCCCAAAGTGCTGGGATTACAGGTGTGAGTCACTGTGCCTGTCCTCATCTCTATTTTGATCTCACTCTGGTTCTGTTTCTATGCACCTCGATTTTGTCTCAATCTTGATTTCTGTCTCCATCACATAATACCTGGCATAATCTGCCATGCTCTGAATTTCTCTGCCTCAAGTCCTCTGCAATTATTTTTCCTCTTTAGCTTGCTTCTACTTTTTAGTTCAAGTTCCTCCACTCCTGGCTTCCTATCTGGAGGTGGAATGGTGAAGGGAGCTGTTCTAAGAGTATTTGCTCTCTCCCTTCCCGTCTGAGTAGGAAAACCAGACTCACCATCACCACACACATGCCACCACCCTGAATGGGTGTTAAATGCTGGGGTGTGAGGATCAGAATGGGATGGGGAGGTGAAATCTAAGAGAGTCAAAGGAGATGGGCTGAGCTGAGTCTCTACTCCAAGAAAGACATTCTAGCAGCAGATCCAAGAGACAGAACGTGGCACTGTGTGTGAGTCACTCAGTTTTCGTAGAATTTCCACTGCTTCTGGACACAGGATGCCTCAGCTCAGCCAGCCAAACCCCATTCCCAAAACTTACAGATACCTTGAGGGATTCAGTTTCCAAGTCTGAGAATACAGTCGTGTGAAAAGGACATTGAATTTTGATAAATAGTATATGTGGGTAGGATATAATATCCAGGAAGTTCATTTCAGGCCAATAAGGCTTTGAAAATATTTGGTGCGGAAAAGGTAGTGAATCACTTTTTAGATTATTAAGGAACACAATCACTAATTGCGCTGGAGGAGATGTTCTCCTCCAGAGACTGGGGTTCAGAGGTGATCCCTACACCTTAGAGTTTTAAAACACACACACGCACACACACCAACACACAATACAGCAAAGTTCTTTTTTTCTTTTTTAAATTTGATACAGCAAAGTTCTGATACACCAACACAAGTAATCTTTGATTATTGTTATTTAACATCTTGAGTAGAAAACAAGAACTTTTTGAACAAAACCTGTTCAATTGATTTATTTCTCTTGTTTTCTAAATCTTCAGCTTACTTTCCTTATTAACATTCTAGTGTTCCATTACACAGTAGGGTAGCTGTAGTTAACGATAATACATTGCATATTTCAAAATAGTTAGAAGAGAGGATTTTGAATGTTCTTACCACAAAGAAATGATAAATGTCTCAGTAATGGATATAATAATTACCCGAATTTGATTGTTATACATCGCATACATGTATAAAAACATCACACTGTACCCCACAAATATGTACAATTATTATGTCAATTAAAAAAATTTAATAACTGTTTAATTAGGGTTATACTTAATTAAGTAACGAACAAAGAGTTTTCCTTGTTGTCTATCAAGACTTTCTAAAACAACATGGTCTGCCAGCTGTGGTGGCTCACGCCTGTAATTCCAGCACTTTGGGAGGCTAACGGGGGGGCGGGTGGTGGATCACTTGAGGCCAGGAGTTCGAGGCCAGCATGGCCAACATGGTGAAACCACATCTCTACAAAAATACAAAAATTAGCTGGACATGGTGGTGTGCGCCTGTAGTTCTAGCTACTTGGGAGGCTGAGGCATGAGAATCGCTTGAACCCTGGAGGCAGAAGTTGAAATGAGATTATACCACTACACTCCAGCCTGGGTGACAGAGTGAGAATCTGTCTCAAAAAATAAAACAATAAAAAAAAATAAAACAACATGGTTTCCCTGTTTGATAGATGGGGAAACAAGTCCCAGAGGTTAAGTGACTTTCCCAGTGAAGAAAAGACAGAGCTGCCACTTGTACCCAGATTGTCTGGATCCTAAAATCAATAGCCTAAAAAGATAATAATTTGCCTCTTACACCCCACCAAGAAATTCTGTTCAATTCTGTTGAGCTGAGAGGGAAGAACAGGGAGACTGGAAATATGAAGAAAGGGGAATGGCCCCAGAGGATTTCCCTGTGTGAATTCAATTTACCTTTATTCAGGTGGGAGATTATAGGTTATATAACCACCCCCAATATAAAGCAATCTCTTCCCCGATGACACTCAAACCCGGAAAACTTGAATCCCAGGGTGTTCAGATTTTGGTATAAGCTGATCTCCCAGGACCTACTTAGGCAGGATCTGGTGCCCAGGACAGAACCTGTTGACCTGGCACCATGGAGCTGGGAGGGGCTGTCACCATCTTTCTGGCACTCCGCTTGTCTTGCCTGCTCATCCTCATTGCCTGGAAACGAATGGATAAGGCAGGAAAGCTGCCCCCAGGTCCTACACCAATTCTTTTCCTGGGGCACCTGCTGCAAGTTCGAACTGATGCTACGTTTCAGTCTTTCATGAAGGTGAGTCTGTCTGTCTCCTTTAATAGGGCTAAAAGCAACTAATCCTATAGCCAGATTCACATAGAAACTTATGACTTCTAAAAGATAGACTCTCAGAAACACAGACTTTGCAAATCTTAGAATTCTGAAATTCCAGAATCCTAAAATGTTGGAAACACACATTCTCAGTGCATTGAAATAAGATTTTCATGATCTCAGGACTTTGGAATCACAGTACATTATATTTTTAAACACAGGATTCTTTGACTCAGCTTGTCTTAGCACTTTGAGACTTGGTATCATGAAGTCTTAAGATTCTAGAAATTTAACATTTCAGAGAGAGAAGTATGAATCTTGGAATTTATCGAATCCAGGTCCCTTATTTTGGAGATGCAGACAGTAACTCTTGTGGGAAGGGATGAGCTTTTGCCGAGAATGACAGAAGCCAAGACTTCCGTGCCTCTTTCCCAGTATTCCTTCCAAGCCCAGATTTACCTTGGTTCCTTAGTACCATGTTTATATCCCTCTAAAATCGCCATCCTCTAAAATCCTCAACTGGCCTATGCTTGGTACTCCAGTCAGCCCCTCCTCTTGTGTTTTCCTTCACTCCAAGCTCAGGGAGAAATACAGCCCTGTGTTCACTGTGTACATGGGTCCCGGCCAGTGGTGGTTTTATGTGGACACGAAGCAGTGAAGGAAGCCTTGATAGACCAAGCGGATGAGTTCAGTGGCCGTGGAGAACTGGCTTCAATAAAGCAAAACTTCCAAGGTCATGGTAGGTAGCAACAACAACAAAAACAATAAAACCGGAAATGACTGCAATGCACTCCCTATATGCCAGGTTCTTTGGTAAGTAGTCCACATGACTTACTGTATTGACTCCCTTAGGAGAGCTGTTAACATTATACTAATGTTGTCAATGAAAAAGCTAAGATAGGCCAGGCATGGTGGCTCATGCCTGTAATCCCAGCACTTTGGGAGGTTGAGGCGGGCAGATCACCTGAAGTCAGGAGTTTGATACCAGCCTGGCCAACGTGGTGAAACCCCGTTTCTACTAAAAATTTAAAAAAAAATTAGCTGGGCATAGTGGTGGGCACCTGTAATCCTAGCTGCTCAGGAGGCTGAGGCAGGAGAATCACTTGAACCCTGGAGGCGGAGGTTATAGTGAGCTGAGATTGCACCATTGTACTCCAGCTTGGGCAACAAGAGTGAAACTCTGTCTCAAAAAAAAAAAGAAAAAGCTAAGATAAAGGTTAGATAATGTCACACAGTAAGTGGTAGGATAATTTTATTTTGAGCCTATGCCATCTGACTCCAAACTGTTTTCTGTGTTATTTCTGCTCCTATTTTTAATGGATTAGTGAGATATATATATATATATATATATATATTTTTTTTTTTTTTTTTTTTTGAGACAGTTTCACTCTTGTTACCCAGGCTGGAGTGCAATGGCATGATCTTGGCTCACCACAACCTCTGCCTCCTGGGTTTAAGCCATTCTCCTGCCTCAGCCTCCTGAGCAGCTGGGATTACAGGCATGCGCCACCACGCCCGGCTAATTTTGTATTTTAAGTAGAGATGGGGTTTCTCTATGTTGGTCAAGCTGGTTTCGAACTCCCAACCTCAGGTGATCCACCTGCCTCAGCCTCCCATAGTGCTGGAATTACAGGTGTGAGCCACTGAGCCCGGGGGATTAGTGATATTCTTTATGCACCCATAGCCAACCCTCATACCCCTTATAGCTAACCTTATTTCTCATCTTCCTATACTTATACACATACCTAACCCATAGGTCTCTGCCTCCTTCACTTAGGTAGATCTCTTTCTCTCATGCATCCATCTCTAACTGCCCACATCCTTCAATTCCAAGGAGGCTCACCACATTCTGCCTATCAATCTATCTATCTATCTATCTATCTATCTATCTATCTATCTATCTATCCATCTATCTTTCTATTACCTTTTTTCTTCTGTCCATTGATCTATATTCATCAGAAAATCCATTCATTATTCTTTCTATAAAAATATCTTTCACTCTATTATCTATACTTCTGTCAATTAACTTTCTATTTATTCATCTAGTCATCATTCCTTCCATTCATTAATGCTTTCATCATTCATACATCTATCAATCTCTCTATCCACTCTCCAACTGTTATTCACTCAGTTATTTTTTTATTTATCCAGTTCCACCTCTGCTTCCTGTAAGAAACACTCTTTGATCTCCCCCTATCATTCCTGCACTGATTCCCTTTTCCTCCACCTGAGTCTGGACTTTTTTTTTTTCTTTCCCGAGGATCCTGCAGAGAGGGAACCTTACTCTCTTGATTGAGTCTTGAAGGTTGAGGATGGCTTCCTGGACAGCAGAGTCTAGAGCTTTCATAATCTTTCCCCATCACTGCCTAAGCACAGAGTTGAACACAGCAAGGGGAGGGAGGCAGAAGCCTGAGACTGAGATCTTGGCAGGTGTAGCTCTGGCCAATGGAGAACGATGGAGGATTCTCCGACGCTTCTCCCTGACCATCCTTCGGGACTTCGGGATGGGAAAGCAGAGCATTAAGGAGCGAATTCAGGAGGAGGCCAGCTACCTACTGGAGGAGTTCCAGAAGACCAAGGTATGAGGGCCACAAGGGGGAGGGCCACTAGGTGACTGGGTGGTTATGGAGCTCTCAGTCACGAGAAGATGGGCCTTGGCGGGAGAAAGCTCTGGAATGGAAGAAGAGGGAAAATATTAAGAATCCACTGAGATTTCTGGCAGCTTCCATATTAAGAGTTTACATGATCATGCCTGTAATCTCAGCACTTTGGGAGGCCAAGGCGGGCGGATCATGAGGTCAGGAGATCAAGACCATCCTGGCTAACATGGTGAAACCCTGTCTCTACTAAAAATACAAAAAAATTAGCTGGGTGTGGTGGCGGGCACCTGTAGTCCCAGCTACTCGGGAGGCTGAGGCAGGAGAATGGTGTGAACCTGGGAGGTGAAGCTTGCAGTGAGCGGAGATTGCACCACTGCACTCCAGCCTGGGCGACAGAGCGAGACTCCGTCTCAAAAAAAAAAAAAAAAGAGTTTACATGAGCTGGGCATGGTGGCACATGCCTGTAGTGTCAGCCGCCTGTGGGGCTGAGGCTGGAAGTTGCTTGAGCCCAGGAGTTCAAGGCTGCAGTGAGCTATGATCATGCCACTGCACTTCAGTATGGGAGACACAGTGAGACTCTATCTCTTAAAACAACAACAACAAAACAATTAACATGGAAGACCCTTAGAGACCACTTATCTAGAAACTTTCATCAGTGGATCTCAGGGTGGGTCTGTGAGCTCTCGATATCCTACACAGATTTTGGTGACATATGACTTTGTGACTCTTCTTGAAGAGAGTCTCAAATTTCATTCCATTTGTATATCTGTATTGTGGTAAAAAAAATACATAACATAAAATTTACCATATTCACCATTTTAAGTGTCCAGTTCAGTAGTGTTAAGTATATTCATGTTGTGAAAAAAATCTTTTGAACTTTTTTATCTTGCAAATGTGAAACTCTATACTCATTTCATTGTGTTTTTAAAGGAGTTCAGTTCCACCAAAAAATAAGGTCTAGAAACACTGGGGTCTATAGAGAAAAGACAGGCTGAAAACAAACAAACAAACAAACAAACAAACAAACAGAGAAAATTAGATAAGAGGTAGAAATAGAGACACATTTTCTCTACACCTGAGGCTCCTTGCCTGGTCTCTATGGGTGATTAACAGGTCTATATAAAAGCTTCAAATGCCCATGTACCCCAGAAATTATTCATAAAATTGTGTATTTGTGAATATGTGCATTATTCTAGAGAAATTGTTCCCAGATCTACTGATCTTGTTTTACGGAAGGTGTAGGTGAGGGCAAGGGAAGGATTTTGTTTTGTTTTGTTTTGAGACAGAGTCTTGCTCTTGTCACCCAGGCTGGAGTGCAATGGCATGATCTCAGCTCACTGCAACCTCCACCTCCCAGTTTCAAGCGATTCTCCTGCCTCAGCCTCCTGAGTAGCTGGTATTACAGGCACCTGCCACCATGCCCGGCTAATTGTTGTATTTTTAGTAGAGACGGGGTTTCGCCATGTTGGCCAGGCTGGTCTCCAACTCCTGACCTCATGATCTGCCTGCCTCAGCCTCCCAAAGTGCTGGGATTACAGGCGTGAGCCACCGCGCCCAGCCCGGAAGGATTTTTTAAATTGCCTAAATGGAATTATCGGTAGAACTAGACAGAATTCAGGAACTTTTATAATGTGTCCCTTATCCCACTTTTCTCCAAATATGAGTCTCTAACATCAACACATTTAAGTAATAATAATAAAAAATAATGATTAAGCTCAACTAGCTTTTCTTGAGTGCTTACTGTATGCCAGGCATTGTGCTAATTATTTTATATGGATAATGATACTGAATCCTCATGACTCTTCACCCTTTAGAACTTCAGGACGTGGAAACACAAAATCCCCGACTTTGGGAGGTCATTTAACTTAATCTTCTACTTGGTGTCTGCGGCCTGTGGCTGCTGTAACAAATTACCAGGAACTTAGTCATCTAAAACAACACAAATGTATTATCCTTCTGTTCTGAATTTCAGAAGTTCAAATAGGCTTTCACTAGCTGACACCAACGGACCATCTGATTCTCTGCCTTTTCGGGGTGTTAAAGCTGTACTCCTTGTAATCCTGGGTTCACGACTCTGTCCTCCATCTTCAAAGCCAGCAGCGTAGCTTCTTCAAGCCTCTGTTTGCTTCTGGCATCACATCTTTTATTCTTTTTCATTATTTTGGAGAGTCTTCCTCTCTTGCCCACGCTGTGGTGCAGTGGCGTGATGTCAGCTCATGCAACCTCTGCCTTCTGGGTTCAAGTGATTCTCCTGCCTCAGCCTCCTGAGTAGCTGGGATTACAGGCATGTGCCACCACACCCAGCTGATTTTGTATTTTTAGTAGAGACAGGGTTTCACCATGTTGGCTAGGCTGGTCTCAAACTCCTGACCTCAGGTAATCCACCCTCCTTGGCCTCCCAAAATGCTGGAATTACAGGTATGAGCCACTGCGCCTAGCCTCACATCTTTTTTTTCAAACTCCGATTCTCCCGCCTCTCTTTTATACAGACACACAATATTATATTGAAGGCCAATCTTGACAACCCAGGCTAATCTCTTCATCCCAAGATTCTTAATTTACTGGCATTTTCAAAGTCTCTCTTGTGTTTTTGTTACCCTTGTATACATAGCCTTCCAGGCATTAGGTTTTAGAGACTTGGAGGTGGTTATCTTTGATGGACATTATCGAGCCAACTGCCCTGCCAAAGTTAAATAGAATCCGTCTCCAATCACTTCTGATCTGGTCCATTTGGGTAACTTTAGTAATGAGGAACTCACTACTTGCTTAAGGAAAATTCCCAGTTTTGGCCCCTCTCCTTAATAATGCAATTCAAAACAAGCCAAAGGATTTCTCCTGGTGCAGATGAGAGATGCTAACACACTTCCACTCAAATGTTTCTAGTGTCACCTCCATTGTCTGAGTTGTCTTTCACTGGTCTAAATAATCAGGCCGGGTGCAGTGGCTCACGCCTGTAATCCCAACACTTTGGGAGGCAGAGATGGGCAAATCGCTTGAGGCCAGGACTTCGAGACCAGCCTGGCCAATATGGTGAAACCCTTTCTCTACTAAAAATGCAAAAATTAGCCAGGTATGGTAGCGCAAACCTGTAATCCCAGCTACTTGGGGGACTGAGGCATGAGAATCGTTTGATCCCAGGAGGCAAAGGTTGCAGTGAGCCAAGATTGCACTACTGCACTCCAGCCTGGGGTACAGAGAAAGACTCCGTCTCAAAAAAAAAAAAAAAAAAAAGAAAAGAAAATCAAATATTTATTGGATGCTTCTATGTGCCAAGCACTGTCCTAGTTCCTTGCCTTGCATACCAGACTTTATGTAATGTTTACAACTCTATGACCTTGTCCAAACAGCACACTCATTTTGAAGATGATGAAACAAGTTCAGAAGGTGAAGTCACTCATCCCTAAAGTGCAGAGGAGTAACTCCAGCAGTGGTGATCTTAATCAGTCACATAACCGCTTGTCATTTGTGTCAATCCTGTCCTAGTCACCTAGCATGCCTCTTTCCCATTCTTTAAAAAACCCATGTATGAGAGCCAAGCTGGGACCATGGCTTTTTGGTTCTTTTAAGTAAAGACCAAATGTCCTGGCAGCGTTCAAGACTCCAAGCTGCCTGTCTCCCGATGTCTGATGAGTAATTGAGCATCACCAGTGTGTCAGTTGTTAAGTTAAAGAAGCGACCAAACAGGCCTGGTGTGGTGGCTCACGCCTATAATCCCAGCACTTTGGGAGGTTGAGGTGGGTGGATCACGAGGTCAGGAGTTTGAGACCAGCTTGACCAACATGGTGAAACCCTGTCTCTATTAAAAATACAAAAATTAACTGGGCCGGTGGCAGGTGCCTGTAATCCCAGTTACTCTGGAGGCTGAGGAGAGAGAATCACTTGAACCCAGGAGGCGGAGGTTGCAGTCAGCCGAGATTGTGCCATTGCACTCCAGCCTGGGTGACAGGCTGTCAAAAAAAAAAAAAAAAAGAAGGGAGCAAACATGCATGGCTTGCATCTGAGATCTCTTTCTGCTGGAGCTTGGAATGCATGATTTGCCCTGGCTTCCCTAACAAAAACACCTGTTTTATTTTGTTTTGTTTTGTTTTGTGCCCTTGTCCGCTATATTTTCTGGCCCCTTCCAGCTAAGATTCACGAAGAGATTAACCAGGTGATTGGACCACACCGGCTCCCAAGGGTGGATGACCGGGTCAAGATGCCCTACACAGATGTCGTTATCCATGAAATACAGAGACTGGTAGACATCGTGCCCATGGGTGTCCCCCACAACATCATCCAGGACACTCAGTTTCGAGGTTACCTTCTGCCCAAGGTGGGGTTGCACCCTCATTGCCTCCCTTCCACTGCACTCCTCTCTCTCCCTGGTTCCCTACCTCTGTAGCCCAACACTGATTTCTCCTAACTGCCCTCATTTTCACCCCAGGGCACAGACGTATTTCCCCTGCTTGGCTCTGTCCTCAAAGACCCCAAATACTTCCGCTACCCAGATGCCTTCTATCCCCAGCACTTTCTGGATGAGCAGGGCCGCTTCAAGAAGAATGAAGCCTTTGTGCCTTTTTCCTCTGGTAGGTTTCTCTGGTCTGACTTCCTCCAGGCATGTGCTAAATCCACCCCCAAGCCACTGGTCTGTATTTGAAGTTCAAGTCACAGTGTGAATTTGAAGGTTATATCATAGAACCATAAAGTTTTAGAATCCCAGAATTAGTAAATATTAGGATGTTTGACTCTGATAATTAGAAAAAAAAAGTTGGGATGGTAATAGCACTAAACAGGGCATAAACCAACTGGCTGGCTGTTAAGAACAAAATAAGACATATTTTCTATTTTTCCAGCCAGATAGTCTCTGAACCTTTGCCATTGATCAATGAAAGCAGCCATAGACAATATGTAAATGAATGAGCATGTGTGTGAGCCTGAAAAACTGTTTACGGACACTGAAATTTGAATTTTGTTTTATCTTCATATATCACAAAAGAGTCTTTTTTCCCCAACCATTTTAAAATGCCAAAAGCATCCTAGTTTGCAGGCTGTATGAACACAAGCAGCAGGGCAAATTTGCCCAACAGACACTCATTTGCCTACTCATGTCATAAAATCTTTATGCAGCAACATTTTAAGTGTATGTTGGCATGGCACAGTGGCTCATGCCTGTAATCCCAGCACTTTGGGAGGCCGAGGCAGGTGGATCACTTGAGGCCAGGTGTTCGAGACCAGCCTGGCCAACATGGTGAAACCCTGTCTCTACTAAAAATACAAAAATTAGCCAGGCGTGGTGACAGGCGCCTGTAATCCCAGCTACCCAGGAGGCTGAGGCACAAAAATCACTTGAACCCGGGAGGTGTAGGTTGCAGTGAGCCGAGATCATGCCACTGGACTCCAGCCTGGGTGACAGAGTACGACCCTGTCTCAAACAAACAAAAAACAACAACCAAAAGTGTATGTCATTTGGAACCTGGAGTCAGGACAGTGGTTGGGAATCTGGACTCCACTCCATCATTTAGAAATGGTGGGGTCTTGGGTGAGTCACTTCAGCCCCCATCTGTGAAACAGAGATTAATCCCTCCAAACAATTGGAAGAGTGGCTTATAAACAGTAAGTGTTATTACGGGTGAGTTTTCACTTTTTTTCCTCACCAGTGTCTGGCACCTAATAGGCATTTGACAAACCCTTGAGGAACTGAAATGAACACAACCTTGAAACTCATGGATCCTATAGAACCATTCCGTCTTGGAACGGGATGGAATCCCAGCCATCAGAGAAGTAGCAGGTCCTAGCTGAGCACTAACTATAGATACCCACTAAGCCTGTGTAACACCCCTTTATAAAGCAGTCACAGTCATGAGCCCTGATGTGCGGATGAGGCAGCTGAGGCCCAGTGGGGTGGTCAGTCCAGACACCCCTGGCACCCCCATGACCTGTGCAGGTGCAACCCTTCCTTCTGCCCTCCCCTGTGCCTGCAGGAAAGCGCATCTGCTTGGGCGAGGCCATGGCCCGCATGGAACTCTTTCTCTACTTCACCTCCACCCTTCAGAACTTCTCTCTATGCTCGCTGGTGCCACTTGTGGACATCGATATCACCCCCAAGCTCTCAGGCTTTGGCAACATCACCCCGACCTATGAGCTCTGCCTTGTGGCCCGCTGAGCCACACCTCCTGCGGGGCAAGGAGGAAGTGGTGAAGAATGCAGCTCTCCTCTCGTGTTCAGGAGCACCCCCTCTTCCTCATCTTACTAATCCTCAAGCATCCCTAAGAGGAGGCACTATGATTACAGAGTCAGCCAGGGTCACCTGAGAATGTACAGCTGCGTGTCTTCCTCTCCCGTAGAAGAGCAACGCCCTGTGCAAGATTTGCACCTCTGCCTGCAGGTTTCATGGTCACATGGTCACCGTTGCTTAGGTTTCTGGCTGCATCAAATTATTACTGCAGTCCCTGTGTCTTCATGTTGTCCCTTTTTGTGTGTGCTCTGATTTTGACCAAAATGTAGTCTAAAATCCTTTCTCCTTGGTTCTCATCTTTACCCACCAGCCCCCGAAAAGTGAACAAAGACCTCAAGTCTGTTGAGCGTAGCAAGTTTATTGAGTATGGTGTGTGACAGCGATGTAGGGCACAGCCAACAGCTTGAAATGTCTTTCTTGACTTGTTATGAGTTATAGTTTCTGCCAGCTGCTCTCCAGTGACTTCCCCTGGGTAAAATGCCCCATCCTCACCCATCTTGCTGACTCATTACCTTTCTCCGCCATCATCTCTTCTTCTAATCTTCCTTTCCAGTTGCTCTCAGCACAACTCCCAATTCCAAATACTCCCCAGTCCGTTTGTTTGTTTGGAGATGGAGTCTCACTCTGTGGCCCAGGCTGGAGTGCAGTGGCACCATCTAGGCTCACTGCAACCTCTGCCTCCTGGGTTCAAGGGATTTTCATGCCTCAGCCTCCCGAGTAGCTGAGATTACAGGCACGTGCCACTGCATCTGGCTAATTTTTGTAATTTTAGTAGAGATGGGTTTTCGCCATGTTGCCCAGGCTGGTCTTGAAATCCTGACCTCAAGCCATCCACCCACCTTGGCCTCCCAAAGTGCTAGGATTACAGGCATAAGCCAACGTGCTCGGCCTCCCCACTCCATTTTTGAGGATAGCTCAGTTATCCCCAGCTTCTATCATTCCCTTTCCAGACTCCATTAACTGACAAAAACGTTCCCTCTTTTTCATTTATTCAGCCAATATTTACTGAATACCCAACAAGTGCCAGCGTAGTCTTCAGGGACTTGGGATCCATCAGTAAGCAAAACAGACAAAAACTCCTGCCTTCAGGGAGCTAACATTCTAGTAAGGAAGGTGGACAATAAAGCATACATGAAACAAATATGCAAATGACATACTGCATTAGAAAAGCAAGGCTGGTAAGTGGGATATGCATTCTGTGATTGGAATTGCAAATGGATGGTTAGGGGTGGTTTCACAAGGTGATGGGGCAACAAGCTATGAAGATATCTGGGAAGGGAGTGTTCCTGGCAGAAAGATTAACCAACAGCAGTGGCCGGGCGTGGTGGCTCATGCCTGTAATCCCGGCACTTCGGGAGGCCGAGGTGGTCGGATCGCCTGAGGTCAAGAGTTTGAGACCACCCTGGCCAATATGGTGAAACGTATGTCTCTACTAAAAATACAAAAATTAGCTGGGCGTGGTGGCAGGTGCCTGAATCCCAGCTACTTGGGAGGCTGAGACAGAGAATTGCTTGAACCCGGGAAGCAGAGGTTGCAGTGAGCTGAGATTGTGTCATTACACTCCAGCCCAGGTGACAGTGTGAGACTCTGTCTCAAAAAACAAAGCAACAAACAAACCAGCAGAGTCCTAAGGCAGGAGGCTGTGTGCATCCAGGAATCCACAGGGAGCAGGTGTAGCTCGCATGGAGGAGGAAGACAGAGTAGGAGTGAAGGAAACGAGGCCAGGGAGGCGATGGGGACCAGACTGTGTGGGGTCTTGTGGGCCAAGGTGAGGTCTTGGCTTTTACCCTGAGAGTGATTGAGGTATTTGGAGGGATGGTGAGCAGAGGATGACATGTACAGACATATTTTACAGGGCTCACACTAGCTATCATATGATGGATACAAAAGCCAAGACCTATTAGCAGGCTACTGCAACTGGTGGTGTTGACTCAGACCCAGCAGCAGCAGTGAAGCTGGGCAGAATATGGTAGATTTGAAATCTGTTTCACTCTCTGAGATGGTGGGGTTTGCTACGGTATTGTATATAGGGTGTGAGAGAAAGAGGGAGTTCAGGCAGGAGTCCAAGGATAGGATCTCATCTTTGATCACCTCTTCTTCAACCTGTCACCTCCAGGGAACCTTGGGACCCATGACAGTCAGGGTTCCTTTTTTTTTTTTTTTTTTTTTTTAGACAGAGTCTCACTCTCTCACCCAGGCTGGAGTGTAGTGGCATGATCTCAGCTCACTGCAACCTCTGCCTCCTAGGTTCAAGTGATTTTCCTGCTTCAGCTCCCTGAAGTAGCTGGGATTACAGGCACGCACAACCACGCCTGGCTGATTTTTGTATTTTTAGTAGAAACTGGATTTCACCATGTTGGCCAGGCTGGTCTCTATCTCCTGACCTCAGGTGATCCACTCATCTCGGACTCCCAAAGTGCTGGGATTACAGGCTTGAGCCACTGCGCCCGGCCAGGGTTCCTATTTTTAAGCAATATAAAGTGACTTTGGTTATTTTAAATAGAAAGGCTGTTAGCTACTGGAAGGTGATTGTTTAGCTCACAAAATTAACAGCAATTCTGGAAAAATAGGGTAAGAATATGAGTAGGAAAAAGAGGCTGTGGTAGGGGACCAACAGCCAAGGTAATGTTCAAAGCTATCTGGTAGGACCTGCTGCCACACCACCCATCTCCTGGGTACTGAACACCTGACCCACCCCCTGGGTACTGCCATGGGACTCTAGACCCACTGATGCCACTATAGATGATTTCCTGATTGTGTCTGTGTTTTTGTCTCACATCCTCATGATTAAGAGTTCCAGACATCTAGCCACATGTTAAAACCTTAGGGTTCAAGGTGAGGTGAGGAAGAATGAATACCTCCTTCAGCTGTTGTAGTGGGAGGCAAAGCCTTGTCCCTGATCAAGAGCCACACAATAGGAGGTACTCAGAAAATCAGAAAAGAGTTTTGAGACTGTGTGTATAATAAACAATAAATGCGGCCAGGCATGGTGGCTCACGCCTGTAATCCTAGGACTTTGGGAGGCCAAGGTGGGCAGATCACTTGAGGCCAGGAGTTCGAGACCAGCCTGGCCAACACAGTGAAACCCCATCTCTACTAAAAATAGAAAAAAAATTAGCCAGGCATGGTGGTGCATCCCTGTAATCCCAGCTACTCAGGAGGCTGAGGCATGAGAATCACTTGAACTTGGGAGGTGGAGGTTGCAGTGATAGTGTCACTGCACTCCAGCCTGGGCAACAGAGTGAGACTGTCTCAAAACAAACAAACAAACAAACAATAAATGCCATTATATACATTATGGGAATTAGATCCTCCGGGAAGCTGAGATTTAGACGGAGTTAGGGGTCCATCATTTTATTGGAGGGAGGAGGGTAATGCATGTGAAAGACCAAAAAGGAAGGAAGCAGATGACACTGGTAGCAGAAAAGTCTTCAGAACAGGATGCAGATCCAACACTTGTGAAAGAAAAGAAGGAAGGAAGGAGGATTGGACAGAGACAGGCCAAGACCACCAGGCAGAGATAACAGACCCATAATCCAGAGAAAAATGCTGTTGGGGATGGTTTATGTTGGACAGATAGGGTCATGCCCTGGATCCCAGAGTCCTTAATTACTATTTGGGGCTTCCTTGGAAAAGCATGGGTTCCGCTCCACACTGAGGTGGGTCCTAATGGTGCTGCAACTGGAGACTCTCAGCTCACTGCCCTTATTGAAGCTGATTGGAAAGTTCTCCATGAATGAAGATTCAAGTAGCACATCCCTATGCCCACCACAGACACCAACATACAAACCCACATCATTAAAGCCTTGGCACCCCCTTCTATAAATGCAGCATCTCAGAGCTACAAACACACCTCGCAAGTACACAGTACAATGGGCATCAAACATTTTTAGCTGTGAAACGTTTTTTAAAATGATCTTACTTGCAAATAGAATACATAAAGCAGGCCGGGCGCGATGGCTCACGCCTGTAATCCCAGGGCGTTGGGAGGCTGAGGCGGGTGGATCACCTGAGGTCAGGAGTCCGTGACCAGCCTGGCTAACATGATGAAACCCTGTCTCTACCAAGAAAATACAAAAATTAGCCGGGCATGGTGGCACGTGCCTGTAGTCCCAGCTACTAGGGAGGCCGAGGCAGCAGAATTGCTTGAACCTGTGAGGCAGAGGTTGCAGTGAGCTGAGATCACGCCACTGCACTCCAGTCTGGTGATAGAGCAAGACTGTGTCTTAAGGAAAAAAAAAAAAAGAATAAGCAGGAGAGAGAATTGTTGATCTCTCTTTAGGTAAAGCACAGAAGAGCTATAGGTCCTCAAAATAGCCTTCATTTCTATTTATGACGTGAGCCTATTAGAAAGTTCCTAGAGGCTGGCGCGGTGGCTCACGCCTGTATTCCCAGCACTCTGGGAAGCCGAGGTGGGCGGATCACGAGGTCAAGAGATTGAGACCAATCTGGCCAACATGGTGAAAGCCCGTCTCCACTAAAAATACTAAAATTAGCTGGATGTGGTGGCACGTGCCTGTAGTCCCAGCTACTCGTGTGGCTGAGGCAGGAGAGTCGCTTGAACTCGGGAGGTGGAGGTGGCAGTGAGCTGAGATCAAACCACTGCATTCCAGCCTGGCGACAGAGTGAGATTCTGTTAAAAAAAAAAAAGTTCCTAGAAATTCTGAGAATCTAAGACATTGTAGTTATTCAACACACATCGGGTCCTTCCAAGGGGCCCACGGAAGGACCTAATGACATAATGGTGACCAGGAAAAGCTCAGTGACTCACCACATAGGGCTCACAGCCCAGCAGGGAAGAGTGCTCCATCCTTTACAGTGACGGCCCAGCATAGCCCAGCATAGCTCTGATGAAGGAAGCACGGAGTAGAATGTGGAGGACTGTGATGGAGGAAGCCCAGGTGGATTAGGTAACACCAGGAAGTATGAGGCAGGTTAGAGGGAATCCGTACTCCTGCTATCCCCTGGAAGTAATTCATTTAATTAGAGTAAACATTTCTCAGAAACTAGGTGAATCAATTTTCTTCCTAGAACTAATCAAGACCTACAAGTCAGAGAGGACATTTTCTTTACTGTGAGGTTTTTTTCTTTATATTTGTTTCTTTTCTTTTTGAAAAAGCCTTTATTGATATAACTTACAGATCATAAAGTGTACAATTAAGTGGGTTTGGGTGTATTAATCAATACTGCAACCATCACCATGGTCAATTTTAGAACATTTTCATCACCTCTACAAGAAACCTCATACCTTCTAGGTCTTACCCCTTTTCCCCCACAGTCAATTCCCTGCCCTGAGCAACCACGAATCTACTTTTCTTTGTAGATTCACTTTTTTTTTTTTTGAGATGGAGCCTCGCTCTGTTGCCTAGGCTGGAGCGCAATGGCACAATCTCTGCTCACTGCAACCTCTGCCTCCCAGGTTCAAGAGATTCTCCTGCCTCAGCTTCCTGAGTAGCTTGGATTACAGGCACCCACCACGACGCCAGGCTAATTTTTGTATTTTTAGTAAAGATGGGGTTTCACCATGTTGGCCAGGCTGGTTTTGAACTCCTGACCTCAAATGATCGTCCGGCCTTGGCCTCCCAAACTGCTGGGATTACAGGCATGAGCCACCATGCCTGGCCTAGATTCTCTATTCCTGACTTGCATATAAATTAAGTCATATATTATGTGGTCTTTTCTGACTGCGTTCTTTCACTAATACTTTTTTAAAGGTTCATGCTAGTTGTAGCATGAAGTTCTGCTTCATTCCTCTTTGTGGCTGAACGAAATTGCATTGTATGGATATATCACCTTTTATTTATCAGTTTATCCAGGGATGGATTTATTAGCTTCCTAGGGCTGCCTAGGAACCTAGGTACATATAACAAAGTACCACAAACTGAGTGGCTTAAAAAAACAACAGAAATGGGCTGGGCACAGCAGCTCACACCTGTAATCCCAGCACTTTGGGAGGCTGAGGGGGGCGGATCACAAGGTCAGGAGATCAAGACCATCCTGGCTAACACAGTGAAACCCCGTCTCTACTAAAAATACAAAAAATTAGCCAGGCGTGGTGGTGGGCGCCTGTAGACCCAGCTACTCAGGAGGCTGAGGCAGGAGAGAATGGGAGGCAAGGCGGAGCTTGCAGTGAGCCGAGATCCTCAACTGCACTCCAGCCTGGATGACAGAGCGAGACTCCGTCTCAAAAAAAAAAAAAAGAAAGAAAGAAAGAAAGAAAGAAAAAATCCCATATTCTCCACTTATTCATCCCTCCTCCCTAAACTCCTGGCAACTACTGATCTTTGTACTGTCTTCACAGTCTCACTTTTTCCAGAATATTATATAGTTGGAATCACACAGTATGAAGCCTTTTCAGGCTGGCTTCTTTTACTGAGCCATATACATTTAAGGTTCCTCCCAGTCTTTTCATAGATTGATAGCTCATTTCTTTTTATTGCTAAATAATATTGTATGGATGTACCACAGTTTGTTTCCTCATTCACCTGTTAAAGGACATCTTGGTTGCTTCCAAGTCTTGCAATTATGAATAAAGCTGCTGTAAACATTTCTGTGTAAGATTTTGTGTGGATATAAGTTTTTGTGTGTGGATATAAAGCTCATTTGGGTTAATACCAAAGAGCCTGATGGCTGTATCACATGGTAAGAATCTGTTTAACTTTGCAAGAAACTGCAAATCTGTCTTCCAAATTAGCTGCGCCATTTTGCATTCTCACCATCAATGAATGACAGTTCCTGTTGGACCACCTCCTTGCCAGCATTTGGTGATCAGTTTTGGATTTTAGCCATTCTAATAGGTGGGTAGTGGTATATCATTATTGTTTTAATTTGAAATTTTTAGTGACATATGATGTGGAGCATCTTTCCGTATGCTTATTTGCTATGTGTATATTTTCTTTGGTGAGGTGTCTGTTCAGATCTTTTGCCCACTTTTCATTGGGTTGTTTGCTTTCTATTGTTGAGTTTTAACAGTTCTTTGTGTATTTTGAATGTAAGTCCTTTATCAGGTATGTGCCCTGTAAATATGTTCTCTCCGTCTGTAGCTTGTATTGTCGTTCTCTTGACAATTCTTTTGCAGAGCAATTTGTAATTTTAATGATGTAGAATTTATCAATTGTTTCTTTCATGGATTGTGCTTTTGGTGTTGTGTCTAAGAAGTCACCAGCAAACACAAGGTCATCTAGATTTTCTCCTATGTTATCTTCTAGAAGTTTTATACTCATTTTTTATTTAGGTCTACAATAAACTTGGAGTTAATTTTCGTGAAAGCTGTAAGGGAGCTTCTAAGGGGGACACACACTAACTTATTTGAGAGAGGGCAGGTAATTGTGAAACTCTTAGCTGGGTCTTACAACAGACCCTAGATCCATCAAGAGAACCCAACCTTCAGAAACCCATAGTGGAATGTTTTTCATGCATACATGGGGAGAGTATGCAGTCATATGCTCACATGCACAACTGTACATGATCACACACATGCATATGGTATGTCCTGATCCAGAGTTCTCCCAGCATTCTCTCAGAATGTTTCTCTCTGTCAATTTCTTCATTAAGCGGTCTCATTGTGTCCCTGAACTGACTCTCAATGGACGACAGTGGCCTTACCTGGTAGGGGGTGCAGGCTACACCCTGGTGCACAAAGTGTGCTTGAGTAGGTGAGAGTGGGCAAGTGTGCAGTGAAGCCAGGACAACCGCCGGCCAGGTCTCTGGAGAAAACCCCAGGACAGGGCTGTTCAGGCTGTGTGATGCTATACTAAGCTGTTTGACTTGAGGAAGGGGTGCTTTTTAAGAATCTGCCCAGAGGGTTGTGTTCAAAGATTTGCTGGGCACTTATATTCTGTGACACCTCAGCTACAGACAACTTTCTGAGCCTCAGCTTTGTCATGTGTAAAATGGGCATGAATGCTGTTCCCCTTTGCAGAGGTTTGTGGGCATTAAGTGAGGTGAGCATGCAACGGTTTTTGAACAGAGCTGACACGGAGGTACTTGTTCAAGAAATGAGATGCTATTATTACTACTCTTTGTAGCATAGTTTAAGGTTTCCCTTCCTCTCATCCCAGCTCTGAAGGACATCGTCAAGGTGAACTGAGCCCCTTCTGTTTCTTCTCTTCCCCCTAACCACCTCGCCCCTTCCTTTCCCCCTGTCCTGCCCCCATTCTTAGCCCCGCCCCTCCCGCAGGCCCGCTCCTGGCCCCGCCCTTCCTCTGATCCCGCCCACCACGCCGGCACCAGCACAGCCCTCCCTCAGCAAGGCAAGTAGCACTTGGTGTAGTTTCGTGGGATTGTGACAAAGCCCACGTGTTTGGGGGACACAACAATGTCCTTAGGCGACTGCCGCGATTTGAAGCGGAAGTTCTGCATGATGGTGGTGAGGTAGAGAAAGAGCTCCATTCTGGCCAGGCCTTCTCTGAAACAGTTCCGCCTTCCTGAGGAGGAGAGGCGGGAGGGGTGGAGGTGAAGCCCACTCTTAGTGCAGCCTTGCCCCGCTACAGACCTCCAGCTGCGGCTCTCCCAGGGAGGAGGGGTGGAATATTATGGCCTGAGAGACTTTCAGAGGAGGCTCTGATCCTCCCTGAGCCTCAGTTTCCTTGAGTGTACAAAAGATGTACAAAAGATGGGGTGATCGATGCCAGGTGTCACAATGGGAGGTTTAGATGCCCCTTCCCCCAGATAACACTCGCAAATATGACTGCTGTGCCGTCATCTCCTTTTTAGGGATCTGAAGAATCTGCTGTGTGACCCTAGGGAAATAAATCTCTGATTCTCTCTGGGCTTTGGTTTTCCCCGCCTCTGAAAGGGGTATGATGTTTCCTTTCCTTTTGCCTGGGCACAGGTACTGGGTGCTTGGTAGTTAAGGGAGTATCAGCTGGTGGCTCAACGGTAGATTCTAACAGGAACTTCCAAGCTGGGGAAATACTAGGCTACACGGCAGAGAGGGGAGCTGGGTAAGGGAGGCCCCTGCTGGTGTGAGTAGTAGCCTGGCAGCAAACAGTGGTCTCTTACTGATGGAGAAGGGCACAAAAGCATCACGCTTCTTAAACTGCCCCTTCTCACCCAGGAAGTGCTGGGGATTGAAGTCCCGGGGGTTGGAGAAGAACCTGAGGTCTCTCAGCACGGAGCCCAGCATAGGGAACACTTCTATGCCCTGGGAGGGAGGAGGAAGGTGTATGTGATGAGGCGGGTTGGGGGATTGTTGAGAGTACACAGGGGCTGGAGGGGGAACTAGGGTGCCCCAGGTGAGGGGAAGTGGCAGGCATGGGAATTGGGGACCTCTGAGGGAGGAGCCTTGGGGGATAGAAGTTTCACGTCTCTGAGACAGGAAGTTTGGGAGACATGGGGTTCATGTCCTCTTAGGCAGGGTGTTCAGGGAACATGAAATTTATGTCCTTAAAGCAAAAAGGCAAGGGGAAAGGAAAAGGAGACTCATGTCCCTTGGGACAGGGAGTTTGTGGACATGGAGTTCATTCCTCTCCATGTGGCAAAAATTCTGGGGGAGATACAGGATTCAGGAGTCTCTGAGAGGGAAGATGGAAGGGATGTGGTGGTTCAAAAAATCTTTCATTGAGAGAGTGAGACAGGGGCTAGAAAGCTTCTCATGGAGATGGGGTGCTGAGGTCACAGAGAGTGTGTTGGAAGTCCTAGGCTGGTGGGGGGACATGCAGCACCTTGGAGAGGAAGAAATCCCGAAACTTGGTGTCCTTCTTGACCCTGCGGGACACACCCATGGGGAGCAAGTCTCCAAATCTTTGGATCTCATGGATCACTGCCTCTGTGTAGAGCGTCTTGGCCCGGTCCTCAAACTTGGGCTGCTGGTTCTTGCCGATCACTCTGTCAATCTCATGGACCTTTGCTGGGGGAGGAAGGGGAATGCGTTTAGGTATCTAGGGGTCTCAGAGCAGGGATGATAGCCTGAATAGGTAAAACGGGGTGGATGACTTGGCTCCGTGTATGACACGGAGGTAGACCATTCATAACAGATGTCAGCAATTAGCATTGTTGGCGCAGGATCACGTTAACCAGGTCGTGCCAGAATCACAGGGGAGGCACAGGGAGGAATTCAGGGGATGATCCAGAGGAGCGGGCAGCGGGCACTCAGTGGGCTTGGGACAGGAGTGACTGACCAATCATTGCAGACATTTTCAATATTTAAATAGCTAATGAGACTCAGCTGATGCCTATCAGCTGAATATTGCCCTGTCTCTGGACAGCAAGGCACGTCTCAGGGTCCTGGGATCTGGGACAGGTGGGGACTTTGCACCAGGCTCAGGGGAGTTTTGAGGGTCTGGGACCCTCCACTTCCCTTCCCCTCCAGCCTTACCCTCCACCTCTGGGTGCTTCATGAGCAGCAGGAAGCCGTAGTGCAGGGTGGTGCTGACGGTCTCAGTGCCCCCAACGAAGAGGTTCAACGTGGTCAGCACCAGGTTCTTCAAGTAGAACTCTGTGTTGGGGTTCTTCTCCTCCTGCAGGGAGAGGGGGCTTTAGGCCAACCTCACTCCTCTTGCCCTCAAGGCATGCCGCCACATCTGGCTAATGTTTTAAAAAATTTGTTGTAAAGATTATATCTCGCCATGTTGCCCTGGCTGGTCTCAAACTCCTGGGCTCAAGCAATCTTCCTTTTCCAGCCCCCTAAAGTGCTGGGATTTTGGTGGGAGCCACTGCAAACAGCCCAGATTATTATTTATTTATTTTTATTTATTTATTTTTTTTTTGAGATGGAGTCTTGCTATGTAACCCAGGCTGTAGTATAGTGGCATGATCTTGGCTCACTATAGCCTCCACCTCCCCAGTTCAAGAAGTTCTCCTGCCTCAGCCTCACGAGTAGCTGGGATTACAGGCATGCACCACCATGCCCAGCTAATTTTGGCATTTTTAGTAGAGATGGGGTTTCACCTTGTTGGCCAGGTCGGTCTTGAACGTCCTCCTCAGCCTCCAAAAGTGGTGGGATTACAGGCGTGAGCCACCGCGCCTGGCTGAGGCCCAGATTAAAATGTTTAAAAAAGTACTCTTTATGCAGATTCACCTTAACATTTTAACCCATTCCCAATATGACTTGTTCTATTCTATCAATCAATCATCTATCTATCTTACTCTGTTTTATGCTACTATAACAAAATACTACAGACTAGGTAACATATTTATTTATTTTTTTGAGATGGAGTTGTGCTCTTGTTGCCCAGACTGGAGTGCAAATGGCATGATCTTGGTTCACTGCAACCTCTGCCTCCTGGGTTCAAGTGATTCTCCTGCCTCAGCCTTCAGAGTAGCTGGGATTACAGGCGCCTACCACCACTCCTGGCTAATTTTTGTATTTTTAGTAGAGACAGGGTTTCACCATGTTGGTGAGGCTGGTCTTGAACACCTGACCTTGAGTAATCTGCCCACCTCAGCCTCCCAAAGTGCTGGGATTACAGACGTGAGCAGTAGCACCCAGTCTACTTATAAAGAATACAAATTTATTTCCCACAGTTCTGGAGACTGGGAGTCCAAGATCAAGGAGCTGGTAGGTTCGGTGCCTGGTGAGGATCAGGTTTCTGCTTTCAAGATGGCTCCGTGCTGTTGGATCCTCCAAGGGGAGGATCACTGCGTTCTCACATGGTGGAAGGTGGAAGACCAAGAGAGGTGAACTCCATCCATCAAGCCCTTTTGTAGGGGTACCTAATCCCATTCATGATGATGGAACCCTCATGACCCAATCACCTGTCATAGGCCACACCTCCCAATACTGTTGCATTGGGGATTACATTCCAACATGGATAAAAAACATTCAAACCATAGCAATATCTATTTAGTACTTTTTCTGAACCACTTAGGGTAAATTACATACAACATAGGTTTTACCTCTCAATACTTTGGAGAGTATCTCCTAAAAATGGGGACATTTTCTGATATAACTGCAGTTACATTTATCAGCTATAGTAAATTTAACGTTGATGCAATACTTTCATCCCTGAGGTTTATATTCCAACTGTTGGTTTGAGAAGTAATTTGACAACTTTGAAACGAAATGGTAGTTTCTTTGTTGCCTGAGTGATGCCACACTTAAGACTCACTCATGGTTCAGCGTGGTGGCTTATTCCTGTAATCCCAGCACTTTGGGAGGCTGAGGCAAGAGGATTGGTTGAGGTCAGGAGTTTGAGACCAGCCCATGCAACACATTGAGACCCTGTCATTACCAAAAACAAAAACAAAAAAGAAAACAAACAAACAAAATACACAAAGAAAAAAAAAGACTCACATCTAAGTTTCCAGAGGCATCTCAACAGTTAATGGCAAGGGCCCTGGATCCAGGGAGCTGGGCTTTGATCCTGGCTCTGAATGCTATCAGAAAAGTGACGTTGATTAAGTTATGTGATCTCTTCATGCCTTGGTTTCCCCAGTGGTAAATGGGGATAATTTTAGAGATACGTGGTGAAAACATTTATAGGTGAATTGATGCAAGGTCTGGCATTTTCTTCAAAATAATCCCAATTTGAGGAGGAGGTTCCAAGATGGCCAAACAGGAACAGCTCCAGTCTGCAGCTCCCAGCGTGAGTGATGCAGAAGATGGGTGATTTCTGCATTTCCAACTGAGGTACTGGGTTCATCTCACTGGCACTTGTCAGACAGTGGGTGCAGCCCATGGAGCAGGGCAGGGCAGCGCCTCACCCGGGAAGTGCAAGGGGTCGGGAAATTCCCTTTCCTAGCAAAGGGAAGCCGTGACAGATGGTACCTGGAAAATCAGGACACTCCCACACTAATACTGTGCCTTTCCAATGGCCTTAGCAAACGGCACCCCAGGAGATTATATCCCACGCCTGGCTTGGAGGGTCCCACCCCCATGGAGCCTCACTCACAGGTAGCACAGCAGTCTGAGATCGAACTGCAAGGTGGCAGCGAGGCTGGGGGAGAGGCATCCGCCATTGCTGAGGCTTGAGTAGGTAAACAAAGTGGCCAGGAAGCTCAAACTGCATGGAGCCCACCGCAGGTCAAGGAGGCCTGCCTGCCTCTATGGAATCCACCTGGGGGCAGGGCATAGCTGAAAAAAAGGCAGCAGAAACTTCTGCAGACTTAAATGTCCCTGTCTGACAGCTTTGAAGAGAGTAGTGCTTCTCCCAGCATGGAGTTTGAGATCTGAGAACAGATAGACTGCCTCCTCAAGTGGGTCCCTGACCCTTGAGTAGCCTAAATGGGAGACACCTCCCAGTAGGGGCCCACTGACACCTCATACAGCCAGGTGCCCCTCTGAGATGAAGCTTTCAGAAGAAGGATCAGACAGCAAAATTTGCCGTTCTGCAATATTTGCTGTTCTGCAGCCTCCGCTGGTGATATCCAGGCAAACAGAGTCTGGAGTGGACCTCCAGCAAACTCCAACATGCCTGCAGCTGAAGGTCCTGACTGTTAGAAGGAAAACTAACAAACAGAAAGGATATCCACACCAAAACCCCATTTGTACGTCACCATCATGAAAGACCAAAAGTAGATAAAACCACAAACATGGGGAGAAACCAGAGCAGAAAAGCGGAACACTGTAAAAATGAAAGCGCCTCTTCTCATCCAAAGGAATGCAGCTCCTCACCAGCAACAGAACAAAGCTGGACAGAGAATGACTTTGATGAGATGAGAGAAGGAGGCTTCAGACAATCGGTAATAACAAACTTCTCTGAGCTAAAGGAGGATGTTTGAACCCATCACAAAGAAGCTAAAAACCTTGAAAGAAGATTAGATGAATGGCTAACTAGAATGAACAGTGTAAAGAAGACCTTAAATGACTTGATGGAGCTGAAAACCATGGCATGAGAACTACGTGATGCATACACAAGCTTCAGTAACTGATTTGATCAAGTGGAAGAAAGGGTATCAGTGATTAAGATCAAATGAATGAAATGAAGCGAGAAGAGAAGTTTAGAGAAAAAAGAGTGAAAAGAAATGAACAAAGCCTCCAAGAAATATGGGATTATGTGAAAAGACCAAATCTACATCTGATTGGTGTAATTGAAAGTGACGCGGACAATGGAAACAAGCTGGAAAACACTCTTCAGGATATTATCCAGGAGAACTTCCCCAACCTAGCAAGGCAGGCCAACATTCAAATTCAGGAAATACAGAGAATGCCACAAAGATACTCCTCGAGAAGAGCAACCCCAAGACACATAATTGTCAGATTCACCAAGGTTGAAATGAAGGAAAAAATTCTAAGGGCAGCTATAGAGAAAGGTCAGGTTACCCACAAAGGGAAACCGATCAGACTAACAGCAGATCTCTTGGCAGAAACTCTACAAGCCAGAAGAGAATGGGGGCCAATATTCAACATTCTGAAAGCAAAGAATTTTCAACCCAGAATTTCATATCCAGCCAAACTAAGCTTCATAAGTGAAGGAGAAATAAAACCATTTACAGACAAACAAATGTTGAGAGATTTTGTCACCACCAGGCCTGCTTACA
Organism: Homo sapiens; assembly: GCF_000001405.40. Lineage (NCBI taxonomy): Eukaryota > Metazoa > Chordata > Mammalia > Primates > Hominidae > Homo > Homo sapiens. Next base: position 40,914,649 of record NC_000019.10, read on the forward strand.
AGAGCTCCTGAAGGAAGCACTAAACATGGAAAGGAACAACTGGTACCAGCCACTGCAAAAACATGCTAAATTGTAAAGACCATCAATGCTAGGAAGAAACAGCATCAACTAATGAGCAAAGTAACCATCTAATGTCATAATGACAGGATCAAATTCACACATAACAATATTAACCTTAAATGTAAAAGGGCTAAATGCTCCAATTAAAAGACACAGACTGGCAAATTGGATAAAGAGTCAAGACCCATCAGTGTGCTGTATTCAGGAGACCCATCTCACGTGCATAGACACGTATGGCTCAAAATAAAGGGATAGAGAAAGATCTACCAAGCAAATGGAAAATGAAAAAAAAAAAAGCAGGGGTTGCAATCCTAGTCTTTGATAAAACAGACTTTAAACCAACAAAGATGAAAAGAGACAAAGGAGGCCATTACATAGGTAAAGGGATCAATTCAACAAGAAGAGCTAACTATCCTAAATATATATGTACCCAATACAGGAGCACCCAGATTCATAAAGCAAGTCCTTAGATACCTACAAAGAGACTTAGACTACTACACAATAATAATGGAAGACTTTAACACTCCACTGTCAGTATTAGACAGTTCAATGAGACAGAAAGTTAACAAGGATATCCAGGAATTGAACTCAGCTCTGCACAAAGCCGACCTAAAAGACATCTACAGAACTCTCCACCCCAAATCAACAGAATATACATTCTTCTCAGCACCACATCGCACTTATTCCAATATTGACCACATAATTGGAAGTAAAGCACTCCTCAGCAAATGTAAAAGAACAGAAATCACAACAAACTGTCTCTCAGACCACAGTGCAATCAAACTAGAACTCAGGATTAAGAAACTCACTCAAAACCACTCAACTACATGGAAACTGAACAACCTGCTCCTGAATGACTACTGGGTACATAACAAAATGAAGGCAGAAATAAAGATGTTCTTTGAAACCAATGAGAACAAAGACACAACATACCAGTGTGTCTGGGACACATTTAAAGCAGTGTGTGGAGGGAAATTTGTTGCACTAAATGCCCACAAGAGAAAGCAGGAAAGATCTAAAACTGACACCCTAACATCACAATTAAAAGTACCAGAGGAGCAAGAGCAAACACATTCAAAAGCTAGCAGAAGGCAAGAAATAACTAAGATCAGAGCAGAACTGAAGGAGATAGAGACACAAAAAACCCTTCAAAAAATCAATGAATACAGGAGGTGGGTTTCTGAAAAGATCAACAAAATTGATAGACTAGCAAGACTAATAAAGAAGAAAAGAGAAGAATCAAATAGACGCAATAAAAAATGATAAAGGGGATATCACCACCAATCCCACAGAAATACAAACTACCACCAGAGAATACTATAAACTCCTCTATGCAAATAGACTTGAAAATCTAGAAGAAATGGATAAATTCCTGGACACATACACCCTCCCAAGACTAAACCAGGAGGAAGTTGAATCCCTGAATAGACCAATAACAGGCTCTGAAATTGAGGCAATAATTAATTGCCTACCAACCAAAAAAGTCCAGGACCAGAGAGATTCACAGCTGAATTCTAACAGAGGTACAAGGAGGAGCTGGTAACATTCCTTCTGAAACTATTCCAATCAATAGAAAAAGAGGGAATCCTCCCTAACTCATTTTATGAGGCCAGCATCATCCTGATACCAAAGTCTGGCAGAGACAGAACAAAAAAAGAGACTTTTAGGCCAATATGCCTGATGAACATTGATGCAAAAATCCTCAATAAAATACTGGCAAACCGAATCCAGCAGCACATCAAAAAGCTTATCCACCACGATCAAGTGGGCTTCATCCCTGGGATGCAAGGTGGGTTCAACATACACAAATCAATAAATGTAATCCAGCATATAAACAGAACCAAAGACAAAAACCACATGATTATCTCAATAGATGCAGAAAACGCCTTTGACAAAATTCAACAGCCCTTTATGCTAAAACTCTCAATAAATTAGGTATTGACGGGATGTATCTCAAAATAATAAGAGCTATTTATGACAACCCCACAGCCAATATCATACCGAATGGGCAAAAACTGGAAGCATTCCTTTTGAAAACTGGCACAAGACAGGGATGCCCTCTCTCACCACTCCTATTCAACATAGTGTTGGAAGTTCTGGCCAGGGCAATCAGGCAGGAGAAAGAAATAAAGGGTATTCAATTAGGAAAAGAAGTCAAATTGTCCCTGTTTGCAGATGACATGATTGTGTTAGAAAACCCCACTGTCTCAGCCCCAAATCTCCTTAAGCTGATAAGCAACTTCAGCAAAGTCTCAGGATACAAAATCAATGTGCAAAAATCACAAGCATTCTTATACAACAATAAGAGACAAACAGAGAGCCAAATCATGAGTGAACTCCCATTCACAATTGCTTCAAAGAGAATAAAATACCTAGGAATCCAACTTACAAGGGATGTGAAGGACCTCTTCAAGGAGAACTACAAACCACTGCTCAACTAAATAAAAAAGACACAAACAAATGGAAGAACATTCCATGCTCATGGATTGCAGTAATCAATATCATGCAAATGGCCATACTGCCCAAGGTAATTTATAGATTCAGTGCCATCCCCATCAAGCTACCAATGACTTTCTTCACAGAATTGGAAACAACTACTTTAAATTTCATATGGAATCAAAAAAGAGCCCACATTGCCAAGTCAATCCTAAGCCAAAAGAACAAAGCTGGAGGCATCATGCTACCTGACTTCAAACTATACTTCAAGGCTATAGTAACCAAAACAGCATGGTAGTGGTACCAACACAGAGATATAGACCAACAGAACAGGACAGAGCCGTCAGAAATAATACCACACATCTACAACCGTATGATCTTTGACAAACCTGACAAAAACAAACAATGGGGAAAGGATTCCCTATTTAATAAGTGGTGCTGGGAAAACTGGCTAGCCATATGTAGAAAGCTGAAACTGGATCGCTTCCTTACATCTTATACAAAAATTAATTCAAGATGGATTAAAGACTTAAATGTTAGACCTAAAACCATAAAAACCCTAGAAGAAAACCTAGGCAATACCATTCAGGACATAGGCATGGGCAAGGACTTCATGTCTAAAACACCACAAGCAATGGCAACAAAAGGCAAAATGGACAAATGGGCTCCAATTAAATTAAAGAGCTTCTGCACAGCAAGAGAAACTACCATCAGAGTGAATAGGCAACCTACAGAATGGGAGAAAATTTTTGCAATCTACTCATCTGACCAAGGGCTAATATTCAGAACCTACAAAGAACTCAAACAAAATTACAAGAGAAAAACAAACAACCCAGTCGAAAAGTGGGTGAAGTTCCCCTTCCTGTGTCCATGTGTTCTCATTGTTCAATTCCCGCCTATGAGCGAGAACATGCAGTGTTTGGTTTTTTGTCCTTGCGATAGTTTGCTGAGAATGATGGTTTCCAGCTTCATCCCTGTCCCTACAAAGGACATGAACTCATCATGTGGGGTGGGGGGAGGGGGGAGGGATAGCATTAGGAGATATACCTAATGTTAAATGATGAGTTGATGGGTGCAGCACACCAACATGTCATATGTATACATATGTAACAAACCTGCACGTTGTGCACATGTACCCTAAAATTTAAAGTATAATAAAAAAAGTGGGTGAAGATATGAACAGATACTTCTGAAAATAAGACATTTATGCAGCCAACAGACACATGAAAAAATGCTCATCATCACTGGCCATCAGAGAAACACAAATTGAAACCACAATGAGATACCATCTCACACCAGTTAGAATGGTGATCATTAAAAAGTCAGGAAACAACAGGTGCTGGAGAGGATGTGGAGAAATAGGAACACTTTTACACTGTTGGTGGGACTGTAAACTCGTTCAACCATTGTGGAAGACAGTGTGGTGATTCCTCAGGGATCTAGAACGAGAAATACCATTTGACCCAGCCATCCCATTACTGGGTATATACCCAAAGGATTATAAATCATGCTGCTATAAAGACACATGCACACCTATGTTTATTGTGGCACTATTCACAATAGCAAAGACTTGGAACCAACCCAAATGTCCATCAATGATAGACTGGATTAAGAAAATATGGCACATATACACCATGGGGAGGGATAGCATTAGGAGATATACCTAATGTAAATGACGAGTTAATGGGTGCAGCACACCAACATGGCGCATGTATACATATGTAACAAACCTGCACGTTGTGCACATGTACCCTAGAACTTAAAGTATATATATAAGAAGAAATAGAGAAAGTACATGCTTTCTCTATACACTTACATGCTGTATGTAAGTGTCATACAGAGGTATGCTCTGTAAGACACTTACCTCAGCATATACAGTTAAACCCTTTTTCTATGTGGTTATTGAGAATTTGACTAGTGGTGTTAATTATGGGTAGCCACCGGTACTGATCAGTACTTTTTGTTTATTCCTATTTTTCCAGGAACCATTTGTTTTACACATTGTTCTCTGTATTACTCATATTTACCCAGAGAGAAAAATATATCACTATAATTTGTAAAATTCATATGTTTAATGGAAGGAGCAAAACTGTTCTCCACTTATTACAATTATTTTTGAAACATAAAAAAAGTTGTGAAGATTTCATCTTAATATGGACATTTATCTGTTCTCAAATAATACTTTTATAATTTCTTATGCCTGTCTTTAGTATCTTAATCCTGTTATCTTCAGAAGCTAAGGATGTGTGTCACCTCAGGACCTCTGTGATAATTGTGTTAACTGTACAAATTGATTGTAAAACATGTATGTTTGAACAATATGAAATCAGTGCACCTTGAAAAAGAACAGAATAATAGTGATTTTTATGGAACAAGGGAAGACAAACATAACGTCTGACTGCCTGTGGGGTCAGGCAAAAAGAGCCATATTTTTCTTCTTTCTTTCTTCTTGCAGAGGGCCTATAAATGGACGTGCAAGTAGGAAACATATTGCTAAATTCTTTTCCTAGCAAAGAATATTAATATTAATACCCTGGTAAAAGTATGCGTTCCTGGGGGGAGGTCTATAAATGGCTGCTCTGGGAATGTCTGCCTTGTACAGTTGAGATAAGGACCGAGATAAACCTTGGTCTCCTGCAGAACCCTCATGCTTACTAGGGTTGGGAAAACTTAACCCTGGTAAATTTGTGGTCAGACTGGTTGTCTGCTCTTGAACCCTGTTTTCTGTTATTTAAGATGTTTATCAAGACAATATGTGCACCGCTGAGCATAGACGCTTATCAGTGGTTCTGCTTTTGCCCTTTGCCTTATGATCTTTGTTGGACCCTTATCAGTGGTTCTGCTTTTGCCTTTTGTCCTGTGATCTTTGTTGGACCCTTATCAGTGGTTCTGCTTTTTGCTCTTTGAAGCATGTGATCTTTGTACCTACTCTCTGTTCTTACACCCCCTCCCCTTTTGAAACCCTTAATAAAAGCTTGCTGGTCTGAGACGCAGGTGAGCATCATGGTCCTACCAATATGTGATGTCACCCCTGGTGGCCCAGATGTAAAATTCCTCTCTTTGTACTGTCTCTCTTTATTTCTCAGCTGGCCAACACTTATGGAAAATAGAAAGAACCTATGTTGAAATATTGAGGGTGGGTTCTCCCAATAATAATACAGACATGAAAAACATTTGATGGAAATCCAACATCCATTCCTGATTAAAAATTATCAGCAAGCTAGAAATAAACAGAATTTCTTACCCTGACTAAAGGCATCTACAAAAATATCTGCAGCCAACATCATACTTAAAGGTGAAAGACTTGATGCTTTCCCTCTAAGATTGGGAGCAAGTAAAGAATGGCGGTTCTTACCACTCTGATTCAAAATCGCGCTGGAGGTTCTATCTATTATTCCACTCTCTAGGTCCATGTGTACACATTGTGTAGCACCCACTTACGAATGAGAACATGTGATACTTTCTGTGCCTGGCTTATTTCACTTAAGATAATCACCTCCAGTTGTATCCATGTGGCTATAAAAGACAAGACTTTATTCCTTTTTATGGCTAAATAGTATTCAATGGTGTATATATACCACATTTTATTTAACCATTCATCTGTTGATTCCCTATCTTTGCTATTGTAAATAGGATTTGGACCACATTTCAAGTACTTAATTAGTGGCCACATGCAGCAAGTTACTACCATATTGGACAATGTAGCCTCAACCCACTATATGACCTTGGGTAAGACTTGCAAACTGTCACTGCTTCAATCTCTCCATCTATAAAATGGGGATGGCAACAATACCTCCCTAAAAGGGTAAAGACTGAGTCACTGTGTGTAAAGCACTTCATGCCTCCCCACTGGTGCTTCACCCTGGGGCTGGAATGAGCACCCAATCTTAGCGTCAGATGACACAGCACAGCAGGACCCTGGTCCTTGGGTCAGAAAAGTCCATGCTGGCACCTCTCCAGTGTCAGGAAAGTACAGCTTCCACCTCATAAAAATCAGGATTGTTTATCTTATCCTCCTGGGTCAAAGTAACTTCTGGGCTCAGGGTAAACACTGAGTCACTGTGTGTAAAGCACTTCACGCCTCCCCACTGGTGCTTCACCCTGGGGCTGGAATGAGGACCCGATCTTAGTGTCAGATGACACAGCACAGCAAGACCCAGGTCGTTGGGTCAGAAAAGTCCATGCTGCCTCCTCTCCCCGGTCAGGAAAGTACAGCTTCCACCTCTTAAAAGTCAGGATTGTTTGCTTCTCCTGGGTCAAAGTAACTTCTGGGCTCAGGGTAAACACTGAGTCACTGTGTGTAAAGCACTTCACGCCTCCCCATCGGTGCTTCACGCTGGGGCTGGAATGAGGACTCAATCTTAGTGTCAGATGACACAGCACAGCAAGACCCAGGTCCTTGGGTTGGACAGGTCTGTGCTGGCACCTCTCCAGGGTCAGGAAAGCACAGCTTCCACCTCTTAAAAATCAGGACTGTTTGTCTTCTCCTGCTGGGTCAAAGTAACTTCAGGGTCAGGATCCTGGATCCAGCAAAGAGTTTGGTTAACATTGCAAGAAAGATGTTGCCTCATGGTCAAAAGTCAGGCCTAGGATGAGACAGGCAGACACGGACACATTCACATCCAAATTGTGCAAATATGGACTGACCCTGTCAGAGGCTGTGTGGGTGCAGGCTCACAGTGAAGATAGAGACATATGGGAGTCCAGTAGACATCAATCAAACTGGACCCAGTTTCCACACACATGGAGCTCAAGAGTCTCCAGGGGGAAAACAGAGACATAAAGTTAGAGAGAGATAGAGCCAGAGAAATTTCCTGCACCAGGAAGATAGTTGGGAAGAACCCCCTCAGCGCTAGTTAGAGTGATCAGAAACCAAGGGGACCCGATCACTGCACCTGCCAGTCTCAGTTTCTGTCTCCCTCCAACTGACCACCTCTTCCTCTGAGACTCACTGGTTCTGCATTTCTTGCCCCTCCTTCTGTTTCTCCCATCACTTCCACCTATGGCTGTCACAGAAGGACTGATAAAGGAGGGGACACTGGAGATAGACCCTGAGCATTGAAGGCGGCCAGCCCCCCCACACCTGTGGGTATTTCTCATCAGGTTGGACGAGAGACTGAGAAAAGAAATAAGACACAGAGACAAAGTATAGAGAAAGAACAGTGGGCCCAGGGGACTAGCGCTCAGCATACGGAGGACCTGCACTGACGCCGGCCTCTGAGTTCACTCAGTATTTATTGATCATTATTTTTACTATCTTAGTGAGGGGAGTGTAGCAGGGCAACAGGTTGGGAGAAGGTCAGCACAGAAACATGTGAGCAAAGGAATCTGTATCATGAATAAGTTCAAGGAAACGTACTGTGCCCAGATGTGCACACAGGCTAGATTTATGTTTCTCTTTACCCAAACATCTTAGTTTAGCAAAGAGTAACAGAGCAGTATTGCTGCCAGCATATCTCGCTTCCAGCCACCGGGTGGTTTTCTCTTATCTCAATAGAATGAATGGGAATGGTCAGCTTTACACCAAGACATTGCATTCCCAGGGATGAGCAGGAGACAGAAGCCTTCCTCTTATCCCAACTGCAAAGAGGCCTCCCTCTTTCACTACTCCTCCTCAGCACAGACCCTTTATGGGTATTGGGCTGGGGGACAGTCAGGTCTTTCCCTTCCCATGAGGCCATATCTCAGGCTGTCTCAGTGGGGGGAAACCTTGGACAATACCCAGGCTTTCTTGGGCAGAGGTCCCTGTGGCTTTCCGCAGTGCATTCTGTCCCTGGTTAATCGAGAATGGAGAATGGTGATGACTTTTACCAGGCATACTGCAAACATATTGTTAACAAGGCACATCCCACACATTCCTAAATCCATTAAACCTTGATTCAATACAGCACATGTTTCTGTGAGCACAGGGTTGGGGCTAAAGTTACAGCTTAACGCATCTCAAAGCAGAAACAATTTTTCTTAGTACAGATCAAAATGGAGTTTCTTATATCTTCCTTTTCTACATAGACACAGTAACAATCTGATCTCTCTTTCTTTTCCCCACAAGCGTCTGCAGGCTTCCAAAGAGAGGGGCTAGGAGATGCACCAACACAGAAGCACAAATACACCAGCACACACAGATACACACAATTGGTTCACATATTGCTAGGTTACAGTTTGCTATGCGACAAAGGCAGTGGACCAGATTTGATTGAATTGAACAATTCCTTCTTTTCATCAGCTTCTCAATTTTTTTTTTGAGACAGAGTATTGCTCTGTCACCCAGGCTAGTGTGCAGTGGCATAATCCTGGCTCACTGCAGCCTCCACCTCCCAGGTTCAAGTGACTCTCTTGCCTCAGCCTCCCGAGTAGCTGGAATTAAAGGTGCCCACCACCACGCCCGGCTAATTTTTGTATTTTTAGTAGAGACGGGGTTTTGCCATGTTGGCCAGGCTGGTCTCGAACTCCTAACCTCAAGTGATCTGCCCACCTTAGCTTCCCAAAGTGCTGGGATTACAGGTGTGAGCCACTGCACCCAGCCAGCCTCCCAATTTTGAACACACACTACCACCACCTCCACAACACACAAATGTAAATGCACTTTCATATATGAAACTGTATAAATACAAGGAAGCTCCACACGTGCAAGGATATACACATAAGCACCCCCAGATTCAACCACAGAAACACACGCCTGCACATTTGCATAAATACAAACACCACTTTACATATAAAAATCATATAAGCACATACACGGATGCAAGCAAGCATGGAGAAATGCACGGAAGCATAAACAAACAGACAAAGCTAAGTAAAAAAGTGTGCATGCTCACCTGTGCTTACAAAAATACACATACTCATACACAAACACCCACACGTTCACATGCTTAGGTGGACTTTGATATCTCTACCACTGTATCCCTGCCAACATCTAGAGAGTGGATAAGGGATAGGCATTAGGTCGCTGGGTTGCCTAAGCAGGAAGTCTGGGTTCCCTAACACCTTTTTCTAAGCTAATGCTCCTTGACGATAATGAGAAAGGAGGCGGGGAATGGATGAAGTTTCATAACTGAGTGAAGAGGCAGGTTCAGGATAAAAGGCCCAGTTAGAGGCTGCAGTGGGGTGCAGGGCAGTCAGACTGGAACCATGGAGCTCAGCGTCCTCCTCTTCCTTGCACTCCTCACAGGCCTCTTGCTACTCCTGGTTCAGCGTCACCCTAACTCCCATGGCACCCTCCCACCAGGGCCCCGCCCTCTGCCCCTTTTGGGGAACCTTCTGCAGATGGACAGAAGAGGCCTACTCAAATCCTTTCTGAGGGTAAGACACAGACGAATGGGGTCTGAGGGTGGGCTGCTTCTTGTCTCTGTACTTGGGGATCCTTCACCAAACAGAATGAGGCAGACTTCCAGAGTCAGGGGTGGCACGGGGATGGTTGGTGAGTACAGAGCATAGTGAAGCATGATGGGTGGTAGTATTAGGAGAAAAACATCAGTCAAATTAAATTTAGCAGAGTTTATTTGAGCAAAGAAGTGACTCATGAATCGGACAACTCCCTAAACCAGGAGAGACACCACACGGCAGTATGGGCAAGCAGTATTCACAGGCAGAAAAAGGAGGTGACATACAGAAACAGCCTGGCTGGCCACAGATCACAGCTTGCCTTACTTGGTCACAGTCTGAGGAGCTAGCAGCCTGTGGTGGACTGAAAGCCCAGCTGCTCTGATTAGCCAACATTTGGCTACTTGTCGCAAGAATCTATTCATCTGGGCCGGGTGCAGTGGCTCACGCCTGTAATCCCAGCACTTTGGGAGGCCAAGGCGGTGGATCACCTGAGGTCGGGAGTTTGAGACCAGCCTCGCCATCATGGGGAAACTGTGTCTCTATTAAAAATACAAAAATTAGCTGGGCATGGTGGTGTGTGCCTGTAATCCCAGCTACCCAGGAGGCTGAGGCAGGAGAATCACTTGAATCCAGGAGGCGAAGGTTGCAGTGAGCAGAGATGGTGCCACTGCACTCCAGCCTGGGCGACAGAGCAAGAGTCCATCTCAAAAAAATAAAAATAAAAAAAAGAAGAATATACTCCCTCCCAAGTTAGGTTGCAGTTCACTCTATGCAGAGAGAACTTTATGTCAAATTTAATTTAATTAAACAATTCTCCCCTTTTGATGAGCCTCAAAATTTTGAGATTGACCAAAACCTTGGGCATCAACATTACTTCTGTCACCATCATAATGGACTTGTTTGCTCTCAGTATGGAATTCACAATGGACAATGTCAAAGTAGTTGAGTGATTCTTTGTTTTCTTCATGTTTTTGTTATTCATACTGTAATGAAGCCATTGGATGTACAAAGAATGGCTGCATATGAGCATTTAAGACTCTCTCTCTTTTTTTTTTTTTTTTGAGACAGGGTCTCACTCTGTCACCCAGGCTGGAGTGCTGTGGCATGATCATGTCTCACTGCAGCCTTTACCTCCCAAGGCTCAGGTGATCCTCCGCCTCAGCCCCCCGAGTAGCTGGAACTATAGGTGCATGCCACCACGCCCAGCTACTTTTTGTATTTTTTGTAGAGACAGGGTTTTACCATGTTGCCCAGACTGGTCTCAAACTCCTGGGCTCAAGCAATCCACCTGCCTCGGCCTCCCAAAGTGCTAGCCATTGCACAGGTGTGAGCCATTGCACCCGGCCAAGACTCTCAAGAAAATACAACACATCAGGGAGACTGTTATGATGGCTCTCAGGAGGGTAATACAAAGAAAATGAAGTCTGTACCTTACCGGGAGTCTCCATGAACCAAACTGATCAAAATCGAATAATTCAAAGCTCAGGCAATAAAGATAGTTCAATAGTATTAGAGTCCAATTGGTCATATACTTTGTTCAGAGCACAATGGTGATTAAGGACTAGAGCTTGCTATAAAATAACTTGATTTACAGAGGCATTTGTTTTTGTAGTTCACCTGGTAACACATGTCATAGTACCTTGGAGACCCACTAGAAGAAACATTAAGAGTAGAAAACCTTGTGATAGGCTTGCTGTATTAGTCCATTCTCACAGTTATAAAGAAATACTTGACACTGGGTAATTTATAAGGAAAAGGGATGTAACTGACTCACAGTTCCACATGGCTGGGGAGGCCCCAGGAAACTTACAATCATGGTAGAAGTTGAGGGAGAAGGAGGAAACTTACATTCATGGTGGAAGGTGAAGGAGAAGCAAGTACCTTCTTCACAAGGTGGCAGGAGAGAGAGAGAGAGAGAGAGCCAAGGGGGAAGAGCCTCTTATAAAACCATCAGATCTTGTGAGAACTCACTCACTATCACAAGAACAGCATGGGGGAAACTGCCCCCAGGATCCAATTACCTCCTAGCAGGTTCTTCCCTCCACATCTGAGGATTACAATTCAAGATGAGATTTGGGTGAGGACACAGAACCAAACCATATCACTTGCCATCACCATTCAGGATGCTTGCAAATCAACTGTTACCTGCACCCGTAAATACATATCTTCTTTTTCCCCTGAGAATTTTCCTTAGTGTATTTGGTGGCAGTGTCTAGAGAAACAGCATTGTCAGCCACATTTTAAATTAAGTTATATGTACTAGTAAATTCACGGGAAAGATAAGAACAATATTTGGTTTTGTTCAGCACCATACACAAGCCTCCAAGATGGGCAAAGAGGAGATCTAAAACTGCATGATGTTCCATTAAGCGTTTTTGTTTAATACAATGTTCTCATCCTCCTTTTGGAGAGTGGCTTCTACCCATCTGAACTCCTTGGAGGTTCAATTGGCTACATAATCCAAGATGTCCCTTAATGTATAAATTAGCCTCAGATTCCATACAACTGTCACCCCAATATCACCAAAAGTGAGCACCCAGGGACTCCATTGGAACCTTTTCTCTGCAGAAACCAACTTATCTTCATCGACTTTGAGGTTGATAGTAATTTCAGTTATTGACTGTTTTGGCTTTTAACTGTGGGAGGTATTAGGGAACTCTCAAGGAAAAAATTTGGAAAGCAGCAGTGAGCTAGGCCAAATAGCAAGTTACGGGCCAGTGAGGAGAAAGAACAGAGTAAGCGAACCTCAGCAGACCCAAGGTAGGCACTTGTGGGGTTGGAAAAGAGGGTCACCTACTGGCATTAGAGCAGATATCAGTTAAATTTGTTTACACATAAGTCTGCACAGCTCTTGAACAAGGTGGGAAGCTCACTTTTTTTGTGGTCTCTTTCTATCATGCTGCAAGGGTGCATAGCCACATTTAGTTGGAAAGAGACTTTACTGTATTTACTTATTTATTTATTTAATTATTTTTTATAGCGTTGGGGTCTTGCTATGTTGACCAGGCTGGTCTCGAACTCCTGGCCTCAAGTGATCCTCCCATCTAAATCTCCCAAAGTGCTGGGATTACAAGCACGAGCCATCATGCCTGGCCACTTTACCATATTTAATTCAGTAACATTACACATGCAATTAACCGTACCCACATAGGTAGTCCCCAGGTCCTATGCGGGATGCCTGGAAGCACAATATGCTTTTTGCAGCCATCATTCAGATACATTTTCTATATTTGGTAGTGATTATATTATTAGTTAGTTAATAGAATGTTATTACATACTGTTATTGTATTATATTAACTAATAACTAGTTATTAGTTAATAGTATGTTATTACATACTGTTATTATATTAAATAACTAATAACATAACCACTATCAAATATTTCCAGTGAGTGCAAAAAAGCAAGTGGCAATTGATGTCTAGAATATCAAGATATAGCTTTCCACTCCTCCTTTGGGGTTTCCGGGTGATTCCCATTGGGAACACAAAGAGGCATTGGCGCCAGTGAAATTATTTCCTGATTTTGGGGAACTGGCTCACAAACTCAACAATTGCTTGTCTTTTTTCCTAGGGTATAAGCCTTTGCTAAAGCCATTCACAGATTATTGTACTATGGATTTTCTTGTAAGGAAAGGGAAAGGGTTAGGACAGCAAGAAACAGGGAAGAAAGGATAAAAGATAATGCTTTCATGATGGAAGAGAAATCTTGATCCACAGTCTTGGAAAAGCTGTCCACATATAAGATGCCAACTGCTTCTTGGGAAAAACTTTCCTGGTCAGCTTTGCCTTAAGGTCTCAACAGACATAAAGTTCTAGGAGTCTAGAAGGACCCTTTTCAATTGAGAGATGTGGATCCAAGATCCCAGACCCTGAAGTTTTGCTACAGAGAAGAACTTGGCATTGTCCTTTGCAATGGAGTACAAGGACAGTCTTAGAAGAACCTGGTATGGTTACTTCCAATGGAGTTCAAGGACAGTTTCTCTGGTGTCATTTCCAAAGAGCCCAACCTCTAAATTATAGATAGTGAAAGGTCTGGTTGTCATCAACTGATGGGTCATCAATGACTCCTTTTACCTGGTGAAAACATGCCTTGGCATAATGTATTAAAGCCTTGCATTATTGAATCATATCAGAGTTTATAAGAGTGGGAGATACATGAGATTCTATTATTGGGGCATAGGACTTCCTATTACTATTTTACAAGTGATCTATCTATGTCTTTCCAATAGGAGTGGATCTGATTGCCGTCAATCAATAATACCTTTGACCAAGGGACTCCAATCAATTCAGCATGCTTTGCCTAATGCCTTTTGTTTGTAATACTGTTGCGGGACAATCAAAGACTGGAGAGACCAAAAAAGGTTCAGGAGAGTTTATTAAATTAAGGTGACCACTGGCTCAGCCAGAAATATGTCCAGAGAGTCTGAGCCCCGAACAAAGGGCTTTGCCTGCTTTTAAACATCTTAAGGTGGGAACTACATGAGGTGGGAAGCAAGTTACAGAAGGGAGAAACAAAGCAGTTAATTAACATTTCTTACATCTTAAGAAAGACATGTGTTGCAACCTAAACTTATCAGTCTTATGACCCTGCAGCCATGCAGGAACTCACTGGGCCTGTAATAAACTTTAAGGAATGTGGAGTTGGGAAGAAGAGATAAGGTCCATTGTCCACAGAGAGAAGAAAGGTTGTTAATATTCTCTTTTAACTTGAATGTAAGGTGGGGGTCACACTTTGCAGCAACTTTAAAAGGATTTTAAAATTTCTATTACTACTACTATTAGGTTATAGTTGATTTCATTAATTCCTTCTTCAATACCTTATTTAAGTATTTTACCACTTCTCTAGTGAAGCAAGTACCTCTACCACTGGAGAGTTCTCCAGGAATGCCAAGTAAGGAAATACATTTTCTAATAACATTTTAGCTACTGTTATGGCATTGATCTTTGTGCATAAAAAAGCTTTAATACAACCAGAAAACATGCAATGAAGGTGGCAGTTGAATTAACTCCATCTTCAAGTGTTCAAATGATCTACCAAGTCCCAGAAATATATCACCTGTGGTTTTTGGTTTTTGTTGTCTTACTAGAATTATGGATTTGATAAATCAAATATTAGTTATAAACCATTAGAACAGTCACCTCATCAATATTTTTTCATAATTTGGATCATTTTATCTCTTCTATGATGAGTCGTGGAATGCAGAGCTTTTAGTAATGGAAATTTTAAGAACTCAGGAAGGATCAGGCGGCCATCCAGTGTCTCCATGAGTGCATGCTTCACACTGGAATTACAGCCTCTTAAATACAAATTTTAATACCATAAGTACCAATTTATGCTTCTCCAATTCAGGTACATAACACTGGTTTATTAAATAGGTTATCATAGGTAATTTGATGGTGCCATTGCACTCCAGCCTGGGTAACAGATTGAGACCCTGTCTCTGAATTGGAACTGCACGGGGGCACTGTCCTTGGAGGGGTGAGTGGGCATGACGAGGTGTCTGGGTATGAGCCACAGGTGTAGAATTTCACTCTTCTCTGCCATCCTCTGTTACATCCTGGGTACCTGCCTGCCACTGAAAGAATGAGGTAAAAGAGGTGGTGGCACGAATCAAATAGATTTTGCTGTGCCAATGAGAGAGAGCAGACTAGCCCATGTCAGTGCCAGGAGAGTGGAGGAGAGAGGGAGAGCAGCAAAGGAGTGTGGGTAGGGAGTGCTCATCAACAGTACACATAGTGCCCTATACCGGTAACTGCCACTGGCTCAGTATTTACCTGGGTTATCACTGCTTACCATGCCTGATTTTATGATTAATTATCTACTTATCATTACTAATCAATCAACCCACTTTCCAATGGGAGAATTAGAATACTGACAATACCTTCCCCTTCCCCCTCTCATGTTGACCATACTCCTGAATCTTAGGCTTGTTATCCTTTTGCTATTAATAGAGTTTTTTTATTTCTGATCAATGGTCTTTTTACTGATAGAGTAAATATGCATATATACAGAGTATATATGCCAATGGTACTATGAATTTTAAAATTATTTGCTTAGACAGAATATGTGGACATACAAATGATGAATGTGATAATTGTCATACATATATATTTATCTTAGACACTTAGTCAAAACATGTGGTTTTTGGTTATGAGTTAGACACTGTCACTTTAGCTGGAAGATACAAAGTAATTGGGTCATAGACTCTCAAATTATGGAACACTTAGATTTTTCAGGGGAATGACATGGAGGGAGCCAAGGAGTCTTATGATTAGGTAAAATATTGTTTGGGTGGCTCACGACCCCACTGGGCAACACTCAAAGATGTGGTGGCTTATGCCTGTAATCCCAACACTTTGGGAGGCTGAGGTGGGAGGATTGCTTGAAGCCAGGAGTTCAAAACCAGCCTGGGCAACTGAACAAGACCCTGTCTCCACAAAAATTTTTTAAAAATTTAGCCAGGCATGGTGGCCTGTGCCTGTAGTCCCAGCTACTTGGGAGACTGAAGCAGGAGGATCACATGAGCCCCGCAGTTTGAGGTTGCAGTGAGCTATGATCACGTCACTGCACTCCAGCCTGGGCAACAGAGCAAGACCCTGTCTCTTAAAAAAAAAATCATCTGCAGTGTGAGGAGTGACAACATTTAGGAAAGTGTGCATAGGTTTAAATTCTGGTCAAAGACATCCTACACAATTCACTGAACCTTCTCTTTAAGGGTTTTTTCTAAACTCTGCAGACACTATCTGGAGACCAATCATGCCTCTATTAACAGAATTTGCTGCTCCTTCTAGCTCTTGGTATCTCACTGCCCCCTTTCTTTATGAGAGCTGGCATGGTCATTGAATATCCCAATCCTTTACAAATTCTGAAACAAGCAAAACTGTCAATGAAATTCATATTTGCCTAAAATGAGTTTTCAAAAGGATCTTTGTGGCTATCTTGTTAGTTCATAGAAAGTGGAGGCTTGTCAGGAACGATATTGAATTTTTCATTTAAATTGTTTTAGAGACAGGGTCTCAGTCTGTTACCCAGGCTGGAGTGCAATGGCACAGTGATAGCTCACTGCAACCTTGAACTCCTGGGCTCAGGAGATTCTCCCGCCTTAGCCTCCAGAGTAGCTGGGACTACAGGTGTGAACGACCATGCCCCACTATTTTTTTTTATTTTTGTAGAGACGTGTTGGGGGAGGGTCTCACTATATTGCCTTGGCTGGTCTTGAACTCCTGGCCTCAAGCAATCCTCCTGCTTCAACATCCCAAAGCATTGGGATAAGTTTTGAATAGACATGTTTGACCCTCTCCCCTTCTTCGTTGCAGCAAAGATTTCCATTTTCTCACAGGGAGGGCTTGGGGTAAATAGTTTGTTTTGTTGTTGTTGTTGTTGTTTGAGGATGTGGGTGGGTCATCTTGGTTAATGTCAGTGCAAGAACAGTGTCCGTTCCTCATTATTGGGGTTCCTTAGCCATCCAGGCAAGCAGTAGCTCCCTTGAGAAGACTTCCTGACCCCCAGGTCCCCACCATAGGCTCTCATACACCAGCTGCCCCTCCTTACTGAGCCTATGTCCTTGACAATGCTGCATTTACTTGTGATCCTGTGGCTGATCTCTCCCTCACACTTCCAGACAAGGAAGGCCTGCGAGGACTCACCACAGAGCTGAACATAGTGCCTGGTACACAATAGGCGTTTAGCAAATATGTGTATAGAAACAAATGAAGGAGTCAGTGAGTGAAAGCTCCAAGCCTGACTCAGCAGAACTGACAGTCGGCCGGGGCCTGCAAAGTGCTACCAGGCCCCCAGTAGGGGGTCGCAGATCTAAGGATCCCTCCCCACCAAATAGAGTCCCATCACATAGGTGAAGGTCTCAAGTGCCTATTGTTTTCTTTTCATCATTTTCCATGTGTCACGAGAATATCATGCTATCATGTGAATCAATGGACTTAGTTTTCCCACTAGAGTAATGTGTCTGGGAATTACCTGTGTTGTCATGGGGATTTTCTAGGTGTCATTTACAACTACCTGTGGACAAGGTGAGGTGCTACCCTCATCTTAGAAGTAGGGATGGTGGCCGGGCATGGTGACTCATGCCTGTAATCTCAGCACTTTAGGAGGCTGAGGCAGGCAGATCAACTGAGGTCAGGAGTTCGAGACCAGCCTAACTAACATGGAGAAACCCTATCTGTACTAAAAAAACACAAAACTAGCTGGTGTGGTGGCACATGTCTGTAATCCCAGCCACTCAGGAGGCTGAGGCAGGAGAATTGCTTGAACACAGGAAGCGGAAGTTGCCCTGAGCCGAGATTGCACCATTGCACTCCATCCTGGTCAACAAGAGTGAAATTCTGTCTCAAAAAACAACAACAACACAACAACAGCAATAACAAAAAAACAGTAGGGATGGAGATGCTCAGCCTGGGGAAAGCACTTGTCCAGTGGCACACAACTAGGAAAAGGAGAAGCTGAGCTCCAGCAGGAGGTCTGTCTCCAAAGCCCTCCTAGACTAAAGCTGCTTAACATTTTGTGGATTATGAAATCCTCTGAGAGTTTGATTAAAGCTGTGGCCCCCTCTTTTCCAAATAGGCACATACATGTTTGCATAAAGTTGTGAGGCTTCACAGACTCCCTAAAACTCTTTCATAAACCTTCCAAGGGTCCTCTAGGTATTCATGACCGTCTATTATGATTGCATCTCTTGGGGGTAGGGGAAAGAGGGAGGGCATGAGCAAGTGTGTGTCAAGGCTGAGGAAGGTGGCGCTGTTGCTTCTCCATTTCCCAATAAGCTTCCAGATTCCTTTTGGAGCCAGAGGGATGCGGGCTCGTGTCTCAGATTCAATTCTTATGCGTTGAGTCACAGTTTTCTCTTCTGTCAATTAAGACCATGACAATGAGAATGTGTGCCCCTAAGGTGGTTGTGAGAATTAAATGGGATATTGCATGCAGCTAGTATATAATAAGTGCTCATTAAATGGCAACTACCTTGATCCACTCATTCATTTATTCATGAATCCAATAACAATTCACTGGGCACTTTCTATGTACCAGGAAATATTCTATGAATTGATGATGTGGCATCTTGGACAAGACATACGAGGTAACACTGTGCTTATGGACATTCCATTGGTGGAGACAGATAAGCAAAAAATAAACAGATAAGGAAATGTTAGGTGGACAAGAGCTACGATTAAACTAAAGCAGGAGGATATTTCAGAAAGTGATGGAGAACTACATTAGATTGAGTGGTTAGGGAAAGACTCCGCCTTGCTTTGTTTCTTAGCAGGGACCAGGAAAGATTCAGGTGGAAGGTGCCAGAAGGAGGCAGGGTGGTTGCAAGAATCCTGAAGCAGGAAAAATCTCAGGGAACAACATGGAGGAATCAGTGGGAGGAGAAGTCAGAGAGGTGATGGGGCCACATCATGTAGGACCATGTCAACCACAGGTGGAGACTTCAGATCTTATTCTCAGCAAAGTTGGAGTATTGGAGGCCTTGGTGAGCACAGGGATATTAATTATTTTACATTTTAGTGGGGTTACCCTGGCTTGTGGGGCAGTGAAACAGTTGTTAAGGGGTCTAAGAATGTAAGGCAGGAGACCAGTGAAGGGGCTTTGCAGAGATCAATGCAGGGCATTTGTAAGTAAACTTAAACATTTTTCTAATTTTTATGTCAAGTTTTTATTGAAATTGAACATCACTATAAAAAGTGCACAGCTCAATGAATTTTCACAAACTGAACATACTCATGTAATTGACATGCAGGCCAAGTAGCAAGAGTCCCCCAAAACACCACACCCCGTCCTTTTCTAGTCACTATCCACCTACCATCTTGATCATGGGTTGATTTTGTCTGTGTTTGAACTTTTTTTTCTTTTTTGTGAGATGGAGTCTTGCTCTGTCACCCAGGCTGGAGTGCAGCAGCGTGATCTCGGCTCACTGCAACCTCCACTTCCCCACGCTCAAGGAATTCTCTTGTCTCAGCCTCCCGAGTAGCTGGGACTACAGGTGAGGGCCACCACGCCAGACTAATTTTTGTATTTTTAGTAGAGACGGGGTTTCACCATGTTGGTCAGGCTGGACTCAAACTCCTGACCTCGTGATCAGCCCGTCTCAGCCTCCCAAAGTGCTGGGATTACAGGTGTGAGTCACCATGCCCGGCCCTGTGTTTGAACTTCATACACATAAAATTATGATGCATGGACTCTCTTGTGTCTAGTTGCTTCCACTCAACATTATGCCTGTGAGTTTCAGCCACGTTATTGCATGTAGCTGTAGTTTGTTCTTTTTCGTTGCTGTATACTATTCTATTGTGTGAACTCTCACTGTTTCTCTATATCTGTGTTGATGAGTATTTTATAAAGAAAGCTTCTGTGAATATTTGTTCATTTTTTGGTGAACACACATACACATTTGTGCTGGGCATGTACCTGAGAGTGAAGTGGATGGTTTCCCAGTTATCCATTTGTTCAGCTTCAGGAAATACTGCCCAGCGGTTCCCCAAGTGGCTGCACAGTAATCCCACCTTATCCACCGGAGATATGTTCTGAGACCCCCAGTGGATGCCTGAAACCCCAAATAATGCTGAGCCCTATATATACTCTTTTTTTCCTATACAATCACATTATACAGGGAGGGTGGTATACACAGTGCAGACGGGGTGGACAAAGGGATGATTCATGTCCTGGGTGGGACAGAGTGGATGATGAGAGACATCATCATCCTACTTAGAATGGTGCACAACTTAAAACTTACAAATTGCTTATTTCTGGAATTTTCTATTTAATATTTTCAGACTGTGGTTAGCTGCAGGTAACTGAAACTGCAAAAAGCAAAACCAGGCCAGGCGCGGTGGCTCACGCCTGTAATCCCAACACTTTGGGAGGCTGCGGTGGGTGGATCACGAGGTCAGGAGATCGAGACCATCCTGGCTAACGTGGTGAAACCCTGTCTCTACTGAAAATACAAAAAATCAGTCAGGCATAGTGGCAGGTGCCTGTAGTCCCAGCTACTCGGAAGGCTGAGGCAGGAGAATGGTGTGAACCCGGGAGGCGGAGCTTGCAGTGAGCCGAGACTGCACCACTGCACTCCAGCCTGGGCGACAGACCGAGACTCCGTCTCAAAAAAAAAAAAAAAAAAAAAAAAAAAAAGCAAAAGCAAAACCACAGATCATAAGAAGTATGGGGTGAGGGTGATATTCGTAGTATTTTATCAACCATCTCTACTGTTTAGGGCAGCAGCCAATTAGAGCAGACCCTGGCTGGGCCACCAATTAACCTAAGCTTGTCCAACCCACCTTATTTTGTTGTTGTTGTTCTGTTTTGTTTTGTTTCAGTCTTTCAGCAGCCTGAAGCCATGGTTTTCAGATTTTGTCTCTAGTAATATACAGAAAAGAAGGATGAGGAAGGGGTTTTACTGGCCCAATCAGAAACAGAAACTAAGAACCTATGACTGTATTCTCTCCCTTGGACACCGTTAACTGTTAACCCTTACTTGCTGGATCCTGGCAGGGGAAAGGGCAGCCTGGGGAGGCGGATGTTGAGGAGGGGCTAATTACCAATCTGGTATGTAAGTATTTTGATAGTTTTACAAATGAGGTGTATGCTGACTAACAGCCACCCCTGGTGTGGATGTGATTGGCAGTTCCGAGAGAAATATGGGGACGTCTTCACGGTACACCTGGGACCGAGGCCCGTGGTCATGCTGTGTGGAGTAGAGGCCATACGGGAGGCCCTGGTGGACAACGCTGAGGCCTTCTCTGGCCGGGGAAAAATCGTCATCATGGACCCAGTCTACCAGGGATATGGTGAGGGCTTCAGAGGCACTGGGAGGGGGCAGGTGGGGGTGCATCAGGGAAGGGAGTATATGGGGGGAAGAAGGACTCAGAGCCTTCTTCCAACTTCTTCTGCAACCAACTCACACCTCCCCTGCACTGCAGGCATGCTCTTTGCCAATGGAAACCGCTGGAAGGTGCTTCGGCGATTCTCTGTGACCACCATGAGGGACTTCGGGATGGGAAAGCGGAGTGTGGAGGAGCGGATTCAGGACGAGGCTCAGTGTCTGATAGAGGAACTTCGGAAATCCAAGGGTGAGTCCTGGGAGACGAATAGGAAAGAAAGGCAATGAAACACTGAGAGATGCAGGCACGGGAATAGAAAGGCAGAGAGGTATACATGGGCAGAGACAGAGACAGACGAAACCAGAGACATGATCTGACAGAGGTATAGGGACAGAGAGTGAGAGAGACAGGGGAATAGAGAGGGACGGGGATTGGCAGGAGAGAAACAGAGCCAGGGAAAGAGAGAGATGCCAGGTGTATAATGTCCAAAAGTTACTCAAAGAGGCTGGATGCGATGACTCTCACCTGTAATCCCAGTACTTTGGGAAGCAAACAGCCTGGGCAACATAATGAGATCCTGTCTCTACACAATATAAAAAAGAAATGAGCCAGGCATGGTGGTGTGTGCCCGTAGTCCCAGCTACTTGCTATGGTGGGACTACAGGATCACTTGAGCCCAGGAGGTTGAGGCTGCAGTGAGCTGTGATTGTGCCACTGCACTCCAGCCTGGACAACAGAGCAAGATCCTGTCTCAGACAAACAAACAAAGAAACAAACAAACCCTGAAAGACATATATTTTCATGGATCAATTGTGTCTATCGAAGGCAAAATCAGAAGTTATGTAAAAGAAAGCAAAGAGATAAAGGAAAAAACTACAGACATTTAACAAATAATGACCTGTGTTTTCCTTGCCCTGGGTGAAGTGCTGATGAGCTGGCAGTGAGCAAGCAGGCCAGGTGGGATGTTCTGCCCGGGTGCAGCTGGAGGGGTCATCAAAGAATCACTAGGTTATTTTTGAGTTCTCCATAACTGGGTGTCTGTGGGACATGTAGGTGACGGGTCTCTGGCTAGTACCTCCATCTCATTTATGCCAGGTGTTTACCATCTCTCTTATCAAAATTTCTCAAGAGACTCTGGGACGTAAATGCAGAGGCTGCGTGGGGAGGTAGAAACACAGGAGCTATAGGCAAACAGGGACAAGAAGACTGAAGAGAAGGACAGGAAGAAACAGAGTGACACAGGCAGGAGGAAAGAGACAGATGGAGGGACCAAAACAAAGAGATATATAGACTGGGCATGGGGCTCATGCCTGTAATCCCAGCACTTTGGGAGGTTGAGGCTGGTGGAACACCTGAGGTCAGGAGTTCAAGACCAGCCTGGCCAACCTGGTGAAACCCTGTCTCTACTAAACATACAAAACTAGCCACGCATGGTGGCACGTGCCTGTAATCCCACCTACTCAGGAGGCTGAGACTGGAGAATTGATTGACCCTGGGAAATGGAGGTTGCCATGAGCTGAGATCATGCCACTGCACTCCAGCCTGGGTGACAGAGTGAGACTGTGTCTCAAAAAAAAAAAAAAAAAAAAAAAGAGAGAGAGAAATATACACACAGAGAGACAGAAAGAAACAAAGGCAAAGAGAAATTGAGGCAGAAAAAATTAGAGGAGAGACAGACAGACAAGGCTCAAGAAAGGGTCTGCAGAGGAATGAGAGAAGACAGGCAAGTGAGACCCAGAGAGAGGCTGCACTAACCTGACATTCTTGGGTGCTCACAGACCACCCTCCCTCCAGCTGGGGCCAGTGCTGAGCCTGGTGTATACAGGTATCACTTAACAAGTGCAGAATAATGCCCGGATGACTGGAGAGCCCTAGATGTAGAAAGAAGAGATTATGGGGGAGTAACAGGTGGGGGTAGAAAGATGGTTTTTTATTTGTTTTAAATTAGGGACAGGGTCTCACTCTGTACCCAGGCTGGAGTGCAGTGGCACGATCATAGCTCACTGCAGCCTCAAACTCCTGGGCCCATGTGATCCTCCCACTTCAGCCCCCTAGACTCCTTCAACTGGGACTACAGGCATGTGCCACCATGTCTGGCTACATTTTTAACTTTTTTGTAGAGACAGGTTCTCCTTATGGTGCCCAGGCTGGTCTTGAATTCCTGATCCTTTTGCCTCAGGCTCCCAAAGTGCTGGGATTAGAGGTATGAGCCACTGTGCCCACCCAGGGCTTTTTAATTTATACAAGCAATTGATTAAACACCTACTCTGCCCAGCCCCTACCCCTGGGATTTAGCTGTATTCACTCCCAGAGTCAGAGGTGGGGCCGGAGAGGAGGTGCAGAGTGAGAACCGGCTGCATGGACTCGATAGCTGTGTTGCCTGGGTCTAAATCCTGGCCTCAGGAATGAGTAGCTGTGCAACTTTGGTCAAATTACTCAACCTCTCTGTCTGCCCATCTATAATTTGGAGCTAATAATCAAATTGCATCTGCCTCACATTGTTGTAGTGAGAGTTCAGTGGAATTACACGTGACGTGCTGGTACATAATTAGCTGTTATGGTTATTCTCATGTTTACCATTACTGAGTGATGGCAGACAATCACACAGAGATAGGTGACAGCCTGATGTTCCCCAGGCCCTTCAGTCTGTGTCCTTGACCTGCTGCTTCTTCCTAGGAGCCCTCGTGGACCCCACCTTCCTCTTCCATTCCATTACCGCCAACATCATCTGCTCCATCATCTTTGGAAAACGCTTCCACTACCAAGATCAAGAGTTCCTGAAGACGCTGAACTTGTTCTGCCAGAGTTTCTTACTCATCAGCTCTATATCCAGCCAGGTCCAGGAGAGGGAGAAGGAGAGGGAGGGTGGGGGTGAGGTGAACATCCAGGACACACGAGAAAAGGATGACCTGACTTGGGGGCTCAGAAATGCAGCTTATCCCTGGAAGAAATGCAGAGACCACGTGGAGTCAGGGACATGGAGACCTGGAGGGAGGGGAGGCGGTGAGACAGGGATAGAGACAGTGAGAGAGAGAATGGGGCACGATGGGGAGGCAGAAACAGAGTCAGAGAGAGACTGAGAGAAGAAAGATGAGCAAAAACAAGACAAAGAAGGGCAGAGATCAAGAGATCCTGAGAGACAGAGTTGATGAGAATGAATGTGAAAGAGAGGGAGAGAGAGAATGAATCAGGCTTTGGGCTTGATCTCTGCTCTTCTGCTCCTGGATGTCTTTTTTTTTTTTTTTTTTTTTTTGAGACGGAGTCTCGCTCTCTCAGCCAGGCTGGGGTGGAGTGGTGCCATCTTGGCTTACTGCAACCTCCATCTCCTGGGTTCAAGTGATTCTCCTGCCTCAGCCTCCCGAGTAGCTGGGACTGCAGGCATGTGCCACCACATCTGGCTAAGATTTTTTTTTTTTTTTTTTTTGAGATGGAATCTTGCTCTGTTGCCCAGGCTGGAGTGCAGTGGTGCAATCTCGGCTCACTGCAACCTCCACCTCCCTGGTTCAAGCAATTCCCCTGCCTCAGCCTCCTGAGTAGCTGGGATTACAGGCACCTGCCACCACGCCTAGCTAATTTTTTTGTATTTTTAGTAGAGACAGGGTTTTGCCATGTTGGCCAGGTTGGTCTTGAACTCCTGACCTCAAGTGATCTGCCCGCCTTGGCCTCCCAAAGTGCTGGAATTACAGGCATGAGCCACTATGTCCAGCCTACTCCTGGTTCTTCTGTATGCTTGCTTCTCTGTCTTTGGTAAAGCTCCTCACCTGAAGAAATTCAAGGATACAAGACAATAAGGAACAGCATTTCTTCATTTTCTCCCATTGCTCCTTCTCCCTGTTTTTTTTTTTTTAAAAAAAAAAACTTTCCACAGATTATAAAGGTAATCTTCTGCTCTTTTAAAAGAAAATAATAAAATGTCTCCTTATTGATTAACCTGGAAATATGCCTATTACATATTAAATTTAAGAATATCAAGCTGCAGAACAGTATGCATAGCTGTAGTTTGTTGTTGTTGTTTTCAGACAGTATCTTGCTCTGTTACTCAGGCTGGAGTGCAGTAGTGTGATCTCAACTCCCTGCCACCTCCACCTCCCAGGTTCAAGCAATTCTCATGGCTCAGCCTCCCGAGTAGCTGGGACTATAGGCGAGCGCCACCACACCCAGCTAATTTTTTTGTATTTTTAGTAGAGATGGTGTTTCACCATGTCGGCCAGGCTGGTCAACATAGCTACAGCTCTTAAGCAGGGGTGTATGTTGGATTCACATGTGGGGTTGTCACAGTTATGGATTTTCAGGACCCTACTTTCCAGGCGGTCTGATCTGGAAAGTCTGGGATGGGGTCCAAGGTGAGTACTTGTAACAAGCCCGACCAATAATTCTAATGTTCTCCTCCCACCGAGAACCACAGAGAAAAGTCTGGAAGGAGACCCACCAGACAGTTAACAATGGTTATCTCTAGAAGGAGAGATTAAGAAGGAATTTTACATCGCAATATACGTTTGCATTTTTGCAATTATTTGCAATAAATTAGGCATTCCATTCTTCATCAAAGTAATAGAAATAACCTCCAAAATACATAGTCCTAACATGTCAGCAGGCTTATCTTGTGTAAGAATCATTTTATTAATGTCTGACACAGCAAGGGAGATGAGGAGAGGAGGGAAGAGGGAGAGAAAAGTATGAGAAAGACAAATAAACAGGCCGAGGTAGACAATGGGTGACACAGAAAGGAAGTGAGACAGAGACTAAGAGAGATAGAAAGGAGAGAGGCAGGGAGATGGGGCAGAGGCCAAGAAAAAGACAGAAGGATGAGGGAGGAAGATGCAGAAAGAGGTAAATGTGAGATAGATCAAAGGAGATATAGAGTCAGTGAGTGAGGGGTTCAGAGGCAGAGGGGAGTGGGGAAGTGGGGTTCCCATGGAGGGATTGGGGCCCAGGAGGCGCTCTCTCCCTGTGACCTGCTAGCTCAGCCCTAGGCAAACCTCACCACCCCTTCTTTCTTGCAGCTGTTTGAGCTCTTCTCTGGCTTCTTGAAATACTTTCCTGGGGCACACAGGCAAGTTTACAAAAACCTACAGGAAATCAATGCTTACATTGGCCACAGTGTGGAGAAGCACCGTGAAACCCTGGACCCCAGCGCCCCCAGGGACCTCATCGACACCTACCTGCTCCACATGGAAAAAGTGGGGTCTGGGAGAGGAAAAAGGGAAGGGAGGGGAGGGAGGGCAAGATAGAGAGGTGAGAAGAGGGAGGGAAAAGGGGTAGGGAAGGGGAAGATGGGGAGTGAAGAACAAAGATTAGGGAGGGGAGAATAGTGAAAAGGAGGAGAGCAGATGAGGAAGGAAAGAAAGATGAGGTGAAAGGAAGGAGAAAATAGGAGGAACTGAGATGGAGAGAGAGTGGTGGTGGGAAGTGGGGGAGAGAGAGAGAGGGAGAGAGAAGACTGGCTGAGGAAGGAATTTGGGGCAAGAGACAAAAATACAGCAACAGGAGAAAAGACTCACGGAGGTAGAAAGAGACTGGGAGACAAAAAGAGAGAAACACATCAAAAAGATGTGGAGAGAGATAGAAACAGAGCCAGGCAGAGTAAAAAGAGGCTGAGAGAGATGAGTTAGAGATGTGCAGCTGGACATGTAGAGGACAGAGAAAAGCAAATTGGGCCAGATAATGTCAAAGACCTTCAGGCAAACGGAGGGCAGCCAGGGAGACAGGCGTGTGCACAGCAAGGCTACAGCCTCTCCTGACCCTGCCCTCCCCTCCCTACTGTGGACGCAGGAGAAATCCAACCCACACAGTGAATTCAGCCACCAGAACCTCATCATCAACACGCTCTCGCTCTTCTTTGCTGGCACTGAGACCACCAGCACCACTCTCCGCTACGGCTTCCTGCTCATGCTCAAATACCCTCATGTCGCAGGTGGGCCAGGGACAGCCAGTCAAGGGGGTCTTCTGGACTGCAGAAATGGGGCTATGGGTACCACCTGGATGAGAGAGGGGATGCTGGCTTCCTATTCCGGGATCACTGTAGGCTCTGGACTAGCTTCCAATCAAGCCAATTCTGTTGGTGGATGCATGGACGCATGAAGAATCTGTCCATGCGTTCTCCCATTGTTTTCTTCCATCACTCAAGGATCTTTTTTTTTTTTTTAAGACAGAGTCTTGCTCTGTCACCCAGGCTGGAGTGCAGTGGCGCGATCTTGGCTCACTGCAAGCTCCACTTCCAGGTTTCATGCCATTCTCCTGCCTCAGCTTCCTGAGTAGCTGGGACTGCAGGCGCCCGCCGCCACACCCGGCTATTTTTTTGTATTTTTAGTAGGGATGGGGTTTCACCATGTTAGCCAGGATGGTCTCGATCTCCTGATCTTGTGATGTACAAATTTAGGGAGTACATATGCAGTTTTGTTATGTGCGTAGGTTTTGTAATGGTCAAGTTAGGGCCGTTAGGGTATTTATCACCCGAACAGTGTACATTGTACCCATTAAGTAATTTCTCATCATTCACCTCCCCCTTCTGCTCCCTCGCTCTTCTTAGTCTTCACTGTCTGTTGTTCCTCTCTCTGTGTCCATGTGTACACATTTTGTAGCACTCACTTATGAGTGAGAACATGGAATATTTGACTTTCTGTGCCATGACTTAAAAATTGATCCGTTCATCCACTTATCTTTTCATCTATTCTTTGTTTAATTTATTAATTAAAGAATGTGTACTCACTGATTTTTTCATTTATGATTCATCCAAGGACATATACTGTGTCATTCATTTATTTGGATTACTTGATCCACAAGTTGATCCTTTGAAACAGTGATATGTTGATGGACAATTTGTCATTGATTCATTGGTTCATTTATTCATTCATTCATGCATTCTTCCATCCTTCTATGAACTAGGTTTCACCCTTATCCTTCCATCAGTCAGTCTTTCAATTCACCCTTAATCCATCCATGCTTTCCTTCATTTATCACAATAATTCACTCATTTATTCACCTCTGATCTATTTATCATTCAATCCAGCCATTCATTTATTCCTTTATTTACTCATACTTCACTAATTTACTTATTCACTTGTTCTTCCATAAATCTAGCCATTCATGTGATTATTCATTAATTGGGTTCATTGATTTCTTTGTCTATGGACCATTCATTAGTGATTAATTAATCAATCAATCCATCTATTAATTGGTAAGTAAATATATACATCCATTTATTGGTTTGTTCATTTCTTCATCAATCTTTCCTTCCATGAATTGATCTATTGATTGATTGATTGATGTTTTTATCCAGTTGTTCATGGATTCATCTATTGTTCTATTACACTGTTATATACCTGAGGACCAAGAATAGTGTCTCACCTATAATATACACACAATAAATATTAGTTTATTTTCTACTCATCTTAGAGAGGGTGTTTTGATTTGTGGCCTGGAGTTCTTAATCTGAAATTCCATGCAAAATCGTGTTATGTGTGTGCATATGTGTGTGTGTACCTGTGCATGTGGGAAGAGGATCCATAATAGTCATTAGATTTCAAGCAGTGAGAATTCTTGTTGCTTCCTTCCTGCTCTCCTCACCCCACGCTGATTGCTTTGAGGAGTATCAAAGATCTAAGCCTTTACTGTAGGTTTTTAATTGGTCAATAGAAAGTAGTGTCCCTGCTGAAAGGTCTCTTTTTAAAAAATTTTCTTTCCTTCTTTTTTCTTTTTTTTAATTTTGAGACAGAGTCTTGCTCCGTCACCCAGGCTGGAGTGCAGTGGCATGATCTCAGCTCACTGCAACCTCCACCTCCTGGGTTCAAGCGATTCTCCTGCCTCAGCCTCCTGAGTAGCTAGGACTACAGGCTTGCACCACCACACCCAGCTAATTTTTTGTATTTTTAGTAGAGATGGGATTTTGCCATGTTGGCCAGGCTCATCTTGAACTCCTGAACTCAAGCAACCTGCCCACCTCAGTCTCCCAAAATGCTGGGATTACAGGTGTGAGCCACCATGCCTGGCCTCAAATGCCTCTTTAAAATGAGATTCATTCATCTTCTTCTCTGTGCAGAGAGAGTCTACAAGGAGATTGAACAGGTGGTTGGCCCACATCGCCCTCCAGCGCTTGATGACCGAGCCAAAATGCCATACACAGAGGCAGTCATCCGTGAGATTCAGAGATTTGCTGACCTTCTCCCCATGGGTGTGCCCCACATTGTCACCCAACACACCAGCTTCTGAGGGTACACCATCCCCAAGGTAAGACTGGCTGCACCCCCACATCCCTCCTGTGTGGGCATCCTGGATTTTCTTAATCCCCAAACTCAACCTTTTGTTAGCTTCTCAATTGAGTCCCCTTGTTTTTGTTTTTTTCTTTTTCTTTTTTGTGCTGTGTGTGTGGAGGGTGGGCAGGGAATGGCAATATCTTTTGATCTTGTGATCCTTCCTCAGGACACGGAAGTATTTCTCATCCTGAGCACTGCTCTCCGTGACCCACACTACTTTGAAAAACCAGACGCCTTCAATCCTGACCACTTTCTGGATGCCAATGGGGCACTGAAAAAGAATGAAGCTTTTATCCCCTTCTCCTTAGGTAAGCTGGACCCACAGTTTCTTTCCCAGACACCAGAGGGCAGGTCCTATCCTCAACTTGAGAAAAAAAATGACAGGTCCTTATTAATTGAGCACTTAATATATTCCAATTGCTTCACCTGCCTTATCCCCTTCCATCTTCACTACAACCCTGTAAGGAGGCTTGAGAAAGAAGATGACATTCCCAAAGGCACATCTGGGCAAGCAGGAACTTGGGCAAGTATTTTAACATCTCTAAACCTCAGTGAATTCATTTTCTTAAAAAGAAAAAAATCTGTTGAGCACCGCTGTAAGCCCAGTGCTGTACTAGGGGCTGAAGACAATGCATCAAACAGGTCACACGGAGACAGGGTTCCTGCCCCAGGAAATTTAAAGTCCAGCAGGGAAGATGGACATTCATCAAATAATAATAAAATAATCATCTCATGAAATGAATGAATGCCTGCAACATGCTTGGAACTGCCTGGCACAAAGGACATGCTCACGGGGCAATTATTATTATAATTAGACATAATTGTGATAAGTGCTCTAAAGGGAGCTTTGGGAGCACAAAATAGGAAATAGTAGCTAATCTTGTGGTGGGTCATTAAGGAAAAGCTTACCAGAGGAACTGGCTTCCAAGCCGAGATGTTCATGGGTGGGCGTCAATCAATGATTGCAAAGTGTGTTCCAGGCAAAGGAAACAGCAAGGGCAAAGGCTAAAGGTGGAAATGTGATGGTACCATTGAGAATCTATAGGAAGTCCAGTGAGCCTTGGGTGTAGATTGCGGAAGGGAATAAGACAAAGGGCTCAGCTGGGCAGGACCTTGAAGGCTGTGGAAGGAGTTTGGATTTATGGTCTAGCACTGGGGAGGTGGAGAAGGTCTTGACGTGCTCTGACTTGTCCCAGTTCTCATCCTCCACTCTTTGGCTGGTTAAGAGAAAAACTTTAGGCAAATTAAACTTAGCAGAGTCTATTTGAGCAAAGAAACAATTCATGAATTGGGCAGCACACGGAACCAGGAAAGGTTCAGAGAGCTCCACCCAGCAATGTGATCAGGCACTATTTATCCATAGGGAAAGGAACTGAGGTACAGAAACAGCCTGATTGGTTACAGCTCTGTGTTTGCCTTATCTGAGCATGTCTGGGCAGCTTGTAGCCTGTGACTGGCTGAAGCTTGGCTGCCCTGATTGTCCAAGGTTACTTGTTACAAGAATATACTCTCAAGTTACATTGCAGTTTGTTTACATGTTGAGTTACGTTACAGTTTGTTATGCAGGGAGGCTGCTTTAGGCCAAATTTAATTTAATTTAACACGCACCATCCATGAAAGGCCCCAGAAACAAATCCCTAGTCTTGAGTTTCATCAGTGACTTCAGCAACCCAGGGTCCTGGCCCAGCCCCTGGTTTTGTGCAGTACAGTGACCTCCTTCCACATTTTATCTTCAATGACAGTTAGGAACACATGGGGTGATGGCTTGAGGGTCAATGTCTTCTCTCAATTTTGCTGTCTTGTTTTTTTTTTTTTTTCCTTTTTTGAGACACCGTCTCGTTCTATCACCCAGGCTGGAGTGCAGTGGCACAATCTCAGCTCACTGCAAGCTCTGCTTCCTGGGTTCATGCCATCCTCCTGCCTCAGCCTCCTGAGTAGCTGGGAGTATAGGCACCTGCCACCATGCCCGGCTAATTTTTTGTGTTTTTTAGTAGAGACAGGGTTTCACCGTGTTAGCCAGAATAGTCTTGATCTCCTGATCTCGCGATCCACCCGCCTCAGCCTCCCAAAGTGCTGGAATTACAGGCGTGAGCCACCATGCCTGAGACATTATCTTAAGGTTTCTTTTTTTTTTTTTCTTCAGACAGGGTCTTGCTCTGTTGCCCTGGCTGGAGTGCAGTGTCATGATCTCAGGTCACTGCAACCTCTGCCTCCCAGGTTCAAGCGATTCTCCTGCCTCAGCCTCCCAGGTACCTGGGACTACAGGTGTGTACCACCATGCCTGGCTAATTTTTTGTGTTTTTAGTAGAGATGGGGTTTCACCATGTTAGCCAGGATGGTCCTGATCTTCTGACCTGGTGATATTCCTTCCTCAGTCTCTCAAAGTGCTGGGATTACAAGCGTGAGCCATTGTGACAGGCCTGCTATTTTGTTTTAAGAGAGGCAGAGATGTAGGGAAATAAGGACAGAGACAGATAAGTAACAAAGATAATAAGATTGAGAAACATAGTTGGGGACAAAGAGGGAACACACTGAGAGATAGAGATGGGGAGACAGTGGCAGAAGGACAGACAGCAGGTGAACATCAGGCAGTATACGGAGAGGAAGAGAGAGAGACACACACAGAGAGAGCCACATAAGGAGAAGAGGAGGAGGAGGAATAAGA
Source organism: Homo sapiens (assembly GCF_000001405.40). NCBI lineage: Eukaryota > Metazoa > Chordata > Mammalia > Primates > Hominidae > Homo > Homo sapiens. The sequence goes on from NC_000019.10 coordinate 40,947,210, forward strand.
GGAGAGGGAGGAGGAAAAGGAAGGCGGAGGGGAGAAGGAAGGAGGGAAAGGAGAGAAACAGAATAAGAGATAGGAAAAAGAGAGAGTGACACAAGAAGAGAGGAAGAAAGAATGAAGGAGACAAATAAGGTATCTTTAGAGGGAGATGAAAAGAAAGAAGGAGAGAGAGAGAGATTGGGGAGCAATCAGATTCAAATAGATGGAGATAGGAGGTTAAGCAAGATGGAAGAAAGCCAAAAAAGGAGAGGAAAAGAAGAAAAACTGTGTCTGACAGGTATAGACAGAGAAAAAGACAGGAGTAGGGCTGCCAGGGGCAGAAAGAAAGGTATAACCCAAGCCAAAAGGGTACTGCAGCCAAAGAAATTCGAAAGGTGTCCAAACAGATGGCCCCAGAGATGGGGAGGGCGTGATGAGAGGGAGATAATAAGCATCAGGCTGTTGTGGAAAATGTTAGGTCACACAAAGAGCTACAGAAGAACAGGCCCAGAGACCTGCCTGTTTCTAAGCTCATGTTGCCCAACTTCTGGATGTGCCAAAGGGACATGGACCCATTTCCAGACACCTCCACATAGACACACTTGTCCAACAACTTGGCAGGCATAGGGAATGCCTGAAAACTCACACTTGACATGGCCTTTCCAAGGTTTGCAGATTATGAAACACTGAAGTGAAGGGAAAGGCTCCCTTTGTCTCTGCCTCAGCTTTTTCCAGCTCCCTTTGTTCTCATTTTTCTCCCAATCTGTGGTTTAGAACCTACTGGGGGTTCCTTGCACCTCTGAGAATCGGTGGAAGCCATAGACCCTCCCTGTCTCATATGCATCAGTCCCATTCACAATTTATATACAATTTGGGTTTTTTACCCCCTGAGCTCTTGAAGCCTGTGGATCTCAGGCTGAGACCAGAAAACAGCCTAGAGACACAGACACAGACACATGGCCAGAAACACATACCCCACAGATACCCCCAGAAACAAACACAAGGCGATAACCAAACCTTAAGGCTCCTTAGCAGAAGCCAAGTGCTGTTCTAAGAATTTTTACAATTGTCTCCTTTAACCTCAGAAGAGCCCTTTGAGAGAGGTGCCATTCTCCCCGTATGAGAAGTGAACACTAAGAATGTTGTCATAAATGTGCTCACACACATGTAGAGGTACACACACACACACACACAACCAGAAGTGGGTCATTATACACTGTGGGGATCACCAAACCCTTTGGAACTGTAACAGAAGCTACAAACTCTCTACTAGAAAAATGAACATGGCGCCGGGCGCGGTGGCCCACGCCTGTAATCCCAGCACTTTGGGAGGCCAAGGTGGGTGGATTACCTGAGGTCAGGAGTTCGAGACCAGCTTGGCCAACATAGTGAAACCCCATGTCTACTAAAAATACAAGAAATTAGCCAGGCGTGGGGGCAGGTGCCTGTAATCCCATCTACTTGGGAGGCTGAGGCATGAGAATCGTTTCAACACCCTGAGAGGCAGAGGTCGCAGTGAGCCGAGATGTCGCCGCTGTGCTCCAGCCTGGGTGACCGAGAGAGATTCCATCTCAAAAATAAATAAATAAATACATAAATAAATAAATAAATAAATAAAGAGATTGAGAGAGAGAGAGTGAGAGCGAGAGCGAGAGCGAGAGAGAGAGAAATGAACATGGCACATCCATTCAAAGATTTGCACCTGGTTTCAGAGCAGCTTCCTAAAAGTCCACCCTGAATTGTAGGTTAAAGGCCAGTCTTATGCAAATCTCTTGCAGTGGACATACATGTCTGGGCTTAGGGACATGGCAGAGCGAAGTGTATGCACCTGCCCTGTGCCCATGCTGGTGACCTTCTGTGCCCACAGGGAAGCGGATTTGTCTTGGTGAAGGCATTGCCCGTGCGGAATTGTTCCTCTTCTTCACCACCATCCTCCAGAACTTCTCCGTGGCCAGCCCCGTGGCTCCTGAAGACATCGATCTGACACCCCAGGAGTGTGGTGTGGGCAAAATACCCCCAACATACCAGATCTGCTTCCTGCCCCGCTGAAGGGGCTGAGGGAAGGGGGTCAAAGGATTCCAGGGTCATTCAGTGTCCCCACCTCTGTAGATAATGGCTCTGACTCCCTGCAACTTCCTGCCTCTGAGAGACCTGCTGCAAGCCAGCTTCCTTCCCTTCCATGGCACCAGTTGTCTGAGGTCGCAGTGCAAATGAGTGGAGGAGTGAGATTATTGAAAATTATAATATACAAAATTATATATATATATTTTGAGACAGAGTCTCACTCAGTTGCCCAGGCTGGAGTGCAGTGGCGTGATCTCGGCTCACTGCAACCTCCACCCCCGGGGTTCAAGAAATTCTCCTGCCTCAGCCTCCCTAGTAGCTGGGATTACAGGTGTGTGCTACCATGCCTGGCTAATTTTTGTATTTTTAGTAGAGATGGGGTTTCACCGTGTTGGCCAGGCTGATCTCAAACTCCTGAACTCAAGTGATTCACCCACCTTAGCCTCCCAAAGTGCTGGGATTACAGGTGTGAGTCACCATGCCCGGCCATGTATATATATAATTTTAAAAATTAAGATGAAATTCACATAAAATAAAATTAGCCATTTTAAAGTGTACAATTTAGTGGTGTGTGGTTCATTCACAAAGCTGTACAACCACCACCATCTAGTTCCAAACATTTTCTTTTTTTCTGAGACGGAGTCTCACTCTGTCACCCAGGTTCGAGTTCAGTGGTCTTGAACTCCTGATGTCAGGTGATTCTCCTAGTTCCAAATGTTTTCATTATCTCCCCCCAACAAAACCCATACCTATCAAGCTGTCACTCCCCATACCCCATTCTCTTTTTCATCTCAGCCCCTGTCAATCTGGTTTTTGTCCTTATGGACTTACCAATTCTGAATATTTCCTATAAACAGAATCACACAATATTTGATTTTTTTTTTAAAACTAAGCCTTGCTCTGTCTCCCAGGCTGGAGTGCTGTGGCGTGATTTTGGTTCACTGCAACCTCCGCCTTCCAAGTTCAAGAGATTCTCCTGCCTCAGCTTCCAAGTAGCTGGGATTACAGGCATGTGGTACCACGCCTGGCTAATTTTCTTGTATTTTTAGTAGGGACATGTTGGCCAGGCTGGTTGTGAGCTCCTGGCCTCAGGTGATCCACACGCCTCAGTGTCCCAGAGTGCTGATATTACAGGCGTAATATGTGATCTTTTGTGTCTGGTTCCTTTCACGTTGAACGCTATTTTTGAGGTTCGTGCCTGTTGTAGACCACAGTCACACACTGCTGTAGTCTTCCCCCATCCTCATTCCCAGCTGCCTCCTCCTACTGTTTCCCTCTATCAAAAAGCCTCCTTGGCGCAGGTTCCCTGAGCTGTGGGATTCTGCACTGGTGCTTTGGATTCCCTGATATGTTCCTTCAAATCCACTGAGAATTAAATAAACATCGCTAAAGCATGACCTCCCCACGTCAAGAGGTGATCTGTGCCATTTTGTGTGTGATTCTTTTATTGTCAGGTCCCTAGGGATTTTTCTGGAAGGAATGTTGGTGAGAACGCCTCCCTCACCTCAGTGACAACTCTGTGAAGGGCCAAACCATTGTCTTGCTCGTCACTGTACTCTCAATACAGCATGTGGCATATGACAGGTGTTCAAAATATTTGGTGAGGAATGAATGAATGAGTGGCTAAATCAGCCACCCACTACCCCCACAGCCCACAGAAAATGGAGCTAGGCTACTCCATCAGACTGTGTCTCCTCCATATCCCACTTTCTTCTTTGGCCCAGAATAAATTATCATCCCCAAAGGGCCCAGGATGCCCCCAGTTCTGCCTGCCAGTTACTCTCAATCCCCTGTGCTGCAATGCCACCTTTTGATAAAGCTTAGCGCTATTCTTGAAGTGGAACCACTCTAAATTCAGCCTCCAGGCTGGACACGGTGGCTTATGGCTATAATCCCAGTACTTTGGGAGGCCGAGTCAGGTGGATCACCTCAAGTCAGGGGGTCGAGACCAGCCTGCCCAACATACAGAAACCCTGTCTCAACTAAAAAAATAGAAAAATTAGCTGGGTGTGGTGGCACGCACCTGTAGTCCCAGCTACTTGGGAGGCTGAGACAGGAAAATCGCTTGAACGCAGGAGGCAGAGGTTGCAGTGAGCCAATATCCCACCACTGCACTCCAGCCTGGGTGACAAAGCGAGATTCCATCTCAAAAATAAATAAATAAATAAATAAATACAACCTCCACATATTCCACCAGCAGGACCACCACCCTTCCCTGAGGGAGTTGTTGCAAGTTTAATATCTTTATCGCAAGGATACATCAGCCAGCCTGTGGCCAATGGGAAGCTGGTTCTGGGACTCAGCCCTGAGATGCTAACCTTTTGGCCTCTGCAGCACCTGCCAGCTTTAGGCTCCTTGTAGCCTCTGAAGAGTTAGCAGGGACTCTGCCTGTGCAAATGCATGGCACACATTCCCTCACCAACCACAGAAATAAAACAACAAACAGAGAAACATGTCTTTTAAGAGTGACAGCAGAATCTGCCCGGCTTATTTCACCTAACATAACTTCCTGCAGTTCCATCCATGTTGCTGCAAATATCAGGATCTTTTTCTTTTTTAATGGCTGAATAGTACTCCCATCTGTATGGGCACCATATGAACACTTAGGTTGATTCCATATCTTGGCTGTTGTGAACAGAGCTGCGAAATACATGGGAGTGCAGACATCTCTTCGGTATACAGATTTCCTTTTATTGGAATACACTTAGCAGTGGGATTGCTGGATTGTATGGTAGCTCGATTTTTAATGTTTTTCTTTTTTGTTTGTTTATTTTTATTTTATTTTATTTTTTTTTTGAGATGGAGTCTTACTCTGTTACCCAGGCTGGAGTGCAGTGGTATGATCTTAGCTCACTGCAGCCTCTGCCTCCTGGGTTCAAGCCATTCTCTTGCCTCAGCCTCCCAAGTAGCTGGGACTACAGGCACCCACCATCACGCCTGGCTGATTTTGTATTTTTAGTAGAGATGGAGTTTCACCATGTTGGCCAGGCTGGTCTTGAACTCCTGACTTCAGGTGATCTGCCTACCTCAGCCTCCCAAAGTGCTGGGATTACAGGCATAAGTCACTGCGCCTGGCCTATTTCTACTTTTTTTTTTAAGGAAACTCCATATTGTTCCTCAAAGTGGCTCTACTAATATACATTACCACCAACAGTGTACAAAGGTTCCATGGGGGATTCTTTCAGATTGAGTGGTCAGAGAGGGCTTCTTTGAGAAGGCTTCTGAGAGTTGGCCATGAGAAGGTGTGGTGAGAAGCCTTCTCAGCTGAGGGAACAGCAAGGTAAAAGGCCCGGAGGTGAGAAAGCAAACTTGGCACCTTCCGGGAGCAAGCAGGCATTGCCTCTGATAATGTTTCCTCCTGGTAAAATGACAGCTCTGGGAGGGCAGGGTTCTTATTTCCTATCTATCTATCTATCATCTATCTATCTATCTATCTATCTATCTATCTATCTATCTATCTATCATCTATCTATCATCTATCTATCTATCATCTATCTATCTATCTATATCTATCTGTCTATCTAATCACCTATCTTTCTATGTATCTATCATCTATGTATCTATCCATCTGTCTTTATTTATTTATAGAGTCAGAGTCTTGCTCTGTTGCCCATTGTATTAGTCCGTTTTTATGCTGCTGATAAAAACATACCTTAGACTGGGTAATTTATAAAGAAAAAGAGGTTTAATAAACTCACAGTTACACATGACTGGGGAGGCCTCACAATCATGCTGAAAGGCAAAAGTCACATCTTACATGGCGCTGGCAAGAGAGAGAATGAGAACCAAGTGAAAGGGGTTTTCCATTATAAAACCAACAGATCACATGAGACTTATTGACTAGTATGAGGACAGTATGGGGGAAACCACCCCTATGATTCAATGATCTCCCACCGGGTCCCTCCCACAACATGTAGGGATTATGGCAGCTACAATTCAAGATGAGATTTGGATGGGGACACAGCAAAACCATATCACCCAGACTGGAGTGCAGTGGTGTGATCATGGCTCATTGCGGCCTCCAACTCCTGGATTCAAGCAATCCTCCCATCTCAGCCTCCTGAGTAGTGAGGACTAAGTTTGTGATACCACCTCTGGCTAACTTTTAAATATTTTGAAAGGATGTAGTCTTGCTATTTTGCCCAGGCTGGTCTTGTACTCTTGGTCTGAAATGATCTCCCCATCTTGACGTCCCAAAGCACTGAGATTACAGGTGTGAGCCATTGCACCTGGCAGGTTCTCATTTACTTAATTATTACTGTTGTCATGGTTTGCTTTGGTCCCTGTGGGTTCCCCCACCCTCCAGAACAAGTGCCTGACATATAGTAGGGTTCACAATAAATATTTGTGGAGTAAATAAGAGCTGAGCCTTCAAGGGATCCAAAATACTTGCATGGAGTTTTTCTAGGTGGGTACAATGCCACCCAGCTGCATGACTATTTCAGGGTGTTCATTGGCTCCTTTGGGTGATATTTTGACATCTATATAAGAACTCCCACTTCTCCAAATCTGGGGGCCACATCTTTAGAGTTCTCAGCTTCCCGTCTGTCAGGAATGAAGGAGATAATATCACTGATTGGAGCCAGATTGTCTGGATGTTGAATCCCAGCTCCTTGCTGGTGCCCTTGAGAAGTGACTTAAGCCCTCTGTGTGCCTTATTTCTGCCTCTGTAAGCAGAGATCATCATAGCACCTCTAATGTGGGGCTGTTTGAAGATTCAGTGAGGTATGTGCAAAGAGCTTTTTGCACTTCCAAAAAGTGTCTGGGATATCATTGTGCACTGTAAGAATGCACTGTAACAATTATCATTGAGTCTTCTTGTTGGGATTAAAAGAGATCAGGTCTGTCAGGGCCTGGTACAGAAGTGGTATCAGAAAAATAATGACGTGCCGGCTGCTCACAAGGCTTCCCAGGCCAAGCTGGTGTGGGAAAGAGAGTTTCTGGAGTACCAGATGAGTTGGTCTCCCCTATGTGAGACACCCATGGGGAGCCATGGGCGGCCTCTGAGGAGAAAAGTCTCCTTATTGTCTTTATGTCTTTATGCTCCCAGAGCATACCTGCTCAGCGGCATTCCACAGGTTGCTCAGGGAGATAACACTTCCTTAAAGCAGTGAAGTACAATCAAACATCTTGGCTTCTTCTGAAACCCACTCCCACCCATTTCAGTCCTGATAAGATTTTAAGTAGTTTAGACACACGCCTTTGCTCAAGGAAATTCACAGAAACTGCCACTGCTCTACATCTTATTGAATAACTCACGAGTTCTCCTTCATTGATTAATCCTTTTTCTCATCCCTTCCTTGCCTTCTCATCTGCCCTAAGAACAAAGAGCTTGTAAGCCAATAAATTAGGCAGAGCCAAAGAGCTCTGGGCCATGAGCAAGCCTCTGACACTCTGGTCCCCCGGACCCACCTTTTAAATTCTCACTCTGTTTCTTTCTAACTCTTTAGTCTCCGTTGGACTCGCGGTACCTGCAGGGTGGTGTGGGGCTGGTTTCCCCAACATCTGGCGCCCAACGTGGGACTCCCCGTTATCTCTACAAATAATCTGGTGAAGGAATGCTAGAGCATGGAAAGTGGAAGATGACAGAAAAAGGGTGCCTGAATATGTTTTCACTTCAAGCTCTGTGGATAAGTAGTGTGCTTGGAGAATTCCACGGTAACCTCGGGAAAACGGGTCAGGCTGAGAGTAAATTTGCTAATTACTTAAGCTTGGTGTGGCAGTTATTGTGCCACAGAGGGGCAATTGTGAGTACCCAAAATCTCACATCTTTGTTCCAGCTCATAGAAAAGTATTCCCCTTGGTTCCCGGAATATGGAACCATGAATGTAAAAGACTGCGACAAGTTCGGAGCAGACTTAAAATGAGCACAACAAGAGGGCTACAATATTCCCTTGTCTGCTTGGTCTGTGTGGTCAGCAATCAAAATACCACTGGAGCCTTTCCACACTGAGGAGGATGAGAAGTTTCAGGATGACATAGAAAAGTTTAATAATCAGGAGTTTGATGATCTGCAAAGTGAACCATCACAGTTTAGTTTTAAAAAGGGGGAGAAAGGGATATATGCTAACCTCCAAAAACTTATAGAAGAAACATTTCCACCTACTGCAGAAACAGTGCCACCCACTGCGCCTTTAGGGGAAGGTCCAGAATGGCCACCCCCGCCTCAGCCTTATGAATTTTTGGAATGGGAGCCTGAGACATGACTTGCTGCTCCCATTGTTGCATGCCCCACAATTAACTATGTTGAAGGGAAGCTTCAGGCTCACCCAACAGCCAATTATGGTGAGGGAATGATCCAGGCTTGTCCACCTTTTAATTATGGTAGAGGAATGCTGTGAGCAGGTCCAAATACAAATTACGGTGCAGGGACAATCCAGGCATCTATTTACCAGGCATGAGATGTGGGGGATTTGGATGCTTGGCAGTTTCTGGTAATTATTTCTCCAGCTGAGGAGCCCAGACAACATGCTGAAGCATGCTGGGAGCCATTTCCTTTTAAAATATTAAAAGACTTAAAGCAAGCAATTGGACAATATGGGCCAAATTCTCCTTAGGTTCATTCCTTGTTACAATCTGTGGCTTATAACAGGCATTTAATACCTATGGATTGGGAGGCATTAGCCCACTCTACCCTGTCCCCCACTGAGTTTCTCCAATTTAAAACCTGGCGGACAGATCAAGCAACAACAAATCAGGCATGCAGAAATGCTCAAGCCCAACCTCCTGTTAATATCACATCTGATCACTTGCTTGGAATCAGACAGGCATGGGGTACTCTAAATTGACAGATGGTAATGGGTGATGAGACTGTTGATCAGCTCAGAACTATATGCCTCAGAGCCTGGGAAAAAATTCACGACCCTGGTACTACTTATACTTCTTTTAACTCAGTTCAACAGGGTCCAAAGGAGCCTTATCCAGATTTTATCACCCATTTGCAAGACACGGCTCAAAAGGCTATTTTGGATTCTCATGTCAGGAAAGTGATAGTTCAGCTGCTTGCTTATGAAAATGCTGATACAGAATGTCAGGCAGAAATTAGACCTATTAAGGGAAAGGCAGATCTAAATGAGGAAAAAACTTTAAGTGAATACATTAAAGCCTGTGATGGCATTGGAGGCACTTGAATAAGGCCAGCCTTCTTGCTCCGGCAATGGCTAGACTAAGGGTAACAAAAAACATATGAGTGTTCCCCAGATCTTGCTATAATTGTGGACAGATAGGACATACAAAAAGAGAGTGTACAAAAAAGGCAAAACTTAGGAGGAAAAAGCAGGGAACCAGGTACCTGTCCCAGATGTAAAAAAGGAAAACACTGGGCTAATCACTGTCATTCAAAGTTTGATAACAGCGGACAGCCCTTGCCAGGAAATGGACAGAGGGGCCAGCCACAGGCCCTAATTCAAAATGGGGCATTCCCAATTCAGGACAGGACGTCCCTGACTACAAATGGGGTGTTCCCAGCCCAGTCTTTCCCTGTACAAATGTGCAGCAATTGTTCCCCTCCACAGCTAAAAGTGGGGCAGTAGATTTATGCTGTACTGAAGCTGTATCCCTCCTTCCTGGGGAGCCTCCTAGGAAGGTCCCAATGGGAGCTTATGACCCATTGCCAGATGGCAAGGTGGGAAGGTCCAACTTAAATTTAAAGGCAATTCAAGTACACACTGGAGTAGTGGACTCTGATTGCCAGGGAGAAATTCAAATTGTTATCTCCTCCACTGTTCCCTGGAGTGCTAATCCAGGTGACAGAATAGCTCAACTGTGGCTTTTACTGTATATTAATTTAGAAGAAAGCTCAGAAAAAAGAACAGAATAATTTGGAAGCACAAATTCAGCAGGCAAGCCTCCCTATTGGTAAATCAAGTCTCTGACAATAGATCTATTTGTATGGTCACTATTCAAGGAAAACAATTTGAGGGTGTGGTCGACACAGGAGCAGATGTGTCCATCATAGCTCTTTATCAATGACCAAAAAAGTGGCCCAAACAAAAGGCCCCAGTGGGTCTTGTTGGGGTTGAGGGTTTGCTTGTATCTCACCAGGAGAGAATCAGCTTCCTGTCTGGGTACCCACAAGACATCTTAAGTTGTGCCATGAGCCAGAACCCAAGGAAGAGGAAAAGACCTCGGAATGTCTCTGCACCCCCAGTTCATCAGATGGCTCAGATGAACATCTCTGTTGAGCAGATGGAAACCAGTAAAACTCACCAAGCAACTCCACTGACCTGGGGGCAGATGAAGAGACTAGCTCACGTTGCAGAAGAGAACCTGAGGTCTCAGAACAAGCCGCTGACCACCAGTAATCTAATGGTAGCTATGATGGTGGTAATCTCCTTGGTGTGTCACCTTGTAGCTGAGGCAGATCAAAATTACACTTATTGGACCTAAATTCCATTCCCACCACTGATTAGGCCTATTACATTGTTAGACCCCCCAGTAGAGGTTTATATTAATGATAGTGTCTGGATGCCTGGACCAACAGACAACCAAGGTCCTACTCATCCAGAGGAGGAAGGAATGTTGTAGCCATGACCTTTAATCAGATGGTCCCATTGCAGAGTTGTGTTAAACCTCCTTTTATGTTGGCAGTGGGAAAAATTAATATCCTAGCTGATTCTCAAACCATATCATGCCTCAACTGTCATCTTTTTACCTGCATTAATTCTACCTTTAATAAAGATAATAGCATGTTACTGTTTAGGGCCCGAGAAGGAGTTTGGATACCTGTTCCCCTCAATAGACCTTGGGAGGCCTCTCCCTCTATACATATTATCACTGAAGTACTAAAAGGAATACTTAATAGATCAAAATGATTCATATTTACTTTAATAGCTGTGATCATGGGCCTTATAGCTGTCACAGCTACTGCTGCTGCTGCTGGTGTTGCTTTGCACTCTTCTATTCAAACTGTGGGCTTTGTGGATAGTTGGCAGAAAAATTCTTCTAAGCTTTGGAATTCCCAAAGCCAAATAGATCAAAAATTGGCAAATCAAATTAGTGATCTCCGTCAAACAGTAATTTGGATGGGAGATTGGATTATGAGCTTGGAGCAATGTGATTGGAATACTTCTGATTTTTATATTACTTCTAGCTTTTATAATGCCACTGTACACCATTGGGAGATGATTAGATGTAACCCACAAGGAAAAGAAGATAATTTAACCCTAGATATTGCTAAACTGAAAAAACAACTTTTTGAGGTATCTCAGGCTCGTCTCAACCTGTTGCTCGGAGCTGATATTCTTGCTGGAGCCACTGATGGCCTTTCTAATACCAATCCTTTAAAGTGGATTAAAACCATAGCTGGATCAACAATTGCAAATTTTATTTTGGTTTACGTATGTTTATGCTGTTTGTTTTTAGTCTACAGATGCAGACGACGCCTTCGGAGAGAAGCCAGACACTGTGAACGAGACATGATAGTAATAGCGGTTATTAATAAAAAAAATTAATAGAGACAAAAAAAGGGAGACCTGCGGGAAAAAGAGTTTCTGGAGTGCCAGATGAGTTGGTCTCCCCCGTGTGAGACACCCATGGGGAGCCATGGGCAGCCTCTAAGGAGAAAAGTCTCCTTATTGCCTTCATGTCCTTATGCCCTGAGAGCATAACCGCTCAGTGGCATTTCACAGGTTGATCAGGGAGATAGCACTCCCTAGAAGCAGTGGAGTATAATCAAACATCTTGGTTTCTCCTGAAACCCACTCCCACCCATTTCAGTTCTGATAAGTTAAAGATCTTAAGTAGTTTAGACACGCCTTTGCTCAAGGAAATACACAGAAATCGCCACTGCTGTTCATCTTATTGAATGACTCACGAGTTCTCCTTCATTGATTAATCCTTTTCCTCATCCCTTCCTCACCCTCCCATCTGCCCTAAGAACAAAGAGCTTGTAAACCAATAAATTAGGCAGAGCCAAAGAGCTCTGGGCCTCTGACGCTCTGTACTTCTCTGACTCTCTCCTCTGAGTCTCTTTTTTTCACTTGTCTAAGTCTATCCAGGGCTCTGGGTCTGTCTGTATCTGCATTTACACCTTTCGGAGTGAGCATCTCTCTAGCTGTCCACCTCTTCCTTTCTCTGTGTGTGCCTCTTTCCATCTCTCTCTGCTTCTCCCTCTAGCAGTGTCCTGTGTCTTTCTCAGATTCCTTCTCCCTGTTTCACTGGGTCCCAGTTATTCCCTCCATCCCTTCCCACCTTCTTCCCTCCCTCCCTCTCCTTCCCCTCCTTCCCTCCCTTCCTCTCCCCCTTCTCTCTCTCTGGCACTTTGTCTTTCTTTCTCTCTCTGTCTCTCCCTGGTTCTTTCTGTCTCTCCCTTTCTTTCCATCTCTCCCTGGTGCTCTCTCTCTCTCTCCATCTCTCTTTCCTCTCCCCATCTCTCCCTGTCTCCATCTCTTCTTTGTGTCCTCTGTCTTTCTGTCTCTCTCTCTTCTCTCTCTCTCTTAATCTGTCTCAACACCCCATGTCTCCCTGGTGCTCTCGGTCTCTCTCTTTCTCAGTCTCTCTGTCTCTCTCCATTCCCCTCCCTCTCTCCTTGGTGCTCTTTGTCCTTCTTTCTCTGTCTCTCTTTCTCTCCCATCTCCCCCTGGTGCTATCTGTCTCTCTTTCTCTCCATCTCTCTCTCTACATCTCTTTCTCTGTCTCTCTCTCTTGCCATCTCTCCCTGGTGCTCTCTGTCTGTCTCTCTCTCTCTCTTCATCTCTCTCACCCCCCCATCTCTCACTGGTGCTCTTAATCTCTCTTTCTCTCTCTCCATCTCTCTGTCTCCCTCCTCCCCTCTCCATCTCTCCTTGGGGTTCCTTGTCTCTCTTTCTCTCTCTGTCCATCTCTGTCTGTCTTCTCTCTCTCTCCCTCTCTGTCTCTGTCTTTCTCTCTCTCTCTCTCTCCCATCTCTCCCTGGTGATATCTGTCTCTTTTTCTATCTGTCTCTCTCTTTCCTCTCTCTCTCTCTCCATCTCTCTCTGTCTCTTTCTCTCCTGCATCTCTCCTTGGTGCTCTCAATCTCTCTTTCTCTCTCTCCATCTCTCTGTCTCTCTCCTCCCCTGTCTATCTCTCCTTGGTGTTTTTGTCTCCCTTTCTCTCTCTTCTCTCTCTCTCTCCATCTCTCTCTGTCTCCCCCATCTCTCCCTGGTGCTCTCTCTCTCTCTTGCTTTCTGTCCCCCTGGAACCTTTGTCTCTTTCTCTCTTCTTACCCATGCTCTTTGCCCACATACCTCTCCTTCTGGCTCTCTGCCTGTGGGAAGGAGTAAGGCGGAGGTGATTATGTAATTGTCATTATTCCAGAGGGTGGGGTGAGGGATGAGGAGGAGATCAGGAAGGAATACTTTCTTTCTTCTCACCTATCCATCAACCTGGCCTCATAGACACCTCCCCCAGCTCCATGGCTACTGAATTGGGTGGGTAGGTCAGATCACTGCCTCCCTTCCCCAGGGAAGGTCAGAGAATGAATCGTACAGAACCAGAGGGATTGAGGGGCTCAGGCTGGGAGACAGGCTGCAGTCAGGTGGAGCTTCCCAAAGGAGACAGGCAGGCCTCAGGGCTCTCCCTCAGCTGCCAGAAAAGGTGAAAAGCAGTGGAATCAAGATGCCAGTGGAGGCTTTGGGGAGCTCCCAACTCAGCTGGGCTGAGGACTGAGGAATCCAGTTTCTAAAACACCAAAACAGAGACCTTTGAGAGCAGAAGGAGGGATGCCTGGCTTCCTTCCCAGCCCTCTGGCTCTGGAATTCAACAAGAGAGAAAGGGCTTTGCTGCTTGTCCCCTTTTGGGTGTGTGTGTGTGGGCACTTCTTGGTCACTATAGTGAACCTGAAAATTCCATAAGTCATTACCCCACCTACTAGAGAAAAATGCAAAAGATTTACACTCCCAGCACCTACACTTCAGCACTAGGGATCTCCTCACCCTAGCCACAGGTCTCAGTATCTCTTACCCACTTCCTGATATATTTGAGCCTGTCCCGGGCTGTCGAGGCAGGCTCACCACACTCTTTCCATCCTTCAATCTATCTATCTATCTATCTATCTATCTATCTATCTATCTATCCTTTTAATTTTCATCCTTCTGTCCATATGTCCACAAATTCATCAAAAAATCCACTAATTATTTCTTCTATATAAATATCTTTTGCTCTATTATCTATACATGTACCAATTAACTTTCCATTTATCCATCTATCCAATATTCCATCCATCCATTCATTAACCCTTCCATCATTCAACAACTTATTAATATTTACATCCACCTTTCCAATTATTATTCATCTATTTCAATCCATCCATCAATTAACCCTTCACCCATCTATTAAATCTTTCATCCATCCACCCGTTAGTCATTCTAGTCATAAATGCTTCCTTACATCCATCCATCAATCGAGATAATTTCATTAAATTTCCATTAAATTTCTAGTGCATTGGAATAAGACTCAATCCACACTTCTGGTAATCTCTAAATGTTTCTTACTACACAGTAACCCCTTTTGTGTAGGCATATCAATGTACAGGTGTGAGCTTCTGTGTACACATATGTGCATGTATCCAGAGAATCCAAGTGGTGTCTAGAAAATAGAATTAACATCCCCATTCCAGGGCAGTCTATATGGCATTCTCGCAATACCTCCTCCCACTTTCCTATGCATTCATCCACTTATTTATATATGTAAGAAGGTTCAGGTCTCCTTCCTGTAAGAAACACTCTTTACTCTGCCCCTATCATTCCTAGACTGATTCCCCTTTCCTCCAACTCAGTCTGGACTTTTGTTTTTTTTGGGGGGGGATCCTGCAGGGAGAGAACCTTACTCTCTTGATTTCTTGATTGAACCTTGAAGGTTGGGAGTGGCTTCCTTGACAGCACAGTCTAGAGCTTTCATAATCCCTCCCTATCACTGTCTAGCACAGACTTGAACACAGGAGGGGAGGCAGGCAGAAGCATGAGACTGAGATGTAGCTCTGGCCAAAGGAGAACGACAGAGGTGTAGCTCTGGCCAATGGAGAATGATGGAAGATTCTTTGATGCTTCTCCAGGAAGCCAGCTACCTACTGGAGGAGTTCCAGAAGACCAAGGGCTTGGGGGCCACAGGGGGAGGGCTACTAGGTGACTATGTGGTTATGGAGAACTCAGTCATGAGAAGATGGGCCTTACTGGGAGAAAGCTTTGGAATGGGAGAAAAGGGAAAATATTAAGAATTCACTGAGCTTTCTGGCCAGGTTTCATATTAAACTTAACGTAAGCTGGGTGCAGTGGCACACACTTGTAGTCCCAGCTACTCAGGAAGATGAGGCAAGATGATCACTTGAGCCTGGGAGGTCAAGGCTGCAGTGAGCTATGAATGTGCTATTGTACTTCAGCCTGGGAGATAGAGTGAGACCCAGTCTCAAAAACAAACAAACAAAAACAAACAAAAAACATACCAGTTAATGTGGAAGAGACTTAGAGTCCACTTGTCTAGAAACCCTAATCCTTGTCATCACTCTAAAATGTGAAACAAACATTTCACACTCTGACCACAACCACTAGGTCCCCAACTCCTTCACTGCATCACTGCCAATAGCCTGAGGCATACACTGGCCAACTAGGTCTTTGGGTAAGGTTCCAAAGAATGCAAAAACTGTAAAAGGTCAAGGCTCCCTCCTGGTAAAAGACTGTTTAAAATAACATTTCAAAATCTTGCGTTACATACAGGGAAGTTTTTCAAGAGCCATAAGAAATTACGGGCAGCTTTTCTAATGTCTCATAAAGAAAAGAGGTGGGGCATGACAGTCCAAAGAAGTGATTAAAAGCATAAAATTTACAGTCACAAGATCATACCCAGGCTCTGCCCTCATTAGCTGTGGAAGCCAGAAGCAAGTCATTTACAACTTTTGGGGCTTTACCTAACTCATTTGCAAAATGAAGATGACAAAATCAACCTCACAGACTTACAATCATGCTCTTAAAAACTTCACACAGTTCTTTTTTTATATATAAGAGAAATAGAGGTGGGCTAGGGCTATGTTTGAATTCAAACACAGACAGGTACAGGCAAATATCTGATGTTAATATGTACACAGCATGGCCCATGTGTCTGCATACAGACACCAGAATGCATGCACAAAAACATCCATACGCTTGTATGTAGTCAACCTGTTGTGCACACGTACACACAAATGTGAATATGCACATTTGTTGAATATCCACATCTAGCTGGACCCAGAAAAGCACGTCATAGACCTCCCCCAAGTGGCATATCCCAAAGCACATGTGCACTCAGGCGACATGCACAGACAGACCCAGAGACTGGCAAGCATTCAGGAACAGTGGCATGAACACACATGCACCTCATCAGGTACTCACACAAATGTGCTTGGGCAGACATAAGTTGGAAAGGATGCCCACTTATCAAGCACAAACACACACCCCACAAAGCCTGGCGCATGCATAAATTCATCTATCAACAGGGACATGCTGAAACATACATGCACACAGAAACCTCAAGCATGCACCCAGAGTGACACACACACACACACACACAGATGTATAAATAAGGGTAAAAATGGCAGAGGCATCTAGGATAAACCATTGGACAAAATGACACAAACATGCAAAAATGCACTTGCACAAAGGGCAGTTGAGGGGAAGGTTGTCTTGCAGGGAAGAAGAAAGAGAAAGACAGAAAGACAAGATCATAGACAAGGGGAGAGAGACAGGTGGGCAAAGTCCTATGCAGGTCTCCAGGCCATCTAGAATAGTATGAGAGTCTAATGCTTGCCTGTCCTCTTGCAGAAACTTAAATTGGTGAATATGGTAAATTTTATACTATGTGGGTTTTTTTAACCACCATAGAAATATATAAATATAATGAAATCTGAGCTAATCTCCAAAAAAAAAAAGGCACAATGTCACATATGACCAAAATCTGCATATGCTATCAGGAGCTCACAGACTCCCTGAGATCCACTGATTAAAGTTTTTTTTTGTTTTTATTTTTGTTTTATTTATTATTTTTATTATACTTTAAGTGTTAGAGTATATGTGCACAACGTGCAGGGTTGATAGATACATCTACATGCATTGTGTTGGTTTGCTCCACCCATTAACACATCATTTACATTAGGTATTTCTCCTAATACTATCCCTCTCTCATTCCCCCACCCCACGACAGGCCCCAGTGTGTGTTGTTCCCTGTCCTGTGTCCAAATGATCTCATTGTTCAATTCCCACTTATGAGTGACAACATGTGGTGTTTGGTTTTCTGTCCTTGTGACAGTTTGCTCAGAACGATGGTTTCCAGCTTCATCCATGTCGCTACAAAGGACATGAACTCATCCTTTTTTATGGCTGCATAGTATTCCATGGTGTATATGTGCCACATTTTCTTAACCCAGTCTACCATTGGTGGGCATTTGGGTTGGTTCCAAGTCTTTGCTATTGTGAATAGTGCTTCAGTAAACATAAGTTTCAGTAAACTTCTTCCTGGTTTAGTCTTGGGAGGGTGTATGTGTCCAGGAATTTATCCATTTCTTCTAGATTTTCTAGTTTATTTGCATAGAGGTGTTTATAGTATTCTCCGATAGTAGTTTGTGTTTCTGTGGGATTGGTGGTGATATCCCCTTTATAATTTTTTTTTTTTTTTTTTCCAAGGCAGAAGAATTTTTCTTAGTACAGAACAAAATGAAAAGTCTCCCATGTCTACTTCTATCCACACAGACCCGGCAACCATCCGATTTCTCAATTTTTTCCCCACCCTTCCCGCCTTTCTATTCCACAAAACCGCCATTGTCATCATGGCCCATCCCCAATGAGCCGCTGGGCACACCTCCCAGACGGGGTCGTGGCCGGGCAGAGGGGCTCCTCACTTCCCAGTAGGGGCGGCCGGGCAGAAGCGCCCCTCACCTCCCGGATGGGGCGGCTGGCCGGGCGGGGGGCTGACCCCCCCACCACCCTCCCGGACGGGGCGGCTGGCCAGGCAGAGGGGCTCCTCACTTCCCAGTAGGGGCGGCCGGGCAGAGGCGCCCCTCACCTCCTGGATAGGGCGGCTGGCCGGGCGGGGGGCTGACCCCCCCCACCTCCCTCCCGGACGGGGCGGCTGGCCGGGCAGAGGAGTCCTCACTTCCCAGTAGGGGCGGCCGGGCAGAGGCGCCCCTCACCTCCCGGACGGGGCGGCCGGCCGGGCGGGGGGCTGACCCCCCCACCTCCCTCCCGGACAGGGCGGCTGGCCGACCCCCCCCCCCCGCCTCCCTCCCGGACGGGGCGGCTGGCCGGGCAGAGGGGCTCCTCACTTCCCAGTAGGGGCGGCCGGGAAGAGGCGCCCCTCACCTCCAGGACAGAGCGGCTGGCCAGGCTGGGGGCTGATCCCCCCACCTCCCTCCCGGACGGGGCGGCTGGCCGGGCGGGGGGCTGACCCCCCACCTCCCTCCCGGACTGGGCGGCTTGCCGGGCAGAGGGGTCCTCACTTCCCAGTAGGGGCGGCCGGGCAGAGGCGCCCCTCACCTCCCGGACGGGGCGGCCGGCCGGGTGGGGGGCTGACCCTCCCACCTCCCTCCCGGACGGGGCGGCTGGCCGGGCAGAGGGGCTCCTCACTTCCCAGTAGGGGCGGCCGGGCAGAGGCACCCCTCACCTCCCGGACGGGGCGGCTGGCCAGGCGGGGGGCTGATCCCCCCACCTCCCTCCCGGACGGGGCGGCTGGCCGGGCGGGGGGCTGACCCCCCACCTCCCTCCCGGACTGGGCGGCTGGCCGGGTGGGGGGCTGACCCCCCCCACCTCCCTCCCAGACGGGGCGGCTGGCCGGGCAGAGGGGTCCTCACTTCCCAGTAGGGGCGGCCGGGCAGAGGCGCCCCTCACCTCCTGGACGGGGCGGCCGGCCGGGCGGGGGGCTGACCCTCCCACCTCCCTCCCGGACGGGGCGGCTGGCGGGGCAGAGGGGCTCCTCACTTCCCAGTAGGGGCGGCCGGGCAGAGGCACCCCTCACCTCCCGGACGGGGCGGCTGGCCAGGCGGGGGGCTGATCCCCCCACCTCCCTCCCGGACTGGGCGGCTGGCCGGGCGGGGGGCCGACCCCCCCACCTCCCTCCCAGACGGGGCGGCTGGCCGGGAAGAGGGGTCCTCACTTCCCAGTAGGGGCGGCCGGGCAGAGGCACCCCTCACCTCCTGGACGGGGCGGCCGGCCGGGCGGGGGGCTGACCCCCCCACCTCCCTCCTGGACGGGGCGACTGGCCGGGCAGAGGGGCTCCTCACTTCCCAGTAGGGGCGGCCGGGCAGAGGAGCCCCTCACCTCCCGGACGGGGCGGCTGGCCGGGCAGGGGGCTGACCCCCCCCCCACCTCCCTCCCGGACGGGGTGGCTGCCGGGCGGAGACGCTCCTCACTTCCCAGACGGGGTGGCTGCCGGTCGGAGACGCTCCTCACTTCCCAGACGGGGTGGCTGCCGGACGGAGGGGCTCCTCACTTCTCAGACGGGGCGGTTGCCAGGCAGAGGGTTTCCTCACTTCTCAGACGGGGCGGCCGGGCAGAGACGCTCCTCACCTCCCAGACAGGGTTGCAGCCCAGCAGAGGCGCTCCTCACATCCCAGACACGGCGGCAGGGCAGAGGTGCTCCCCACATCTCAGACGATGGGCGGCCGGGCAGAGACGCTCCTCACTTCCTAGATGGGATGGTGGCCGGGAAGAGGCACTCCTCGCTTCCTAGATGGGATGGCGGCCGGGCAGAGACGCTCCTCACTTTCCAGACTGGGCAGCCAGGCAGAGAGGCTCCTCATATCCCAGACGATGGGGGGCCAGGCAGAGACGCTCCTCACTTCCCAGACAGGGTGGCGGCCGGGCAGAGGCTGCAATCTCGGCACTTTGCGGGGCCAAGGCAGGCGGCTGGGAGGTGGAGGTTGTAGTGAGCCGAGATCACGCCACTGCACTCCAGCCTGGGCACCATTGAGCACTGAGTGAACGAGACTCCGTCTGCAATCCCGGCACCTCGGGAGGCCGAGGCTGGCGGATCACTCGCGGTTAGGAGCTGGAGACCAGCCCAGCCAACACAGCAAAACCCCGTCTCCACCAAAAAAAAAAAAACAAAAAAAAAAAACGAAAACCAGTCAGGCGTGGCGACGCGCGCCTGCAATCGCAGGCACTCGGCAGGCTGAGGCAGGAGAATCAGGCAGGGAGGTTGCAGTGAGCCGAGATGGCAGCAGTACCGTCCAGCTTTGGCTCGGCATCAGAGGGAGACCGTGGAGGGAGAGGGAGAGGGAGAGGGGGAGGGGGAGGGGGAGGGGGAGGGGGAGGGGGAGGGGGAGGGGGAGGGGGAGGGGGAGGGGGAGGGGGAGGGAATGGGAGAGGGAGAGGCCCTTTATAATTTTTTATTGCATCTGTTTGATTCTTCTCTCTATTCTTTAGTCTTCCTAGTGGTCTATGAATTCTGTGATCTTTTCAAAAAAACCAACTCCTTTATTCACTGATTTTTCTGAAGGGTTTTTGTGTCTCTATCTCCTTCAGTTCTGCTCTGATCTTAGTTATTTCTTGCCTTCTGCTAGCTTTTGAATGTGTTTGCTCTTGCTTCTCTAGTTCTTTTAATTATGATGTTAGGGTATCGATTTTAGATTTTTCATGCTTTCTCTTGTGGGCATTTAGTGCTATAAATTTCCCTCTACATGAAAAAATGCTCATCATCACTGGCCATCAGAGACATGCAAATCAAAACCACAATGAGATACCATCTCACACCAGTTAGAATGGCGATCATTAAAAAGTCAGGAAACAACAGGTGCTGGAGAGGATGTGGAGAAATAGGAACAATTTTACACTGTTGGTGGGACTGTAAACTAGTTCAACCATTGTGGAAGTCGGTTTGATGGTTCCTCAGGGATCTAGAACTAGAAATGCCATTTGACCCAGCCATCCCATTACTGGGTATATACCCAAAGGATTATAAATCATGCTGCTATAAAGACACATGCACACGTATGTTTATAGCGGCACTATTCACAATAGCAAAGACTTGGAACCAACCTCAATGTCCAACAATGATAGACTGGATTAAGAAAATGTGGCACATATACACCATGGAATACTATGCAGCCATAAAAAAGGATGAGTTTGTGTCCTTTGTAGGGACATGGATGAAACTGGAAACCATCATTCTCAGCAAACTATCGCAAGGACAAAAAACCAAACACTGCATGTTCTCACTTATAGGTGGGAATTGAACAATGAGAACCCATGTATACAGGAAGGGGAACATCACACACCAGGGACTGTTGTGGGGTGGGGGGCGGGGGGAGGGATAGCATTAGGAGATATACCTAATGCTAAATGACAAGTTAATGGGTGCAGCACACCAACATGGCACATGTATACATATGTAACAAACCTGCATGTTGTGCACATGTACCCTAAAACTTAAAGTATAATAATAATAAAATAAAAAAAAAATTTCCCTCTACACACTGCTTTAAATGTGTCCCAGAGATTCTGGTGCTTTGTGTCCTTGTTCTCATTGGTTTCAAAGAACATCTTTATTTCTGTCTTCATTTCGTTATTTACCCAATTGTCATTCAGGAGCAAGTTGTTTAGTTTCCCTGTAGTTGTATGGTTTTGAGAGAGTTTCTTAATACTGTGTTCTAATTTGATTGCAATGTGATCTGAGAGACAGTTTGTTGTGATTTCTGTTCTTTCACATTTGCTGAGGAGTTCTTCACTTCCAACTATGTAGTCAATTGTGGAATAAGTTGGATGTGGTGCTAAGAAGAATGCATATTCTGTTGATTTGAGGTGGAGAGTTCTGTAGATGTCTATTAGGTCCATTTGGAGCAGAGCTGAGTTCAAGTCCTGGATATCCTTTTTAACCTTCTGTCTTGATGATCTGTCTAATATTGGCAGTGGGGTGTTAAAGTCTCCCATTATTATTACGTGGGAGTCTAAGTCTCCTTTTAGGTCTCTCAGGACTTGCTTAATGAATCTGGGTGATCCTGTATTGGGTGCATATTTAGAATAGTTAGATCTCCTTGTTGAATTGATCACTTTACCATTTTGTAATGGCCTTGTCTCTTTTGATCTGTGTTGGTTTAAATTCTGTTTTCTTCGAGACTAGGATTGCAACCCCCATTTTTTTTTTCCTTCCATTTGCTTGGTAAATCTTCCTCCATCCCTTTATTTTGAGCCTATGTGTGTCTCTGCACATGAGATGGGTCTCCTGAATACAGCACATTGATGGGACTTGATTCTTTATCCAATTTGCCAGTCTGTGTCTTTTAATTGGGGCATTTAGCCCATTTACATTTCAGGTTAATATTGTTATGTGTGAATTTGATCCGGTCATTATGATGTTAGCTGGTTATTTTGCCCATTAGTTGATGCAGTTTCTTCCTAGCATCAATGGTCTTTACAATTTGGCATGTTTCTGCAGTGGCTGCTACCAGTTGTTCCTTTCCATGTTTAGTTCTTCCTTCAGGAGCTCTTATAAGGCAGGCCTGGTGGTGACAAAATCTCTTAGCATTTGCTTGTCTGTAAAGGATTTTATTTCTCCTTCACTTATGAAGCTTAGTTTGGCTGAATATGAAGTTCTGGGTTGAAAATTCTTTGCTTTCAGAATGTTGAATATTGGCCCCCACTCTCTTCTGGCTTGTAGAGTTTCTGCCGAGAGATCCACTGCTAGTCTGTTGAGCTTCCCTTTGTGAGTAATCCAAACTTTCTCTCTGGCTGCGCTTAGCATTTCTTTCTTCATTTCAAACTTGATGAATCTGACAATTACGTGTCTTGGGGTTGCTCTTCTCAAGGAGTATCTTTGTGGTGTTCTCTGTATTTCCGGATTTTGAATGTTGGACTGCCTTGCTAGGTTGGGGAAGTTCTCCTGGGTAATATGCTGAAGAGTGTTTTCCAGCTTGTTTCCATTCTCCCCATCACTTTCAGGTACACCAGTCAAATGTAGATTTGGTCTTTTCATATAGTCCCATATTTCTTGGAGGCTTTCTTCGTTTCTTTTTACTTTTTTTTCTCTAAACTTCCCTTCTCGCTTGATTTCATTCATTTGATCTTCAATCACTGATACTCTTCCTTCCACTTGACCGAATTGGCTACTGAAACTTGTGCATGTGTCATGTAGTTCTCATGCCAACGTTTTCAGCTCCATCAGGTCATTTAAGGTCTTCTCTATGCTGTTTATTCTAGTTACCATTCATCTAATCTTTTTTCAATGTTTTTAGCTTCCTTGTGATGGGTTCAAACATCCTCCTTTAGCTCAGAGAAGTTTGTTATTACCGACTTTCTGAAGTTTACTTCTGTCAACTCATCAAAGTCATTCTCTGTGCTTTTTTGTTCCGTTGCTGGCTAGCAGCTGTGATCCTTTGGAGGAGAAGTGGTGCTGTGGTTTCTAGAATTTTCAGCTTTTCTGCTCTGGTTTCTCCCCATCTTTGTGGTTTTATCTACCTTTGGTCTTTGATGATGGTGACCTACAGATGTGGTTTTGGTGGGGATGTGTTTTTTGTTGATGTTGATGCTATCCCTTTCTGTTTGTTAGTTTTCCTTCTAACAGTCAGGTCCCTCACTGCAGGTCTGTTGGAGTTTGCTGGAGGTCCACTCCAGACCCTCTTTGCCTGGGGATCACCAGCAGAGGCTGCAATACAGCAAATACTACAGAATAGCAAAAATTGCTGCCTGATCCTTCCTCTGGAAGCTTCGTCTCAGAGGGGCAACCAGCTGTATGAGGTGTCAATCGGCCATTATTTGGAGGTGTCTCCAAGTTAGGCTACATGGGGGTCAGGGACCCACTTGAGGAGGCAGTCTGTCTGTCTCAGAGCTCAAACACCATGCTGGGAGAACCACTGCTCTCTTTAGAGCTGTCAGACAGGGACATTTAAGTCTGCAGAAGTTTCTGCTGCCTTTTGTTCAGCTATGCCCTGCCCCCAGAGGTGGATTCTACAGAGGCAGGCAGCCTTGTTGAGCTGTGGTGGGCTCCACCCAGTTAGAGATTCCTGGCCACTTTGTTTACCTACTCAAGCCTCAGCAAAGGTGGTCGCCCCTCCCTCAGCCAGGCTTGCCACCTGGCAGTTTGATCTTGGACTAGCAGTGAGCAAGACTCTATGGGTGTGGGACCCACTGAGCCAGGTGCGGTATATAATCTCCTGGCATGCCATTTGCTAAGACCATTGGAAAAGGGCATTGTTTAGGTGGCAGTGTCCCAATTTTCCCATTACAGTCTGTCACAAAAATCCCCAACTGCTTGCACTTTGTGGGTGAGGCAATGCCCCACCCTGCTTCAGCTCACCCTCCATGGTCTGCACCCACTTTCTGACCAGTCCCAGTGAGATGAACCAGGTACCTCAGTTGGAAATGCAGAAATCACCCATCTTATGCATCATTCACGCTGGGACCTGCAGACCAGAGCTGTTCCTATTTGGCCATCTTGGAACAGCTCCTGATTAAAGTTTTCTTGATCATTGGATATCATCTGAGTGGGTGGATGGCTTCTCTGCCTTGCTCATATTTATACATTTCTTCCTTCAGGGGCCTCAAATCCGTACTGTCAGGGTTATCACCCATGTTAATGATTGATTTATAGGGCTTAAGTTAGATTTGAATTAATTCCTTCACTGAGCAACACGGGTCCTGTGGATGATTTTCCTATAATCCTGAGGATCAGGATCTTTGTTGCAAAAGAGGCATGGGCAGCAGTGGCAGAGGTCCTGGTGAGCCATCTGCTCTTAGGAGCATGGATTTCAGTATGCCACCAAATGGCTGCTTTTTTCCCTCTTCTCTCTCTTTGTCTCACTTTTTGTTTTTTGACGGAGACTTACTCTGTTTTTTAAGATGGAGTCTTGTTCTTGTCACCCAGGCTGGAGTGCGATGGCTTGATTTCAGCTTACTGCAAACTCTGCCTCCTGGGTTTAAGAGATTCTCCTGCCTTAGCCTCCTAAATAGGTGGGATTACAGGTGCCCACGACCACACTCATGTAATTTTTAAATTTTTTGTAGAGACGGGGTTTCACCATGTTGGCCAGGCTTATCTCGAACTCCTGACCTCAGTTGATCAACCCGTCTCGGCCTCCCAAATTGCTGGGATTACAGGTGTGAGCCCTTGCACCCAGCTGTCTCTTTCTCACTCTCCAAAGATTGCTGTTTCTTGAATGACTATCCAGTGGGCCCGTATATTACACCAAATAGAGTCGTTCACCTGAGTGCTCTATAGATTGGGGCCCAATGCCTGGTTGAGACACATACCAGTTGGTGGAAAGGAAGAGTCTTTTTCCTGAGCCTAGCATCATTCACAGGTGCATTCTAAGATACACAGATAAGTCCAGGCTGAGACACATGATCCATGGCTATATTAAAGAGGGTCTTAATCCCATCATCCTGTCTTTTAATGCCAATTAATTAACAAAACTTCTGACCAAGGTTTACTAAGTCTTTAATGGAGGCTCAGTAGGACTCAACAATGAAATACAAGGCAGCACAGGTCAAGGCACAGGCTGGCTAGAAGGCAGCAGCTGAAAATGCATGCTAGGTATCAGGTAGTGGAGTGGGTTAGCAGGTTAGCAAGCCAAAGCAAAAGAAGAAAGACCCCTGGTGATTGTAGTCAGAATCTAGCAGCTCTGTTCACAGTGTCAATTGTTATGGTCACTCACAGAAGCAGATGGACACCCACCCAAAATTTGGACCAGGTGTCAAAACCGATGATGCCACACACACGATGAGAGGGCATGGAAAGTTTTATTGCTCCCATAATTGAGGCCTCTAGGGAGAGTGGGACAGGCCCTTGATTTCTATGGTGGCTAGGGGCTGAGGGTGGTGTGAAAGTCCTACTGTACTCCTGCATGTTCAGGAGCTTGTGTGGTTTGAATCTTCCATAGGCACCAAAGGAGAGAGAACCTGGGCTTTCTTTATTATTATTATTGTCATTACTATTATTATTATTTTAATTGACACATTATAATTGTACATATTTATGGAGTACCGTGTGATGCTTCAATACATGTGTACAAAGTGTAAGGATCACAGATCCCGGTAATTAGAATATCTATCAACATAAAATAATATGAGAGTGATATATCATCATATTCATAGGTTTTTAAGATTATTGCACCAAATATGAAATTTCTTGAAATATTTCAGTGAAATATCTTGTGAAACCATTTTTAGAAATTTTGCCTACCTTGGTCCACCCTCCCACCCTCAAAGATTCATGTCCCTTTCACATGCAAAATATATTATTCCTCCCCTGAGGTTCCTAAGAGTTTTGTTCCATTACATCAATTCAAAGATTAAAATCTTATCTGCATATAATCAGCTCACAAGTACCAAATCTCGTTATATAAATCCGGTGTGGATGAAACTTCTAGGTATAATTTCTCGACATCTGTGGACCCTCAGCAGTGAAGAAACAAGTTATCTGTTCTCAATATACAATGATGAGACAGGCAATAGGATAAGAGTTATAGACATTCAAGTTCAAGAGAGGGAAAATGGAAGATAAAAAGGAGTGCCCAGCTCAAAGCACTTTTGAAATCCAGATGGAAAAACTCCAGCTGAAGCCCCTTGGTTAGGTTTCAGGGCCCAGGAAAACTTCTCCATAGTTTTTGATCCTGTCCTCTGGGCTTTTGGCTATGCCCTGTGTGTGCTGTTAGTGCTGCTAAAACAAAATACCTGAGGATGGGCAAGTTATAAAGATTAGAAATTTATTTCTCATGGTTCTGGAGGTTGGGAAGTCCAAGATCAAGGAACCAGATGGATTGGTGTCTGGTAAGTTCTGCTCTCTGCTTCCAAGGTGGCACCTTGTTGCTGCCTACCCTGGAGGAAAGGAATACTTTCCTTTCCCATATTATTTTACGTTTATTATTATTATACTTTAAGTTTTAGGGTACATGGATCTTCAAGGATCCAGAACTAGAAATACCATTTGACCCAGCCATCCCATTACTGGGTATATACCCAAGGATTATAAATCATGCTACTATAAAGACACATTCACATGTATGTTTATTGCGGCACTATTCACCATAGCAAATACTTCGAACCAACTCAAATGTCCATCAATGATAGACTGGATTAAGAAAATGTGGCACATATACACCATGGAATACTATGCAGCCATAAAAAATGATGAGTTCAAGTCCTTTGCAGGGACATGGATGAAGATGGAAACCCTCATTCTCAGCAAACTATCACAAGGACAGAAAACGAAACACCACAAGTTCTCACTCATAGGTGGGAATTGAACAATGAGAACATTTGGACACAGGGAGCGGAATATCACACAGCGGGGCCTGTCGTGGGGTGGGAGAATGGGGAGGGATAGCATCAGGAGATATACCTAACATAAATGACGAGTTAATGGGTGCAACACATCAACATGGCACATGTATACATATGTAACAAACCTGCACGTTGTGCATGTACCCTAGAACTTAAAGCATAATAAAAAAATAAATAAAATAAAATAAGAAGAAGAAAAAATTAAATCTAAGTAAAGCACTTAGAACAATGGCTGGCACATAGCAAATGCTGTGTTAGTTGCTGTTCTTCCAGGCCAGAAGCGACACAGACAAGTTACCACCAGGTGGCGCTGTATTCCTCCAGCTCCACAGGTTACTCAGGCTCAGAGTCTGGGGGTGCATCTCAACAGCCCTGAATTTGAATCCTGCTCTGCCACTGCCTAGTCGAGACATTTCACTACATGCCTAGCTGAGACATTTATTAGCTCTAGGCCTCATTGTATTCATTTCATTTCATTACTTTTTTTTCTTTTTTTTTGAGACAGAGTCTCACTCTGTTGCCCAGGCTGGAGTGCAGTGTCACAGTCTCAGCTCACTGCAAACTTCGTCTCCAGGGTTCAAAGGATTCTCCTGCCTCAGCCTCCCAGGTAGCTGGGGTTACAGGCGCCCGCCACCACGTCTGGCTAATTTTTGTATTTTTAGTAGAGATGGGGTTTCACCATGTCAGCCAGCCTGGTCTGGAACTCCTGACCTCCTGTGATCCACCCACCTCAGCCTCTCAAAGTGCTGGGATTACAAGCACGAGCCACCATGCCAGGCAGAAAGCTGGTTTTCTTGAGAGGTGATGAAGACTTGAGGCTACGTCAATCATACCTGAGTTAGAATTCCAGTTCCAGCACCTACAATCTCTATTTCCTTTGATAAATGACATCACCAGTCTGCCCTTCAGTTCCCTCCTTTAGAAAATGAGTATTTTAACAAAACCTATCTCTGTATAACATACAGCAATCATGATGCCTACACCATGAGGATTCAGTGTGATACTGTAGGAAATCCTTTAACGCAAGGCTTGGCACAAAAAGACACTCCTATCAACCTTAAAATATTAAGACTAATATTAAACTAAGACTTGAGGGCTTGTTATATATCAGGAACATAACACCATGAATTCTCATAGCAACATCATGAGACAGATAATACTGTCATGATTTCCATATTATGGAAGAGGGAACTGAGGCTCAAGGAGATGTTACTTGTGGAAAGTCACACATTTGGGATTTAAAATAAGGCAGCCTGTCTCCAGAACCCATATTACTCACCATTATGCTAGACTGGACTCCCTCACCCTCGTAACCCATGTTGTGTGCCCAAAATTCAAGTTTCTTCTGGGCTTGAGGTCTTTGAACAGCTAGAGGTCTTCCATCCCTTCCATCTTCTGTACTGGAGTGGATGATTCAAGAAGTAGAAAACTGGCCAGGTGTGGTGGCTCACACCTGTAATCCCAGAACTTTGGGAGGCTGCGGTGGGTGGATCACCTGAGTTCAGGAGTTTAAGACCAGCCTGGCCAACATGGTGAAACCCCATTTCTACTAAAAATACAAAAATTAGCCAGGTGTGGTGGTGCGCACCTGGAATCCCAGCTGCTCGGGAGGCTGACACATGAGAATTACTTGAAGTGGGGAGGTTGCAGTGAGCCAAGATCACACCACTGCACTCCAACCTGGGTGACAGAATGAGGTTCCATCTCAAAAAAAAAAAAAGAAAAGAAAAGAAAAGAAATGAAAAAAGGGGGAAAAATACAAAACCTTCTGCTCTTTGACCATGCAGATTATGATAATACTGTAGGGTAGTGATGCTCTGCTGAGAACATGCCTCAGAATTGCCTGCAGGCCTTGTTGAAACACAGGTTTTCGGTTTCTGATTTAGTAGGTCTGGGGTGTGGTCTAAGAATTCGTGTTTTTAACAAGTTTCAGATAGCTGAGTGTGTGGTGTATGCCTATAGTCCTGGCTACTTGGGAGGCTAAGGCAGTAGGATTGCTTGGGTGCAGGAGGTCGAGGCTGGAGTGAGCTGATATTGCACGACTGCATTGCAGCATGGGTGACAGAGCAAGACCCTGTCTGTCTGTCTAAAAAAAAAAAGTTCCAAGGTGATGCTGATGCTGCAGGTCTGGAGGCTGCACTTTGAGAACCACTGAACTATAGCAGAGCAACGAGTTTGAAGGAATCTGGGTCCATGATTGACCACAAGGAGGGGAGCCACCTTGCCATGCTGGACTAACTGTCTACTTCAAGAGGGACACAAAATAGAGAAAGAAACTTGTATTTTATTTCAGTGACTGCATTATGGGATCTGTTGGTTACAACAACCTGGCCTTTACCTTAATTAATATAGACATTTTTCAGGCTGTTTTCCTGCAGATGCCCTGATAGATATCTTTGTTCCCACCAGCCTTCAGTGACTTAGCCAACATCTGTCAGCAGGTCCAGTTCTGTGGATTCCCCTCAAGGTCCAGAGCTTGCTTCCTACTTTCCTTCCTTCCTTCCTTCCTTCCTTCCTTCCTTCCTTCCTTCCTTCCTTCCTTCCTTCCCTCCTTCCTTTTCCTTTCTCTCTTTTCTTTTCTTTGGCAGGGTCTCACTCTGTTGCTCAGGCTGGAGTGCAGTGGTGCAATCACAGCTCACTACAGCTTCGAACTCCTCGGCTCAAGCGATCCTCCCCGCTTAGTCTCCTGAGTAGGTGGGGCTACAGGCACATGCTACCACCCCCAGCTAATTTTTTTATTTTTTGTAGAGACATGGTCTTGCTATGTCACCCAGGCTGGGATTACAGGCATTAGCCACCGTGTCTGGCTTCAGAGTGATTTTTCTACAGCACAAATTTGACTGTGACTTACCCTACTTTAAATCTCCCATGGCTCCAAAGGCTCTAGGAAAAAGTCAAAACTCCTCAGTGGGACATTCAGAGATTTTTCTAAGAATCCAAAGGACCTCTCATGGTCCATGTCCCAAAATTTCCCCCGATGGACCCTCTGGGCTAAACTTTTTCTCTTGTTACCTCTAGCCAAACACAACACAGTTCCAAGCCTCCTGCCCTTTCCTCTTGCTGTTCCTCCTCCCTGAGGTGCCTTTCATGGCTCAGGCTGTGGCCAGGATCAGCGTGGAGTCAGTAGCTTGGATGGGTGGTCCAGGTCCAGTGCTCACTGAGTGACCAGGATCTGGTCTCAGAATGTGACCGAGGTCTGGGTCAGCGTTCAGGCGGAAGCAAGGCTTGGGGTTCAGGTTGTCCATTTTTCATTTTCTCAGAATATTTACTGACCTGTTGTCAGCTGATATTTTGAGATATCCAAGCCCTGGGCCATTCTGGCACCAGATGGAGTCCAAGGGCTAGGCTAGGATGGCTCCTGGGTGTCATAGTCATTGAAAGGTTCACTGTTGTATTAAAGAACCCAAAACCTCAGTGGGGTTCAGTCACGGGGCTCCATATCAGATCTGAGCATCTGAGTCCTCTGCCCATCCCTGGAGCCCCAGGATCCCCTCCCTGCTTAGTTATCCCAGTGCTCCCCCTACCATCCCACAGCTGCATTTGGTTTATTAGAAGGGTGGGGAGCAGTAAATGTATTTGACCAACTCTTGTGTACCAGGTCTAGTACACACATGTCCTCACTGAGTCTTCAAAACAACACTGTGGGCCATGGACGGTTCCTCACACCTGTAATCCCAGCATTTTGGGAGGCCGAGGCGGGAAAATCACATGAGGGCAGGAGTTCAGGACCAGCCTGGCCGACATGGTGAAACCCCATCTCTATTAAAAATATAAAAATTAGCTGGGTGTGGTGGCGTGCGCCTGTAATCCCAGCTACTCAGGAGGCTGAGGCAGGAGAATCGCATGAACCCAGGAGGCAGAGGTTGCAATGAGCCAAAATCACACCACTGAACTCCAGCCTGGGCAACACAGTGAGACTCTGTCACAAAACCTGCCCCCATCAAAGCCCCCAAAAAACCCTGTGGAGGAGTGCTATTCTCAGCCCCATTTTATTTTTTTAATTTATTTTTGAGACAGTGTCTCACTCTATCACCCAGGCTGGAGTGCAGTGGCATGATCACAGCTCACCACAGCCTTGACTTCCTGGGCTCAAGTGATCCTCCCACCTCAGCCTCCTGACTAGGACTACAGGTGTGTGCCACTAAGCCTGGATAATTTTTAAATTTTTTTGTAGAGAAGGGGTCTCACTGTGTTGCCCAGGCTTGTCTCAAACTCTTGGGTTCAATCGATCCTCCTGCCTCAGCCTCCCAAAGTGCTGGGATTACAGGCATGAGCCACTGTGCCTGGCTGCATCACCATTTTATAGATAAGGAAACAGAGGCACAGAGGAGTGAAGACATTTGCTGAACTTCACATCACTAGCGGCTGTTCCAGAATTCAGGTAGAACAGTTACTTCAGATCTATTCTCCTTTGCATGGCCACTCCATTCTCATTTTACAGATGAGAAACGGAGGCTCAGTGAGGGGAAATAGGGGAAATGTCTTCATTAGGACTGTACAGGCAAGGGTAGGATTTGAACACTGCATTCCTCTTTACAGGGCACAGATAAGTACCTGAGGTATTCCAGGGCTGTCCAGGTGGAGGCCCTTGCCTTGGCCACAGGAGTGCATGGAGTGGGGGTGATATTAGAACACAGGTCACCGAAGTGGGTGGATCATCTGAGGTCAGGAGTTCGAGAGCAGCCTGGCCAACGTGGTGAAACCCTGTCTTTACTGAAAATACAAAAATTAGCTGGGTGTGCTGGTGCTTGCCTGTAATCCCAGCTACTCAGGAGGCTGAGGCAGGAGAATCACTGGAACCCGGGAGGTGGAGGTTGCAGTGAGCCAAGATGCCTCCATTGCACTCCAGCCTGGGTGACAGAGCGAGACTCCATCTCAAAAAAAAAAAAAAAAAAAGAACGCAGTTCAGAAGAATTCCTCAGGAGATTAAGGGTCCCCACCTGCTTTGTCCACAGAGTTTATGTCCTTCTCAAGAAGGGTGTGAGAGAGATACACAGAGAAATGTCTAGGGATACAGGGCTCTTTTATTGCTAGTTTTTTTTTTTTTTTTTTTTTTTTAAGATGGAGTCTCACTCTGTTGCCCAGGCTGGGGTGTTGTCCAGGCTGGAGTGGAGTACTTTAGCTGTGGCAGCCCATCAGTAGCTCCCCCAGCCCATGTTTAGCTCCCTGGACCTGTCTCTAGCTCCCTCCACCTCTCTATGAATGTCTATATCTCTCCCTGTGCCAATTACACATTCCTCAAACACTTACAGTGTGTCCTCCCCATGGCATATTGAGTCTCATTTCCATCCTCACAATGACTCTATAGGGTAGGTGTATTAGTTCATTCTCATGCTGCCAATGAACACATACTTGACACTGGGTAATTTATAAAGAAAAAGAGGTTTAATGGACTCACAGTTCCACATGGCTGGGGAAGCCTAACAATCATGACAGAAGGCAAAGGAGGAGCAAAGACACATCTTACATGGAGGCAGGCAAGAGACAGAGTGTGTGCAGGGAAAACTGCCCTTTGTAAAACCATCAGATCTCGTGAGACTTATTCACTATCACGAAACAGCATGGGAAAATTCACTCCCATGATTCAATTACTTCCCACTGGGTCCCTCCCATGACATGTGGGGATTACGGGAATTACATTTCAAAATGAGATTTGGGTGGGGACACAGCCAAACCATATCATTCCACCCCGACCCCTCCTAAATCTCATGTCCTCACATTTCAAAATAAATCATGCCTTCCCAACACTCCCTCAAGGCCTTAACTCATTTCAGCATTAACTCAGAAGTCCACAGTTCAAAGTCTCATCTGGTACAAGGCAAGTCGCTTATGCCTATAAACCTGTAAAATTAAAAACAAGTTAATTATTTCCTAGATACAATGGAGGTACTGCCACTGGGTAAATACACCCATTCCAAAAAGAGAAATTGGCCAAAATGAAGGGGCTATAGGCCCCATGCAGGTCCAAAGTCCAGCAGGGCAGTCAAATCTTAAAGCTCCAAAATGATCTCCTTTGACACCATGTCTTACATGCGGGTCACACTGTTGCAAGAGGTGTGTTCCCATGACGTCAGGCAGCTCTGCCCCTGTGGCTTGCAGAGTACAGCCCCGCTCCTGGCTGCCCTCACGGGCTGGCATTTTGTGTCTGTGGCTTTTCCAGGTGCACAGTGCAAGTTGTTGGATCTACTATTCTGGGGTCTGGACGACGGTGGCCCTCTTCCCACAGCTCCACTAAGCAGTGCCCCAGCAGAGGCTCTGTGTGGGGGCTCCAACCCCACATTTCCTTTCTTCACTTCTCTAGCAAAGTTCTCCATGAGGACTCTGCTCCCTTAGCAGACCTCTTCCTGGACATCCTGGTGTTTCCATACATCCTCTGAAATCTAGGTGGAGGTTCCCAAACCTCAGTTCTTGTCTCCTGTGCACCACAGTCCCAACACCACGTGGAAGTTTTGAAGGCTTGGGGCTTGCACCCTCTGAAGCAAACACTTGGCCAGCTTTAGTCAAGGCTGGAGTGGCTGGGAGGCAGGGTACCAAGTCCCAAGGCTGCACATAGCAGGGGATCCCTGGAGACATTTTCCCCATTGTCTTGGTGATTAACATTCTGCTCCTGGTTACTTATGCAAATTTCTGCAGCTGGCTTGAATTTCTCCCCAGGAATTGGGGTTTTCTCTTGCATCTTCAGGCTGCAAATTTTCCAAACTTTTATGCTCTGCTTCCTCTTGAATGCTTTGCTGCTTAGAAATTTCTTCTGCCAAATACCCTAAATCATTTGTATCAAGTTCAAAGTTCCACTGATCTTTTGGGCAGGGGCAATATGCCACCAGTCTCTTGGCATAGCAACAGTGGCCTTTAGTGCAGTTCCCAACAAGTTTCCCTTCTCCATCTGAAACCACCTCAGCCTGGACGTTATTGTTCATATCACTATCAACATTTTGGCCAAAGCCATTCAACAAGTCTCTAGGAAGTTCCAAACTTTCCCACATTTTCCTGTTTTCTTCTGAGTCTTCCAAACTGTTCCAACCTCTGCCTGTTACTCAGTTCCAAAGTAGCTTCCACATTTTTGGGTATCTTTAGAGCAGTGTCCCACTCCCAGTACCAATTTACTGTGTTAATCCATTCTCATGCTGCTAATGAAGACGTACTTGAGACTGGGTAATTTATAGACAAAAAGAGGTTTAATGGACTCATATTTCCACATGGCTGGAGAGGCCTCACAATCATGGTGGATGGCAAAGAAGTAGCAAAGGCACGTCTTATATAGCAGCAGGCAAGAGAGAGCAGCAGGCAAGCAAGGGAAACTTCCTTTTATAAAACCATCAGACCTCATGAGACTTATTCACTATCAGAAGAACATCACGGGAAAACCCGTCCCCATGAGTCAATCATCTCCCACAGTGTCCTTCCCACAACGTGTGGGGATTATGGGAAATACAGTTTGAAATGAGAATTGGGTGGAGACACAGCCAAACAATATCACTAGGTATCCATATTTTCCAGATAAGGAAACTTTAGGCTCCAAGCTGAGCTTGCACTTGCCTGAGCATCTTTAGCACAACAAATGAATGACAAAGCTGGGATTTGAACTCAGGTATGTCTGACTCAAATTAGTCCTTTATTCTGACTTCCCAGAGTGTGCCCCTCAGAGCCTTGGACCTGAGAAATAGTGACGAGTGCTGTGATGGAAAAGAAAAAGCTGAGAAGCCAAATAGTCCGCACAGCTGCTGTCAGCCCCCTCCCCTCTTGATGTTATTTTAAAGGCACATAAACATTCTAAAGACCCTGAGAAGTCCTGCAGGTGAGAAATTGGCTTCCTGTCATTTAACCCAGTTTCTCCCTTGCTATTTACCTGCAGAATCCCTTTTCTCCAGAACTTATTCTCTTCCTCTGCCTCTCACACTCTCTCTCTTTCTCTCTGCCTCCTACTCTTTACTATCTCTCTCTGTCTCCACATTCTGCTGAGAGAGGCATCATGGGGTAGTGATTAAAACAGTAGGCTGTAGAACCAAACTTTCTGGGTTTGACAACTGATTCTACCTTTAGCCTGCTGCGTGACATTGGGAGAAGTCTCAACCCCTCTGTGTTTCACTTTCTCCATCCACAAAATGGGGGTGAAAACAATTACTACATCAAAGGGTGACAACTAAGTGAATTACTCTATTGAAAGCACTTCATGCCTCCTTATCAGTGCTCCCCAAGGGTGGAATGAGGACCCAGAGTACCCGTATTAGGCCATACTTGTGTTGCTATAAAGACTGTGCCAGATTGCACAACACAGCAGGAGACAGGTCCTGGGGTCAGGAAAGTCCATGGTGGCATCTTTCCTAGGTCAGGAAAGTGTGGGTTGTACTTTGTTGGTCCTCTCCTCGTGGGTTGGGGAAGTATGGGGTGCAGCTGCTCCTGGCAGCTTTGACTTTCAGCCTCAGATAATGCATTGCCTGTGTCTAATCCACATGGATGTGGGGTGACTCAGCCACCTCCATTCCCTGAATCAGCATCTTCAGTGGCGGCAAGTGGTTTGTTTAGCTATGCAAGCAAGATGCAGATTTCCCATTTTAAATGAGAAAAAAAGCAGCAGGCAGAGACAGCAGATGTGGACACATTCATTCACATGTTGGGTGATTAGGGACTGACCCCTGCCAGGGGCAGGGAGGGGACAGGCTCACAGCAGTGATGGAGACAGACCCAAGCCTAGGGGACATCAATCAAACTGGACCCAGTATCTGTGCTTCTGGATCTCAGATTCTAGAGAAACAGAGACACAGAAGGGGATAGAAGAGGGTGGGGAAGAGGTAGGGGGCAATGGGAAGAGAGGGGGGTTGCATTGATTTGAGATCTTTCTTCTTCTTAAAGAACGTTTAGTTACTGTAAAGTTCCTCTGTGAGCTATCTGCACCCCATGTTTATTGTAGCATACTCACACAGCCAATATATACAATCAACCTAAGTGTCTATCAACAGATGAATGAATGGATAAAGAAAATGTGCTATGCATGCATGTACACACACACACACACACACACACACACACACACAAATATTATTTAGCCTTAAGAAAGAAGAAAATCCTGTCCTTTGCAACACCAGGGGTGAACCTGGACCATGTTACATTAAGTGAAATAAGTCAGGCTCAGAAAGATATATACTGCATGATCTCACTTTTAAGTGGAGTATAAAAAAGTTTAACTCACAAAAGCAAAGAGTAGAATGGGGGTTACCAGGAGTTGGTGGAGAGGGTGAGGAGATGTTGATCAAAGGATACAAAATGTCAGTTAGGAGGAATAAGTTCAGGAGATCTATTACATAAATGGGTGACTATAGTTAATAACAATGGATTGTGTTAACTATACATTAATTGAAAAGCAATTACTTGAAATTTGCTAAATTTGAAAATTGCTAAGTGGTTTATGACTCCCACCTGGGGGTGAAGCAATGCTCCACAGCCACTGAAAGCAACCCTGCTCTCCTCAAGAGACCCCGCTGAGCATCTGCTGAAGACCCGGGCATTAGCCCCTCCTGCCTACCTCAGTCAGTGCCCACACACAATTGAGGGGTCTGAGGACAGGCCCACCTGATCCAGCTCCACCCCTCTAGTGCCCAAACATGTCATACGGGGGACTAGGTATCATCCTGCTCCATCCAACACCTTTGGCAGCTGAGTATCAAAGTACCAAAGTACTCGGCACCTGAGTACTCCTCCCAGGGAGGAGGTGGGCCCACCCAACCTGCCGCTACCACCATGGCTGGCACCCACCTGCATGTGCCACCAGCAGGCCTGGTGACTGGCCTATCCAGCCCATTATACCACCAACCACAAAAGCATGGACCATTTTGGAGCTAGAGGATTATCCTGCCACAGCTACTGTTCATGCCATGTCCACCACGCAGGGGCCTGAGGTCCCACCTACCAGCCCAGCCCACCATTCCACTGTCAGAACCTGAGAAAGTCACCTGGAGGCCCAAGAATTGGCCCACCTAGATCCACTAACACCATTGCCAGTGTATGCTACCCTCAGACCCAAGGACAGGCATACTCACCATGCTGCTGCCACCCCTTGGCGCACCTAATGTCCCCATCTCAGAACAACTTTACCACGGCTTCCACTAACAACCACACCCTAAGCCAATGGGGAAATCACAGACACTACTGACACTGTTTACAGAGGAAGAAATCGTATGGGAACCACACTAATGCGTGCACTCAGAGTCAAAGTCAAAGTGCCCAACCCAACCAACACCATAGGTACAACTTCAGGGAAAATGTCCTCCCCTATGAAAGCAGATTCAAAAAATTAAAAGAAGCAACCATGATCCCAAATGCACAGATATCAATGTAAAGACACAAGAAACATGCAAAAGCAAGAAAACATGACACCCCCAAAGGAACACAATAATTCTCCAGCAAGAGATTCTAAAAAAAATTAATCTAGGCCAGGTGCGGTATCTAATACTTGTAATACCAGCACTTTGGGAGGCCAAGGCAGGTGGATCACTTGAGGTCAGGAGTTCGAGACCAACATGCCCAACATGGTGAAACCCCACCTCTACTAAAAATACAAAATTCGCCAGGAGTGGTGGCACACACCTGTAATCCCAGTTACTTGGGAGGCTGAAGCATAAGAATTGCTTGAACCTGGGAGGTGGAGTTTGCAGTGAGCTGAGATCGCACCACTGCACTCCAGCCTAGGCTACAGAGGGAGACTCCATCTCAAAAAAAAAAAAAAAAAAGAAGAAGAGGAAGAAGAAATCCATAAAATGCCTTAAAATTCAAAAGAGTGATATTTAAAAAGCTCAGTGAAACACAAGAGAAGTAAAAAAAATACAAAAATGTCAGAAAATTCAGAATATGAATGAGAAATTTACCAAACAGATCACTATCATAGAAAAAAAGATCCAAACAAATTCTGGAACTGAAGAATTCATTGAATTAAATACAAAACAAATTCAAAAGCTTCAATGATACACTAGATAAAAAAAAATTAACAACTACATAACCTGAAGACAGGTCTTTTGAAATAACTCAGTCCAGAAAAAAATAAAAAAATAAGAAACAATAAGCAAAGCATATCTGATATATAAAACATAAGAAAGCAACCAACTATTCAAATTTTGACTATCCCAGAAGGCAAAAAGGAAACAAAAGGGATAGAAAACCTGTTTAATGAAATAATAGCTAAATTCTTCTAAAATCTATCAAGAGATTTAGATATCTAGATATACGAAGTTCAGAGACCCCTAGGTAGTTACAATGCAAAATGTTCTTCTCCATGGCACATTGTATTCAGATTGCTTAAAGTCAAAGATTAAGAGCAAATTCTAAAAACAGTGAGAAAAAAGCATTTAGCCATCTATAAAGGAGCCCATCAACAGTGGATTTGCAAGCAGAAACCTTACAAGCCAGGAGAAAATGGGATCATATATTCATTGAGCTGAGTTTTCGCTCGCTCTCCACCACTGCTGAATGCCGCCTGCAGACGTGCCACTGACTTCCACCCGTCCGGATCCAGCATGGTGTCCACTGATAGAAAAAAACTATCTGCAAGATACTGTACCCAGAAAAGTTATACTTTGTAAATGAAAAGGAAATAAAGTCTTTCCCAAACAAATAAAAGCTGAGTAAATTTATCATCACTAAACCATACCTACAAGAAATGCTTAAAGGGATCTTACACATAGAAGCAAAAGGAGGATATCTACCATAAGGAAGCACACAAAATATAAAACCCATTGGTAGAGAAAACACACAAATGAGGAAGAGAATAGACTCAAATGGAAGCACAACAACAACAAAAAACCCACCAAACTGTTACAGGAGGGTCTTTCTTTTTAGAGCTCCCAAGATGGTGATGGGCCGCTCCCAGATGGGGCAGGCCACTTCCAAGATGGCAGCAAGCCTTTTGTTCTCTGAGCTGGGGTTCTTGGCCTCATGGATTCCAAGGAATTGAACCCTGGGCCATGCAGTGAGTGTTATAGCTCTATTAGAAGCCATGGGTCATGGAAGAGAACCGTGGAACCCAGTGACTAGTGTTCAGCTCGATTAGAACAAACCCAGGCACTTAGCCATGGAAGAACAGTGGTGAGCCTTTAGCCTGATTGGGAGCAGCAATGGGTGCCTTGCTGGGTCAGGAGTGCAGCGGACACCATGCTGGATCTGGAGGGGTGGAAGTCAGTGGCACATCGGCAGGCGGCATTCAGCAGTGGTGGACAGCGAGCAAAAGCTCAGCTCAAGCTGGAACAAACATGGACCAGAAGAGTGTGCATTGGCAAGATTTAATAGAGTGAAAACAGAGCTCCAATACAAAGAGAGGGGACCCAAAGGGGGTTGCCCACCCCTGGCTCCAATGCCTGGGGTTTATATCCCAATCATTGTCCCTCTCCCTGTGCTCTCAGATGATAGATGATTTGACTATTTCTTTACCTCCTACTTTTAGCCTAATTGGTATTTTAGTGAGCCCTCTTTACTACCTGATTGGTCAGGTGTGAGCTGAGTTACAAGACCTTTGTTTAAAGGTGGGTGCAGTCACCTTCCCCAGCTAGGCTTAGGAACTCTTAGTCGGCCTAGGAAATCCAGCTAGTCCTGTCTCTCAGTACCCCCTCTCAACAGGAAAACCCAAGTGCTGTTGGGGAGGTTGGCCAACAACTGTACTAACTTCTTTCTGCTGAATGGGGGCATAATAGGGGTCATGCAGTTGAGATTTCCTCAGGAGGGATGTCTTTGATGTCATCAACATTGGAGCATGGGCTAGGAGGCAGATCCAGGGGTCTGCCGTAGATCTTAGCCATGGACTGCACCTGGGGCTCCGTTTGAAGAACTATTTGTAGTTTTACAGCTTCAATTCTGGAAGAGACAAACTTAACAAGGAGGTTAAAGACACAGGGATTGAAATGTCTGGCCTGAAGTGCAGGGGATTATTTCTTTGGCACACTTCACAGGCCCTGACTACCTGCTTGATAGTTTTGAAAAGGCCTGGTCCAGCAAATAATGATTTGGCCATTGGATGGGTGCTATCAACGCCTAAATGAAAGGTTTGGTGAAGGGTTTTAAGTAATTTCCATTGGTTAGCTGCAGGCAAAAGTATTTTTCCTTCTTTGGTGGCTAGACATCCTGAGGGGAGGGAACTATGTCCTTGTGAGGTACCCCATTCTATTTCTTCTGCTGAGCACTGGGGCTTGGTTTCCTGGAGGGGATTACCCCATACTAGGGTTCCTTCTATAAGCATTTCTAATGGAGGGTCCCGCCTTGTGGCTCTTTGGCTTCAATATCTGCTTGGTGGTTCCCTTCTATTTCCCTTTCCTTTCCTTTCTGATGACCCCAGCAGTGTAAGATGGCCACCTCTTTAGGTTTCCGTACAGCCCATAATAACTCATAATGGCTTCCTGATGTTTAATAGGTGTTCCCTCAGAAGTTAGGAATTCCATTTCTCACCATATTTTTGTGTAGGCATGGAGGAGAAGGTAAGCATAATTAGAGTGTTTATATATATTTACCCTTTTCCCTTCTCCTAATTCTAGTGTATCATGGCCCCTGCTTTTGCTAGGATGTCTCTCCCTAACAAAGGAGTGGGGCTTTCAGGCATAATTAGAAAGGCATGTGAAAAGAGTAAAGTCCCCCAGTTACAACTTAGTGGCTGGGCGAAGTAACTAGTGACTGCTTGTCCTAGGACCCCTCGGATAGTAACAGATCTGGAAATCCAGCTAGTCCTGTCTCTCAAAACTACAATGATAAACAATAAGAGAAAAAGAAAGGAAGAAAGGATATACATACATAAAGAAGCCAACTAATAATATGACAGGATTAAGCTCTCACATATCAATAATAACCTTGAATTAAATGGATTAAACTTTCCACTTAAAAGAAAGAGACTGGCTGAATGGATTTAAAAAGCATGACCCAGCTATATGCTGCCTACAAGAAACACATCTCACCAGGAAAGACATATATAGTGAAAGTAAAGAAATGAGAAAAGATATTCCATGCAAATAAAAACCAAAAGTGAGCAGCAATACCTATGTTTATAAAGGAAACAGACTTTAAGTCAAAAACTGTAAAAAGAGACAAAGAAGGTCAATACATAATGATAAAAGGATCAATCGAGCAAAGGATCCATGAGGAAATTCCTGCCTAATAAATTTTGGTCAGACCGGTTGTCTGCTCTCAAACCTTGTCTCCTGATAAGATGTTATCAATGACAATGCTTGCCCGAAACTTCATTGCAATTTTAATTTCACCCCGGTCCTGTGGTCCTGTGATCTCGCCCTGCCTCCATTTGCCTTGTTATATCTTATTACCTTGTGAAGCATGTGATCTCTGTGACCTACACCCTATTCGTACACTCCCTCCCCTTTTGAAAATCACTAATAAAAACTTTCTGGTTTTACGGCTCAGGGGGCATCATGGAACCTGCCGACATGTGATGTCTCCCCCGGACCCCCAGCTTTAAAATTTCTCTCTTTTGTGCTCTGTCCCTTTATTTCTCAGGCTGGCCGACACTTAGGGAGAACAGAAAAGAACCTACGTGGAATATTGGGGGTGAATTTTGCCCGATATCTGGCTGAATTTCCCCTGATAATGCCACTCTCTATGTCCATGTGTACACATTGTTTAGCACCCACTTATGAATGAGAACATGTGATATTCACTTTCTGTGCCTGGCTTGTTTCACTTAAGATAATCCCCTCCAGTTGTATCCATGTTGCTATAAAAGACATTATTTTATTCCTTTTTATGGCTAAATAGTATTCAATGGTGTATATATACCACATTTTATTTAACCATTCATCTGTTGATTCCCTATTTTTGCTATTGTAAATAGCATTTGGACCACATTTCAAGTACTTAATTAGTGGCCACATGCAGCAAGTGACTATCACATTGGACAATGTAGCCCCAACCCACTGTATGACCTTGGGTAAGACTTGCAAACTGTCATTGCTTCAATATCTCCATCTATAAAATGGGGATGGCAACAATACCTCACTAAGAGTGTAAAGACTGAGTTACTGTGTGTAAAGCACTTCACGCCTCCCCATCGGTGCTTCACCCTGGGGCTGCAATGAGCACCCAATCTTAGTGTCAGATGACACAGCACAGCAAGACCGAGGCCCTTGGTTCAGGAAAGTCCATGCTGCCACCTCTTCAGGGTCAGGAAAGTACAGTTTCCACCTCTTACAAATAGGACTGTTTGTCTGCTCCTCCTGGGTCAAAGTAACTTCGGGTTCAGGTCCTGGATCCAGCAAAGGGTTTGCTTAACATTGCAAGAAAGATGTTGCCTCATGGTCAAAAGTCAGGCGTAGGATGAGACAGGCAGACACGCACACATTCACACCCACGTTTTGCAAAGATGGACTGACCCTGTCAGAGGATGTGTGGGTGAAGGTGCACAGTGAGGATAGAGACATATGGGAGTCCAGTAGACATCAATCAAACTGGACTCAGTTTGCACACACCTGGAGCTCAAGAGTCTCCAGGGGGAAAACAGAGACACAAAGTCAGACAGAGAGAGAGCCAGAGAAATTTCCTGCACCGTGAAGATAGTCAGAGGCAGGGAAGAAACTCCTTAGCACTAGTTAGAGTGATCAGAAACCAAGAGGACCTGATCGCTGTACCTGCCAGGTCTCAGTTTCTGTCTCCTTCCAACTGACCACCTCTTCCTCTGAGACTCACCAGTTCTGCATCTCTTGCTCCTCCTTCTGTTTCTCCGACCACTTCCACCTGTGGCTGTCACAGAAGGGCGGATGAAGGAGGGGACACTGGAGATAGACTCAGCATCTGCAGGCTTCCAAAGAGAGGGGCTAGGAGATCCACCAACACACCAGCACAAATACACCAGCACACACAGATACACACAATTGGTTCATGTATTGCTAGGTTACAGTTTGCTATGCTACAAAGGCAGTAGGCCAAATTTGATTGAATTGAATAATTCCTTATTTTCATCAGCTTCTCCTTTTTTTTTTTTTTTTTTTTTTTTTGAGATGGAGTATTGCTGTGTCACCCAGGCTGGAGTGCAGTGGTGTAATCTTGGCTCACTGCAGCCTCCACCTCCCAGGTTCAAGTGATTCTCTTGCCTCAGCCTCCCGAGTAGCTGGGATTAAAAGTACCCACCATCACGCCCGGTTAATTTTTGTGTTTTTAGTACAGATGGGGTTTTGCCATGTGGGCCAGGATGGTCTCGAACTCTTGACCTCAATTGATCTGCCCCCCTCAGCTTCCCAACGTGCTGGGATTACAGGTGTGAGCCACCGCACCCAGCCAGCCTCTCAGTTTTGAACATGCACTACCACCACCTCCACAACACACAAATGTAAATGCACTTTCGTATATAAAACTGTATAAATACAAGGAAGCTCATACACATGCAAGGATACACACATAAGCACCCCCAGATTCAACCACAGAAATATACGCCAGTACATTTGCATAAATTCAAACACCCCTTTACATGTAAAAATCATATAAGCACATACAGGGATGCAAGCAGGCATGGACAAATGCATGCAAGCACAGACAAACAGACAA
This sequence comes from Homo sapiens, assembly GCF_000001405.40. NCBI lineage: Eukaryota > Metazoa > Chordata > Mammalia > Primates > Hominidae > Homo > Homo sapiens. The sequence continues at coordinate 40,990,958 of NC_000019.10, forward strand.
AGCTAAGTAAAAAAGTGCAAGCTCACCTATGCTTACAAAAATAGACATACATATACCCACAAACCCACACACCCACACATTCACTTGCTCACCTGGACTTTGATATCTCTACCACTGTATCCCTGCCAATATCTACAGAGTGGGTAAAGGGATAGGCATCAGGTCACTGGGTTGCCCAAGCAGGAAGTCTGGGTTCCCTAACAACTTTTTCTAAGCTAATGCTCCTGGATGATGATGAAAAAGGAGGTGGGGAATGGATGAAATTTTATAACAGGGTGCAGAGGCAGGGTCAGGATAAAAGGCCCAGTTGGAGGCTGCAGCAGGGTGCAGGGCAGTCAGACCAGGACCATGGAACTCAGCGTCCTCCTCTTCCTTGCACTCCTCACAGGACTCTTGCTACTCCTGGTTCAGCGCCACCCTAACACCCATGACCGCCTCCCACCAGGGCCCCGCCCTCTGCCCCTTTTGGGAAACCTTCTGCAGATGGATAGAAGAGGCCTACTCAAATCCTTTCTGAGGGTAAGACACAGACGAATGGGGTCTGAGGGTGAGCTGCTTCTTGCCTTGGTACTTGGGGAAGCTTCACCAAACAGAATGAGGCAGACTTCCAGAGTCAGGGGTGGCACGGGCATGGTTGGTGAGTACGGAGCATGGTGAAGCATGATGGGTGGTATTATTAGGAGAAAAGCATCAAATTAAATTTAGCAGAGTTTATTTGAGCAAAGAAGTGACTCATGAGTTGGACAGCTCCCTAAACCAGGAAAGACACCACACGGCAGTATGGTCAAGTGGTATTTACAGGCAGAAAAAGGAGGTGACATACAGAAACAGCCTGATTGGCCACAGATCACAGCTTGCCTTACTTGGTCACAATCTGAGCAGTTTGCAGCCTGTGTGGACTGAAAGCCCAGCTGCTCTGATTAGCCAACACTTGGCTACTTGTCACAAGAATATATTCATTTGGGCCAGGTGCAGTGGCTCATGCCTGTAATCCCAGTGCTTTTGGAGGCCGAGGTGGTGGATCACCTGAGGTCAGGAGTTCGAGACCAGCCTGGCCAACATGGTGAAACCTTGTCTCTACTAAAAATACAAATATTAGCTGGGCATAGTGATGCGTGCCTGTAATCTCAGCTACCCAGGAGGCTGAGGAAGGAGAATCACTTGAATCCAGGAGGCAGAGGTTGCAGTGAGCCAAAATCTTACCACTGCACTCCATCCTGGGTGACAGAGTGAGACTCCTTCTCAAAAAAAAAAAAAAAAAAAAGAATATACTCCCAAGTTAGGTTGCAGTTCACTCTACAGAGAGAGCTTTAGGTCAAATTTAATTTAATTAAACAATTCTCCCCTTTTGGTCAGCCTCAAAATTTTGAGATTGACCAAAACCTTGGGCATCAACATTACTTCTGTCACCATCATAATGGACTTGTCTGCTCTCAGTATGGAATTCACAATGGACAATGTCAACGTAGTTGAGTGATTCTTTACCTTTTCTTCATGTTTTTGTTGTTCCCACTGTAATGAGCCCACTGGATGTACAAAGAATGGCTGCATATGAGCATTTAAGACTCTTTTTTTTTCTGAGACAGGGCCTCACTCTGTCAGCCAGGCTGAAGTGCTGTGGCATGATCACGTCTCACTGCAGCCTTGACCTCCCAAGGCTCAAGTGATCCTCCTGCCTCAGCCCCCCAAGTAGCTGGAACTACAGGTGCATGCCACCACGCCCAGCTAATTTTTGTATTTTTTGTAGAGACAGGGTTTTGCCATGTTGCCCAGACTGGTCTTAAACTCCTGGGCTCAAGCAATCCACCTGCCTCGGCCTCCCAAAGTGCTAGGATTACATGTGTGAGCCACCGCACCCGGCCAAGACTCTTGAGAAAATACAACACATCAGGGAGACTGTTATGATGGCTCTCAGGAGGGTAATACGAAGAAAATGAAGTCACTGGGCCTGTAATAAACTTTGAGGAATGTGGACTTGGGGGTATAGATAAGGTCCACTGTCCACAGAGAGAAGAAAGGCTGTTAATAGTCTCTTTTAACTTGAGTGTGTCCATGAACCAAACTGATCAAAATCGAATAATTCGAAGTTCAGACAATAAAGATAGTTCAATAGTATTAGAGTCCAATTGGTCATAGATTTTGTTCAGGGCATGATGGTAATTAAGGACCAGAGCTTGCTATAAAATAACTTGATTTATAGAGACATTCATTTGTAGTTGGCCTGGTAACATATAGTATCCTGGAGACCCACTAGAAGAAACATTAAGAGTAGAAAAGTTTGGGATAGCCAGGCTTGCTGTGTTAGTCCATTCTCACACTGTTATAAAGACATACCTGAGACTGGGTAATTTATAAACAAAAGGGATGTAACTGACTCACAGTTCCACATGGCTGGGGAGGCCCCAGGAAAATACAATTCATGGCAAAAGGTGAATGAGAAGCAGGAAACTTACAATCATGATGGAAGGTGAAGGAGAAGCAAGTACCTTCTTCACAAGGTGGCAGGAAAAAGAGAGAGAGCCAAGGGGGAAGAGCCTCTTATAAAACCATCAGATCTTGTGAGAACTCACTCACTATCACAAGAACAGCATGGGGGAAACCGCCCCCAGGATCCAGTTACCTCCTACTAGGTCCTTCCCTCCACACCTGGGGATTACAATTCAAGATGAGATTTGGGTGAGGACACAGAGCCAAACCATATCACTTACCATCACCATTCAGGATGCTTGCAAACCAACTGCTAGCTGCACCTGTAAACACATATCTGTTTCTTTCCCCTGAGAAATGTCCTTAGTGTATTTGTGGCAGTGTCTAGAGAAACAGCAGTGTCAGCCGCATTTTAAATTAAGTTATCTGCACTAGTGAATTCACTGGAAAGATAAGAGCAATATTTGGTTTTCTTCAGCACCATACACAAGCCTCCAAGATGGGCATAGAGGAGATCTAAAATTGCGTGATGTTCCATTAAGCGTTTTTGTTGCCACAAATGTTCTCATCTCAGTTTGGAGAGTGGCTTCTACCCATCTGAACTCCTTGGAGGTTCAATTAGCTGCAAAATTCAAGATGTCCCTTAATGTATAACTTAGCCTCAGATTCCATACAACTGTCACCCAAATACCACCAAGAATGAGCACCCAGGAACCCAACTGGAACCTTTTCTGAACAGAAACCAACTTATCTTCGTCGATTTTGAGGTTGATAGTAATTTCAGTTATTGACTGTTTTGGCTTTTAACTATGGGAGGTATTAGGAAACTCTCAGGGAAACAATTTGGAAAGCAGCAGTGAGCTAGGCCAAATAGCAAGTTCTGGACCTGTGAGGAGAAAGAACAGAGTAAGCAAACCTCAAGATACTCAAGGTAGGCACTCGTGGTGTTGGAAAAGAGGGTCACCTACTGGCATTAGAGCAGAGATCAGTTAGATTTGTTTACCCATAAGTCTGCATAGCTCCTGAACAAGGTGGGAAACTTACTTTTTTGTGGTCTTTTTCTAGCATGCTGCGAAGGTGCATAACCACATTTAGTTGGAAAGAGACTTTACTGTATTTACTTATTTATTTGTTTTTAATAGAGTTGGGGTCGTGCTATGTTGAACTCTTGGCCTCAAGCAATCCTCCCATCTCAATCTCCCAAAGTGCTGGGATTACAAGCATGAGCCACCATGCCTGGCCACTTTACATATTTAATCCAGTAACATTACACACGCAATTGCCCACACCCCCATAGGTAGTCCCCAGGTCTTGCATACGGGATGCCTGGAAGCAAAATATGCCTTTTGCAGCCATTATTCAGATACATTTCCTATATTTAGTAGTGATTATGTTATTAGCTAGTTAATAGTATGTTATTACGTACTGTTATTATATTAACTAACTAATAACATAATCACTACTAAATATTTCCAGTGAGTGCAAAAAAGCAAGTGGCAATGATGTCTAGAATATCAAGATATAGCTTTCCACTCCTCCTTTGGGGTTTCTGGGTGATTCTCATTGGGAACATGAAGAGGCATTGGCACCAGTGAAATTATTTCCTGATTTTGGGGCGTTGGTTCAGAAACTCAACAACTCCTTGTTTTTTTTGTTTGTTTGCTTGTTTTGCTAGAGTATAAGCCTTTGCTAAAGCCATTCACAGATTATAGTCCTATGGATTTTCTTGTAAGGAAAGGGAAAGGGTTAGGACAGCAAGAAATGGGGAAGAAAGGATAAAAGATAATGCTTTCATGATGGAAGAGAAATCTTGATCCACAATCTTGGAAAAGCTGTCCGCATATAAGATGCCAACTGCTTCTGGGGAAAAACTTCCCTGGTCAGCTTTGCCTTAAGGTCTCCAACAGACATACAGTTCTAGGAGTCTAGAAGGGTCCTTTCCAATGGAGAGATGTGGATCCAAGATCCGAGACCCTGACATTTTGCTACAGAGAAGAACTTGGCATTGTCCTTCCCAATGGAGTACAAGGAACAGTCTTAGAAGAACTTGGTACGGTCTCTTCCAATGGAGTTCAAGGACAGTTTGTCTGGTGTCATTTCCAAAGGGCCCAACCTCTAAATTCTAGATCATGAAAGGTCTGGTTGTCATCAACCGATGTGTCATCAATGACTCATTTTACCTGGTGAAAACATGCTTTGGCATAAAGTATTATAGCCTTGCATTATTGAGTCATATCAGAGTTTATAAGAGTGGGAGATACATGAGATTCTATTATTAGGGGCATAGGCCCTCTATTACTATTTTACAAGAGATCTATCTATGTCTTTCCAGTAGGAGTGGATCTGATTGCCATCAATCAATAATACCTGAGACCAAGGGACTCCAATCAATTCAGCATGCTTTGCCTAATGATATTTGTTTGTAATACTGTTGCGGGACAATCAAAGACTGGAGAGACCAAAAAAGGTTCAGGAGAGTTTATTAAATTAAGGTGATCACCGGTTCAGCCAGACATACATCCAGAAAGTCTGAGCCCCGAACAAAGGCTTTTCCTACTTTTAAACATATTAAGGTGGGAACTACATGAGGCAGGAAGCCAGTTTCAGAAGTGAGAAACAAAGCAGTTAAATAACATTTCTTACATCTTGAGAAAGACATGTCTTGCAACCTAACCTTATCGGTCCGGTGACCCTGCAGCTGTGCAGGAACTCACTGGGCCTGTAATAAACTTTGAGGGATGTGGAGTTGGGGAGTATAGGTAAGGTCCACTGTCCACAGAGAGAAGACAGGCTGTTAATATTCTCTTTTAACTTGAATGTAAGGTGTGGTCATACTTTGCAGCAACCTTAAGAGGATTTTAAAATTTATATTACTACTACTATTAGGTTATAGTTGATTTCATTAATTCCTTCTTCAATACCTTATTTAACTGTTTTACCACTTGTCTAGTGAAACAAGTACCTCTGTCACTGGAGAGTTCTCCAGGAATGCCCAGTAAGGAAATACATTTTCTAATAACCTTTTATCTACGGTTATGGCATTGATTGATCTTTGTGCATAGAAATGCTTTAATACAACCAGAAAACATGCAATGAAGCTGGCAGTTGAATTAACTCCAGCTTCAAGTGTTCAAATGATCTACCAAGTGCCAGAAATATATCACCTGAGGTTTTTGTTGTCTTACTAGAATTATGGATTTGATAAACCAAATATTAGTTATAAACCATTTAGTAATCTTAGAATAGTCACCTCATCAATATTTTTTCACTGTTTGGATCATTTTCTCTCTTCTATGATGAGTCATGGAATACGGAGCTTTTAGTAATGGAAATTTTAAGAACTCAGGAAGGACCAGGCGGCCATCTAGGGTCTCCATGAGTGCATGCTTCACATTGGAATTACAGACTCTAAAGTACAAATTTTAATACAATGAGTTGCAATTTATGCTTCTCTAATTCAGGTACATAACACTGGTTTATTAAATAGGTTATCATAGGTAATTTGATGGTGCCATTGCACTCCAGCCTGGGTAACAGATTGAGACCCTGTCTCTGAATTGGAACTGCACGGGGGCACTGTCCTTGGAGGGGTGAATGGGCATGAAGAGGTGTCTGGGTATGAGCCACAGGTATAGAATTTCACTCTTCTCTGCCATCCTCTGTTACATCCTGGGTACCTGCCTGCCACTGAAAGAATGAGGTAAAAGAGGTGGTGGCACGAATCAAATAGATCTTGCTGTGCCAATGAGAGAGAGCAGACTAGCCCATGTCAGTGCCAGGAGAGTGGAGGAGAGAGGGAGAGCAGGAGAGGAGTGTGGGTAGGGAGTGCTCATCAACAGTACACATAGTGCCCTATACCGGTAACTGCCACTGGCTCAGTATTTACCTGGGTTATCACTGCTTACCATGCCTGATTTTATGATTAATTATCTACTTATCATTACTAATCCATCAACCCACTTTCCAATGGGAGAATTAGAACACTGACAATACCTTCCAGCTCCTCTTCCCCTTCCCCCTCCCATGTTGACCATACTCCTGAATCTTAGGCTCGTTATCCTTTTACTATTAATAGAGTTATTTTTTTAATTTCTGATCAATGGTCTTTTTAATGATACCAAGTACAGAGTATATATGCCAATACTACTATGAATTTTTAAATTATTTGCTCAGACAGAATACATGGACATACAAATGATGAATGTGATAATTGTCATACATATATATTTATCTTAGACACTTAGTCAAAACATGTGGTCTTTGGTTATCAGTTAGACACTGTCACTTTACCTGGAAGATACAAGGTAATTGGTCACAGACTCTCAAATTATGAAACATTTAGATTTTTCAGGGGAATGACATGGAGGGAGCCAAGGAGTCTTATGATTAGATAAGATGTTGTTTGGGTGGCTCACGACACCACTGGGCAACACTCAAAGAGGTGGTGGCTTATACCTGTAATCCCAACACTTTGGGAGGCTGAGGTGGGAGGATCGCTTGAAGCCAGGAGTTAGAAACCAGCCTGGGCAACCAAACAAGACCTGGCTCTACAAAAAAGTTTTAAAAATTTAGCCAGGCATGGTGGCATGTGCCTGTAGTCCCAGCTACTTGGGAGACTGAGGCAGGAGGATGACTTGAGCCTTGTAGTTTGAGGCTGCAGTGAGCTATGATCACGTCACTGCCCTCCAGCCTGGGCACAGAGCAAGACCCTGTCTCTTAAAAAAAAATCATCTGCAATGTGAGGAGTGATAACATTTAGGAACGTGTGTATAGGTTTAAATGCTGGTCAAAGACATCCTACACAATTCGCTGAACCTTCTCTCTAAGGGTTTTTTCCCAAGCTCTGCAGACGCTATCTGGGCACAAATCATGCCTCTGTTAACAGAATTTGCTGTTCCTTCTAGCTCTTGGTATCCCACTGCCCGCTTTCTTTATGAAAGCTGGTATGGTCATTGAATATCCCAATCCTTTACAAATTTGGAAACAAGCAAAACTGTCAATGAAATTTGTATTTGCCTAAAATGAGTTTTCTTTCTTTCTTTTTTATTATTATTATACTTTAAGTTTTAGGGTACATGTGCACATTGTGCAGGTTAGTTACATACGTATACATGTGCCATGCTGGTGCGCTGCACCCACTAACTCGTCATCTAGCATTAGGTATATCTCCCAATGCTATCCCTCCCCCCTCCCCCCACCCCACAACAGTCCCCAGAGTGTGATGTTTCCCTTCCTGTGTCCATGTGATCTCATTGTTCAATTCCCACCTATGAGTGAGAATATGTGGTGTTTGGTTTTTTTGTTCTTGCGATAGTTTACTGAGAATGATGATTTCCAATTTCATCCATGTCCCTACAAAGGACATGAACTCATCATTTTTTATGGCTGCATAGTATTCCATGGTGTATATGTGCCACATTTTCTTAATCCAGTCTATCATTGTTGGACATTTGGGTTGGTTCCAAGTCTTTGCTATTGTGAATAATGCCGCAATAAACATACATGTGCATGTGTCTTTATAGCAGCATGATTTATAGTCCTTTGGGTATATACCCAGTAATGGGATGGCTGGGTCAAATGGTATTTCTAGTTCTAGATCCCTGAGGAATCGCCACACTGACTTCCACAATGGTTGAACTAGTTTACAGTCCCACCAACAGTGTAAAAGTGTTCCTATTTCTCCACATCTTCTCCAGCACCTGTTGTTTCCTGACTTTTTAATGATTGCCATTCTAACTGGTGTGAGATGGTATCTCATTGTGGTTTTGATTTGCATTTCTCTGATGGCCATTGATGTTGAGCATTTTTTCATGTGTTTTTTGGCTGCATAAATGTCTTCTTTTGAAAAGTGTCTGTTCATGTCTTTCGCCCACTTTTTGATGGGGTTGTTTTTTTCTTGTAAATTTGTTTGAGTTCATTGTAGATTCTGGATATTAGCCCTTTGTCAGATGAGTAGGTTGCGAAAATTTTCTCCCATTTTGTAGGTTGCCTGTTCACTCTGATGGTAGTTTCTTTTGCTGTGCAGAAGCTCTTTAGTTTAATTAGATCCCATTTGTCAATTTTGTCTTTTGTTGCCATTGGTTTTGGTTTTTTAGACATGAAGTCCTTGCCCATGCCTATGTCCTGAATGGTAATGCCTAGGTTTTCTTCTAGGGTTTTTATGGTTTTAGGTCTAACGTTTAAGTCTTTAATCCATCTTGAATTGATTTTGTATACTAAAATGAGTTTTCAAAAGGATCTTTGTGGCTACCTTATTAGTTCATAGAAAGTGGAGGCTTGTCTGGAATGATATTAAAGAATTTTTTTCATTTTAATTGTTTTAGAGACAGGGTCTCAGTCTGTTACCCAGGCTGGAGTACAATGGCACAGTCATAGCTCACTGCAGCCTTGAACTCCTGTGCTCAGGAGATTCTCCCACCTTAGCCTCCAGAGTAGCTGGGACTAAAAGTGTGAGCCACCATGCCCCACTATTTATTTTTGTAGAGATGTGTTTGGGGGACGGTCTCACTATGTTGCCTAGGCTGGTCTCGAACTCCTGGACTCAAGCAATCCTCCTGCCTCAACCTCCCAAAGCATTGGGATAAGTTTTGCATAGACATGTTTGACCCTCTCCCTTCCTTTATTGCAGCAAAGATTTCCATTTTCTCACAGGGAGGACTTGGGGCAAATTGTTTTTGTCGTTGTTATTGTTATTTGAGGATGTGGGTGGGTCATCTTGGTTAATGTCAGTGCAAGAACGGTGTCTGCTCCTCATTATTGGGGTTCCTTAGCTATTCAGGCAGGCAGCAGCTCCCTTGAGAAGACTTCCTGACCCCCAGGTCCCCATCATATGCTCTCATACACCAGCTGCCCCTCCTTACTGAGCCTATGTCCTTGATAGTGCTGCATTTACCTGTGATCCTGTGGCTGAGCTCTCCCTCACACTTCCAGACAAGGAAGGCCTGTGAGGTATCAGCACAGTGCTGAACATAGTACCTGGTACACAATAGGCATTTAGTAAATATGTGAACAGGAACAAATGAAGGAGTCAGTGAGTGAAAGCTCCAAGCCTGACTCAGCGGAACTGGCAGTCGGCCAGGGCCTACAAAGTGCTGCCTGGCCCTCAGTAGGGGGTGGCAGATCTGGGGATCCCTCTTCACCAAATAGAGTTGCATCATACAGGTAAAGGTCCCAAGTGCCTATTGTTTTCTTTTCATCATTTTCCATGTGTGACAAGAGTATCACGCAATCATGTGAATCAATGGACTTAGTTTTCTCACTAGACTAATGTGTCTAGGAATTATCTGTGTTGTCATGGGGATTTTCCAGGTGTCATTTACAACTACCTGTGGACAAGATGAGGTGCTACCCTCATCTTAGAATTAGGGATGGTGGCTGGGCATGGCAGCCCATGCCTATAATCTCAGCACTTTGGGAGGCTGAAGCAGGTGGATCAACTGAGGTCGGGAGTTCGAGACCAACCTGACCAACATGGAGAAACCCTGTCTGTACTAAAAAACACAAAACTAGCTGGGCATGGTGGCACATGTCTGTAATCCCAGCTACTCGGGAGGCTGAGGCAGGAGAATTGCTTGAACCCAGGAGGCGGAGTTTGCCCTGAGCTGAGATTGCATCATTGCACTCCATCATGGGCAACAAAAGTGAAACTCCATCTCAAAAAAAACCCAAACAGAAACAAACAAACAAACAAAATTAGTGATAGTGATGCTCAGCCTGGGGAAAGCATTTGTCCAGTGGCACACAACTGGGAAAAGGGGAAGCTGAGATCCAGCAGGAGGTCTGTCTCCAAAGCCCTCCTAGACTAAAGCTGCTTAACAATTTGTGGATTATGAAATTCTCATAGAGTTTGATTAAAGCTGTGGCCCCCTCTTTTCCAAATAGGCACATACATGTTTGCATAAAGTTGTGAGGCTTCACACACTCCCTAAAACTCTTTCATAAACCTTCCAAGGATCCTCTAGGTATTCACGACCATCTATTATGATTGCATCTCTTGGGGGTGGGGTAAAGAGGGAGGGCATGAGCAAGTGTGCATCAGGGCTGAGGAAGGTGGCGCTGTTGCTTCTCCATTTCCCAATAAGCTTCCAGATTCTTTTTGATGTCAGAGGGATGTGGGCTCGTGTCTCAGATTCAACCCGTATGCATTGAGTCACAGTTTTCTCTTCCGTCAGTTAAGATCATGACAATGAGAATGTGTGCCCCTAAGGTGGTTGTGAGGATTAAATGGGATATTGCATACAGCTAGTATATAATAAGTGCTCATTAAATGGCAACTACCTTGATCCACTCATTCATTTATTCACGAATCCAATAACAATTCACTGGGCACTTTCTATGTACCAGGAAATAGTCTAGGAATTGATGATGTGGCATCTTGGACAAGACATACGAGGTCACTGCGCTTATGGACATTCCATTGGCAGAGACAGATAAGCAAAAAATAAACAGATAAGGAAATGTTAGGTGGAGAAGAGCTACAATTAAACTAAAGCAGGGGGATATTTCAGACAGTGATGAGAACTACGTTAGATTGAGTGGTTAGGGGAAGACTGTCTTGTTTTTTTTTCTGAGCAGAGACAATGAAAGATTCAGGTGGAAGGCACTAGAAGGAGGCAGGGGTGGCTACAAGAATCCTGAAACAGGAAAAATGTCAGAGAACAACATGGAGGAATGAGTGGGAGGAGAAGTCAGAGCGGTAATAGGGCCACGTCATGTAGGACCATGTGAACCCTCAGTGGAGACTTCAGATCTTATTCTCAGCAAAGTGGGAATATTGTAGGCCTTGGTGAGCACGTGGATATTAATTATTTTACATTTTAGTGGGGTTACCCTGGCTTGTGGGGCAGTGAAACAATTGTTAAGTGGAGTAAGCATGTCATCCAGAAGTCCAGTGAAGGGGCTTTGCAGAGATCAATGCAGGGCATTTGTAAGTAAACTTAACAAATTTTATGACTTTTATGTCAAGTTTTTATTGAACTTGAACATCACTGTAAAAAGCGCACAGCTCAATGAATTTTCACAAACTGAACATACTCATGTAATTGACATGCAGGCCAAGTAGCAAGAATGCCCCGAAACCCTGCACCCTGTTCTTTTCTATTCACTATCCACCTACCATCTTGATCATGGGTTGATTTTATCTGTGTATGAACTTCTTTTTTGTTTTTGTTTGTTTGTTCCTGAGATTGAATTTTGCTCTGTCGCCCAGGCTGGAGTGCAGTGGCACTATCTCGCCTCACTGCAACCTCCGCCTCCCCGGGCTCAAGCAATTCTCTCGTCTCAGCCTCCCGAGTAGCTGGGACTACAGGTGAGAGCCACCATGCCTGGCTAATTTTTGTATTTTTAGTAGAGATGGGTTTTCACCATGTTGGTCAGGCTGGACTCAAACTCCTGACCTCGTGATCAGCCTGCCTCAGCCTCCCAAATTGCTGGGATTACAGATGTGAGTCACCACGCCTGGCCCTGTGTTTGAACTTCATACACATAAAATTATGATGCATTGACTCTTTTGTGCCTAGTTGCTTCCACTCAACATTATGCCTGTGAGTTTCAGCCACGTTGTCGCCTGTAGCTGTGGTTTGTTCTTTTTTGTTGCTGTATACTAGTCTATTGTGAGAACCCTCACTGATTGTCTATATCTATATTGATGAGCATTTTATTAAGAAAGCTTCTGTGAATATTTTGTTCATTTTTTGGTGAACACACATACACATTTTTGCTGGGCATGTACCTGGGAGTGAAGTGGCTGGTTTCCTGGGTATCCATTTGTTCAGCTTCAGGAAATACTGCCCAGCAGTTCCCCAAGTGGCTGCACAGTAATCCCACCTTATCCACTGGAGATATCTTCTGAGACCCCCAGTGGATGCCTGAAACCCCACATAATACTGAGCACTATGCATACTCTTTTTTTTTCCTATACAATCACATTATATAGGGAGGGTGGTATACACAGTGCAGACATGGTGGACAAAGGATGATTCGTGTCCGGGGTGGGACAGAGTGGATGGTGAGAGATATCATCATCCTACTCAGAATGATGCACAACTTAAAACTTACGAATTCTTTATTTCTGGAATTTTCCATTTAATATTTTCAGACTGCGATTAGCTGCAGGTAACTGAAACTGCAAAAAGCAAAACCACAGATCATAAGAAGTATGCGGTGGGGGTGATATTCATCGTATTTTATCAACCATCTTTACTGTTTAGGGCACAAGCCAATCAGAGCAGACCCTGGCTGGGCCACCCATTAACCTAAGCTTGTCCAACCTGCCTTATTTTGTTGTTGTTCTGTTTTGTTTTGTTTTAGCTTTTTAGCAGCCTGAAGCCATGGTTTTCAGTTTCTGTCTCCAGTGATACACAGAAAGGAAGGATGAGGAAGGGGCTTTACTGGCCCAACCAGAAACGGAAACTAAGAACCCATGACTGTATTCTCTCCCTTGGACAGCGTTAACCATTAACCCTTAATTGCTGGGTCCCAGCAGGGGAAAGGGCAGCCTGGGGAGGCGGATGTTGGGGAGGGGCTAATTACCAATCTGGTATGTAAGTATTTTGATAGTTTTACAAATGAGGTGTATGCTGACTAACAGCCACCCCTGGTGTGGATGTGATTGGCAGTTCCGAGAGAAATATGGGGACGTCTTCACGGTACACCTGGGACCGAGGCCCGTGGTCATGCTGTGTGGAGTAGAGGCCATACGGGAGGCCCTTGTGGACAAGGCTGAGGCCTTCTCTGGCCGGGGAAAAATCGCCATGGTCGACCCATTCTTCCGGGGATATGGTGAGAGCCTCAGAGGCACTGGGAGGGGGCGGGTGGGGGGTGCATCAGGGAAGGGAGTATATGGGAGGAAGAAGGACTCAGAGCCTTCTTCCAACTTCTTCTACAACCAACCCACACCTCCCCTGCACCCCAGGTGTGATCTTTGCCAATGGAAACCGCTGGAAGGTGCTTCGGCGATTCTCTGTGACCACTATGAGGGACTTCGGGATGGGAAAGCGGAGTGTGGAGGAGCGGATTCAGGAGGAGGCTCAGTGTCTGATAGAGGAGCTTCGGAAATCCAAGGGTGAGTCCTGGGGGATGAATAGGAAAGAAAGACAATGAAACACTGAGAGATGCAGGTGCACGGGAATAGAAAGACAGAGAGGTATATAAGGGCACAGACAGAGACAGACGAAACTGGAGACACCATCAGACAGAGGGATAGAGACAGAGAGGGAGAGAGACAGGGGAATAGAGAGGGATGGGGATGGGCAGGAGAGAAACACAGAGAGCCAGGGAAAGAGAGAGATGCCAGGTGTATAATGTCCAAGAGTTACTCAAAGAGGCTGGATGTGATGACTCTCACCTGTAATCCCAGTACTTTGGGAAGCTCAGGCAGGAGGATTGCTTGAGGCCAAGAGTTGGAGAACAGCCTGGGCAACATAATGAGATCCTGTCTCTACACAATATAGAAAAGAAGTGAGCCACGCATGGTGGTGTGTGCCTGTAGTCCCAGCTACTCAGGAGGCTAAGGTGGGACTACAGGATCACTTGAGCCCAGGAGGTTGAGGTTGCAGTGAGCTGTGATTGTACCACTGCACTCCAGCCTGGACAACAGAGCAAGATCCTGTCTCAAACAAACAAACAAACCCTCAAAGACATATAATTTCATGGATCAATTGTGTCTGTCAAAGTCAAAAACGGAAGTTAAGTAAAAGAAAAAAACTACAGACATTTAACAAATAATGAACTGTGTTTTCCTTGCCCTGGGTGAAGTGCTGATGAGCTGGCAGTGAGCAGACAGGCCAGGTGGGGTGTTCTGCCCGGGTGCAGCTGGAGGGGTCATCAAAGAATCACTAGGTTATTTTTGAGTTCTCCATAACTTGGTGTCTGTGAGACATGTAGGTGAAGGGTCTCTGGCTAGCACCTCCATCTCATTCATGCCAGGTGTTTACCATCTCTCTTATCAAAATTTCTCAAGAGACTCTGGGATGTAAATGCAGAGGCTGCATGGGGAGGTAGAGACCCAGGAGCTATAGGGAAACGGGGACAAGAAGACTGAAGAGAAGGACAGGAAGAAACAGTGACACAGGCAGGAGGAAAGAGACAGATGGAGGGACCAAAACAAAAAAATATAGGTTGGGTATGGGGCTCATGCCTGTAATCCCAGCACTTTGGGAGGCTGAGGCTGGCGGATCATTTGAGGCCAGCAGTTCAAAACCAGCCTGGCCAACATGGTGAAACCCCATCTGTGCTAAAAATACAAAAATTAGCCAGGCTTGGTAGCACGTGCCTTTAATCCCAGCTACTCAGGAGGCTGAGACAGGAGAATTGATTGAGCCTGGGAAATGGAGGTTGCCGTGAGCTAAGATCACACTACTGCACTCCAGTCTGCATGATAGAGTGAGACTCTGTCTCCAAAAATAATAATAATAATAATAAAATAAAGAACGGCAGGGGGGAGACAAATATACACACAGAGAGACAGAAAGAAACAAAGGCAAAGAGAAATTGAGGCAGAGAAAATTAGAGAGACAGACAGACAAAGCTTAGGAAAAGGTCTGCAGAGGAATGAGAGAAGACAGGCAAGTGAGAACCAGAGAGAGGCTGCACTAACCTGATGTTCTTGGGTCCTTACAGACCACTCTCCCTCCAGCTGGGGCCAGTGCTGAGCCTGGTGTATACAGGTATCACTTAACAAGTACAGAATAATTCCCAGAAGACTGGAGAGCCCTAGATGTGGAAAGAAGAGATTAAGGGGGAGTAATAGGTAGGGGTGGAAAGATGGTTTTTTATTTGTTTTAAATTAGAGACGGGGTCTCACTCTGTACCCAGGCTGGAGTGCAGTGGCACGATCATAGCTCACTGCAGCCTCAAACTCCTGGGCCCATGTGATCCTCCCACTTCAGCCCCTGGACTATTTCAACTGGGACTACAGGCATGTGCCACCATGTCTAGCTACATTTTTTTTTTTTTTTTTTTGTAGAGACAGGGTCTCCTTATGTTGCCCAGGCTGGTCTTGAATTCCTGATCCTTTTGAATCAGGCTCCCGAAGTGCTGGGTTTAGAGGTATGGGCCCCTGTGCCCACCCAGGGCTTTTTAATTTATATAAGCAATTGATTGAACACCTACTCTGCCCAGCCCCTATCCCTGGGATTTAACTGTACTCACTCCCAGAGTCAGAGGTGGGGCCTGAGAGGAGGTGCAGAGTGAGAACCGGCTGCATGGACTCTATAGCTGTGTTGCCTGGGTCTAAATCCTGGCCTCAGTAATGAGTAGCTGTGCAACTTTGGTCAAATTACTCAGCCTCTCGGTCTGCCCATCTATAAACTGGAGCTAATAATCAAATTGCATCTGCCTCACATTGTTGTAGTGAGAGTTCAATGGAATTACGCGTGACGTGCTGGTACATAATTAGCTGTTACGGTTATTCTCATGTTTACCATTACTGAGTGATGGCAGACAATCACACAGAGATAGGTGACAGCCTGATGTTCCCCAGGCACTTCAGTCTGTGTCCTTGACCTGCTGCTTCTTCCTAGGGGCCCTCATGGACCCCACCTTCCTCTTCCAGTCCATTACCGCCAACATCATCTGCTCCATCGTCTTTGGAAAACGATTCCACTACCAAGATCAAGAGTTCCTGAAGATGCTGAACTTGTTCTACCAGACTTTTTCACTCATCAGCTCTGTATTCGGCCAGGTCAGGGAGACGGAGAGGGACAGGGGGTGTGGGGGTGAGGTGAACACCCAGAACACACGAGAAAAGGATGACCTGTCTTGGGGGCTCAGAAATGCAGCTTATCCTTGGAAGAAACGCAGACATGTGAAGAATCAGGGACATGGAGACCTGGAGGGAGGAGAGACGGTGAGACAGGGATAGAGACACTGAGAGAGAGAATGAGGCGTGATGGGGAGGCAGAAATAGAGTCAGAGAGAGACTGAGAGAAGGAAGATGAGCAAAAACAAGACAAAGAAGAGCAGAAATCAAGAGATTCTGAGAGACAGAGTTGATGAGAATGAGTGTGAAAGAGAGGGAGAGAGAGAGAACGAATAAGGCTTTGGGCTTCATGTCTATTCTGCTCCTGGATGTCATTTCTGTTTTATTTTTTTTAGACGGAGTCTCGCTGTTTCATTCCAGCTGGGGTGTAGTGTTGCCATCTTGGCTTACTGCAACCTCCACCTCCCGGGTTCAAGTGATTCTCCTGCCTCAGCCTCCCAAGTAGCTGGGACTGCAGGCATGTGCCACCACACCTGGCTAATTTTTTTTTTTTTCTTTTCGAGACAGAGCCTCGCTCTGTTGCCTAGGCTGGAGTGCAGTGGCACAATCTCAGCTCACTGCAACTTCCACCTCCCTGGTTCAAGCAATTCCCCTGCCTCAGCCTCCTGTAGCTGGGATTACAGGCGCCTGCCGCTATGCCAGGCTAATGTTTTTGTATTTTTAGTAGAGACGGGGTTTCGCCATGTTGGCCAGGCTGGTCTCTAACTCCTGACCTCAAGTGATCTGCCCGCCTCAGACTCCTAAAGTGCTGGAATTACAGGTGTGAGCCACCATGCCCAGACTGCTTCTGGTTCTTCTGTATCCTTGCTTCTCAGTCTTTGGTAAAGCTCTCCACCTAAAGAAAATGAAGGATAAATGACAATAAGGAACAGCATTTCTTCATTTTCTCCCATTTCTCCTTCTCCCTCTGTGTTTTTTTTTTTAACTTTCCCCAGATTGTAAAGGCAGTCTTCTGCTCTTTTAAAACAAAATACTAAAATGTCTCCTTATTTATTAACCTGGAAATATGCCTATTACATATTAAATTTAAGAATATCAAGCTGCAGAACAGTATGCATAGCTGTAGTTTGTTGTTGTTGTTGTTTTCAGACAGTATCTTGCTCTGTTACTCAGGCTGGAGTGCAGTAGTGTGATCTCAACTCCCTGCCACCTCCACCTCCCAGGTTCAAGCAATTCTCATGGCTCAGCCTCCCGAGCAGCCGGGACTATAGGCGAGCGCCACCACACCCAGCTAATTTTTTTGTATTTTTAGTAGAGATGGTGTTTCACCATGTCGGCCAGGCTGGTCAACATAGCTACAGCTATTAAGCAGGGATGTATGTTGGATTCACATGTGGGGTTGTCACAGTTATGGATTTTCAGGACCCTACTTTCTGGGCGGTCTGATCTGGAAAGTCTGGGATGGGGCCCAAGGTGAGTACTTGTAACAAGCCCGACCAGTAATTCTAATGTTCTCCTCCCACCGAGAACCACAGAGAAAAGTCTGGAAGGAGACCCACCAGACAGTTAACAATGGTTATCTCTAGAAGGAGAGATTAAGAAGGAAATTTACATCTGACTATATATGTTTGCATTTTTGCAATTATTTGCAATAAATTAGGCATTCCATTCTTCATCAAAGTAATAGAAATAACCTCCAAAATACGTAGTCCTAACATGTCAGCAGGCTTATCTTGTGTAAGAATCATTTTATTAATATCTGACACAGCAAGGGAGATGAGGAGAGGTGGGAAGAGGGAGAGAAAAGTATGAGAAAGACAAATAAACAGGCTGAGGTAGACAATGGGTGACACAGAAAGGAAGTGAGACAGAGACTAAGAGAGATAGAAAGGAGAGAGGCAGGGAGATGGGGCAGAGGCCAAGAAAAAGACAGAAGGATGAGGGAGGAAGATGCAGAAAGAGGTAAATGTGAGATAGATCAAAGGAGATATAGAGTCAGTGAGTGAGGGGTTCAGAGGCAGAGGGGAGTGGGGAAGTGGGGTTCCCATGGAGGGATTGGGGCCCAGGAGGCGCTCTCTCCCTGTGACCTGCTAGCTCAGCCCTAGGCAAACCTCACCACCCCTTCTTTCTTGCAGCTGTTTGAGCTCTTCTCTGGCTTCTTGAAATACTTTCCTGGGGCACACAGGCAAGTTTACAAAAACCTGCAGGAAATCAATGCTTACATTGGCCACAGTGTGGAGAAGCACCGTGAAACCCTGGACCCCAGCGCCCCCAAGGACCTCATCGACACCTACCTGCTCCACATGGAAAAAGTGGGGTCTGGGAGAGGAAAAAGGGAAGGGAGGGGAGGGAGGGCAAGATGGAGAGGTGAGAAGAGGGAGGGAAAAGGGGTAGGGAAGGGGAAGATGGGGAGGGAAGAAGAAAGACTAGGGAGGGGAGAATAGGGAAAGGGAGGAGAGAACATGAGGAAGGAAAGAAAGATGAGGTGAAAGGAGGGAGAAAATAGGGAGGAGGAACTGAGACAGGGAGAGAGGGGAGGTGGGAAGACAGAATGAAAGACAGAGGGAGAGAGAGAGAAGACTGGCTGAGGAAGGAATTCGGGGCAAGGGACAAAAATACAGCAACAAGAGAAAAAACTCACAGAGGCAGAAAGAGACGGGGACAAAAAGAGAGAAACACATCAAAGAGATGTGGAGAGAGATAGAAACAGAGTTAGGAAGACTAAAGAGAGGCTGAGAGAGATGAGTTAGAGATACGCGGTTGGATGTGTAGAGGACAGAGAAAAGCAAACTGGGCCAGATAGTGTCAAAGACCTTTAGGCCAACGGAGGGCAGCCAGGGAGATGGGCGTATACACAGCAAGGCTACAGCCTCCCCTGACCCTCCCCTTCCTTCCCTACTGTGGACGCAGGAGAAATCCAACGCACACAGTGAATTCAGCCACCAGAACCTCAACCTCAACACGCTCTCGCTCTTCTTTGCTGGCACTGAGACCACCAGCACCACTCTCCGCTACGGCTTCCTGCTCATGCTCAAATACCCTCATGTTGCAGGTGGGCCAGGGACAGCCAGTCAAGGGGGTCTTCTGACCTCCTTCTGAGCTGCAGAAATGGGGCTATGGGTACCACCTGGATGAGAGAGGGGATGCTGGCTTCCTATTCTGGGAGCACTGTAGGCTCTGGGCTAGATTCCAACCAAGCCAATTCTGTTGGTGGATGCATGGATGCATGAAGAATCTGTCCATGCGTTCTCCCACTGTTTTCTTCCATCACTTAAGGATTTTTTGTTCTAAGGTTTTTGTTTGTTTGTTTGTTTTTTGTTTTTTGGTTTTTTTTTTTTTGTCTTTTTTGAGACAGAGTCTCGCTCTGTCACCCAGGCTGGAGTGCAGTGGCATGCTCTTGGCTTACTGCAAGCTTCACTTCCAGGGTTCACGCCATTCTCCTGCCTCAGCTTCCCGAGTAGCTGGAACTACAGGCGCCTGCCACCACACCCGGCTAATTTTTTGTGTTTTTAGTAGAGATGGGGTTTAACCATGTTAGCCAGGATGGTCTCGATCTCCTGACCTCATGATGTACAAATTTAGGGGGTACATATGCAGTTTTGTTACATGCGTAGGTTTTGTAATGGTCAAGTTTGGGCTGTTAGGGTATTTATCACCCAAACAGTGTACATTGTACCCATTAAGTAATTTCTCATCATTCACCCCCCTTCTGCTCCCTCACTCTTCTGAGTCTTCACTGTGTATCATTCCTCTCTCTGTGTCCATGTGTACACATTTTGTAGCACTCACTCATGAGTGAGAACATGCAATATTTGACTTTCTGTGCCATCACTTAAAAATCGATCCATCCACTTATCATTTCATCTATTCATTCTTTAATTCATTAATTAAAGAATGTATAATTACTGATTCTTTCATTTATGATTCATCTAAGGACATATACTGTCATTCATTTATTTGGATTACTTGATCCACAAGTTGATCCTTTGAAACAGTGGTATGTTGATGGACTATTTGTCATTGATTCATTGGCTCATTCATTCATTCATTCATGCATTCATCCATCCTTCTACGAACTAGGTTTCACTCTTATCCTTCCATGAGTCAACCTTTCAATTCACCCTTAATCCATCCGTGATTTCCTTCATTTATCACAATAATTCACTCATTTATTCACCTCTGATCTACTTATCATTCAATCCAGCCTTTCATTTACTCCTTTATTTACTCATACTTCACTAATTTAATTATTCACTTGCTCTTCCATAAATCTAGCCATTCATGTGATTATTCATTAATTGGGTTCATTGATTTCTTTGTCTATGGATCATTCATTAGTGATTAATTAATCAATCCATCTATTAATTGATAAGTAAATACAGACATCCATTTATTGGTTTGTTCATTTATTCATCAATCTTTCCATCCATGAATTGATCTATTGATTGATTGATTGATGTTTTTATCCAGTTGTTCATGAATTCATCTATTGTTCTATTACACTGTTATATACCTGAGGACCAAGAATAGTGTCTCAACTATATTATAAACACAATAAATATTAGTTCATTTTCTACTCATCTTAGAGAGGGTGTTTTGAGAGGTTTGTAGCCTGGAGTTCTTAATCTGAAATTCCATGCAAAATCGTGGTGTGTGTGTGCATGTGTGTGTGTGTACCTGGGCATGTGGGAAGAGGATCTGTAATATTCATTAGATTTCAAGCAGTGAGAATTCTTGTTGCTTCCTCCCTCCTCCCCTCACCCCATGCTGATTACTTTGAGGGGTATCAAGGATCTAACCCTTTACTATAGGTTTTTCATTGGTCAATAGAAAGTAGTGTCCTTGCTGAAAGGTCTCTTTTTAAAAAAATTTTTTTTTCTTTTGAGATGGAGTCTTGCTCTGTCACCCAGTCTAGAGTGCAGTGGCATGATCTCGGCTCACTGCAACCTCCACCTCCTGGGTTCAAGTGATTCTCCTGCCTCAGCCTCCTGAGTAGCTAGGAATACAGGTGTGCACCAGCACACCCAGCTAATTTTTTGTATTTTTAGGAGAGACGGGATTTTGCCATGTTGGCCAGGCTCATCTTGAACTCCTGACCTCAAGGAATCCACCCACCTCAACCTCCAAAATTGCTGGGATTACAGGCATGAGCCACCATGCCTGGCCTGAAATGCCTCTTTAAAATGAGATTCATTGGTCTTCTTTTCTGTACAGAGAGAGTCTACAGGGAGATTGAACAGGTGATTGGCCCACATCGCCCTCCAGAGCTTCATGACCGAGCCAAAATGCCATACACAGAGGCAGTCATCTATGAGATTCAGAGATTTTCCGACCTTCTCCCCATGGGTGTGCCCCACATTGTCACCCAACACACCAGCTTCCGAGGGTACATCATCCCCAAGGTAAGACCGGCTGGAACCCCATAGCCCTCCTGTTTGGGCATCCTGGATTCTCTTAATCCCCGAACTCAACCTTTTGTTAGCTCCTTAATTGAGTCCCGTTGTTTTTGTTTTTTGTATTTCTTTTTTGTGGAGTGTGTGGAGGGTTGGAGGGAATGGCAATATCTTTTGATCTTGTGATCCTCCCTCAGGACACAGAAGTATTTCTCATCCTGAGCACTGCTCTCCATGACCCACACTACTTTGAAAAACCAGACGCCTTCAATCCTGACCACTTTCTGGATGCCAATGGGGCACTGAAAAAGACTGAAGCTTTTATCCCCTTCTCCTTAGGTAAGCTGGACCCACAATTTCTTTCCCAGACACCAGAGGGCAGGTACTATCCCCAACTTGAGAAAAACAACGAGAGATACTGATTATTTGAGCACTTAATATATTCTGATTGCTTCACCTGCCTTATCCCATTCCATCTTCACTACAACCCTATAAGGAGGCTTGAGAAAGAAGATTACATTCCCAAAGGCACATCTTGGCAAGCAGGACCTTGGGCAAGTATTTTAACATCTCTAAACCTCAGTGAGTTCATTTTCTTAAAAAGAAAAAATCTGTTGGGCACCACTGTAAGCCCAGTGCTGTACTGGGGGCTGAAGATAATGCATCAAACAAGTCACACAGAGACAGGGTTCCTGCCCCAGGAAATTTAAAGTCCAGCAGGGAAGATGGGCATTCATCAAATAATAATAAAATAATCATCTCATGAAATGAATGAATGCCTGCAACATGCTTAGAACTGCCTGGCACAAAGGACATGCTCACAAGGGCAATTATTATTATAATTAGACATAATTGTGATAAGTGCTCTAAAGGGAGCTTTGGGAGCACAAAATAGGAAATAGTAGCTAATCTTGTGGTGGGTCCGTAAGGAAAAGCTTACCAGAGGAACTGGCTTCCAAGCTAACATGTTCATGGGTGAGCATCAATCAACCATTGCAAAGTGTGTTCCAGGCAAAGGAAACAGCAAGGACAAAGGCCAAAGGTAGAAACGTGATATGGCACCATTGAGAACCTATAGGAAGTCCAGTGAGCCTTGGGTGTAGATTGCAGAAGGAAATAAGACAAAGGGCTCATCTGGGCAGGACCTTGAAGGTTGCAGGAGGAGTTTGGATTTATGGTCTAGCACTGGGAAGGTGGAAAAGGTCTTGACGTGCTCTGACTTGTCCCAGTTCTCATCCTCTACTCTTTGGCTGGTTAAAAGAAAAACTTTAGACAAATTAAACTTAGCAGAGTCTATCTGAACAAAGAAACAATTCATGAATTGGGCAGCACAAGGAACCAGTAAAGGTTCAGAGAGCTCCATCCAGCAATGTGGTCAGGCACTATTTATCCACAGGGAAAGGAACTGAGGTACTGAAACAGCCTGATTGGTTACAGCTCTGTGTTTGCCTTATCTGAGCATGTCTGGGCAGCTTGTAGCCTGTGACTGGCTGAAGCTTGGCTGCCCTGATTGTCCAAGGTTACTTGTTACAAGAATATACTCTCAAGTTTGTTTACATGTTGAGTTACATTACAATTTGTTATGTAGGGAGGCTGCTTTAGGCCAAATTTAATTGAATTTAACATGCACCATCCATGAAAGGCCCCAGAAACAAACCCCCAGTCTTGAGTTTCATCAGTGACTTCAGTGATCCAGGGTTTGGCCCAGCCCCCGGTTTTGCGCAGTACAGTGACCTCCTTCCACATTTTATCTTCAATGAAAATTGGGAACATGTGTGGTGATGGCTTGAATGTCAATGTCTTCTCTCAATTTTGCTATCTGAAGTTTCTTTTTTTTTTTTTGTCTTCAGACGGAGTCTTCCTGTGTTGCCCAGGCTGGAGTGCAGTGTCACGATCACAGCTCACTGCAACCTCTGCCTCCCAGGTTCAAGTGATTCTCCTGCCTCAGCCTCCCGAGTACCTGAAACTACGGGCGCATGCCACCATGCCTGGCTATTTTTTTTTATTTTTAGTAGAGACTGGGTTTCACCGTGTTAGCCAGGATGGTGCTGATCTTCTGACCTTGTGATATGCCCACCTCAGTTTCTGAAAGTCCTGGGATTACAGGCATAAGCCACTGCGACTGGCCTGCTAATTTGTTTTAAGAGAGGCAGAGATGTAGGGAAATAAGGACAGAGACAGATAAGTAACAAAGATAATGAGACTGAGAAACAGAGTTAGGGACAAAGAGGGAACACATAGAGATAGAGATGGGGAGCCAGTGGCAGAAAGACAGAGGGCAAACCTCAGACAGTATACAGAGAGGAAGAGAGAGAGACACAGAGAGAGAGAGAGTCACGTAAGGAGAAGGAGGAGGAGGAGGAATAAGAGGAGAGAGAGTAGGAAAAGGAAGGAGGAGGGGAGAAAGGAGGGAAAGGAGAGAAACAGAATAAGAGATAGGAAAAAGAGAGAGTGACATAAAAAGAGAGGAAGAAAGAATGAACAAGACAAATAAGGTATCTTTAGAGGGAGATGAAAAGAAAGAATGAGAGAGAAAGAGATTGGGGAGAAATCAGATTCAAATAGATGGAGATAGGAAGTTAAGCAAGATGGAAGAAAGCCAAAAAAAGGAGAGGAAAAGAAGAAAAGCTGTGTCTGACAGGTATAGACAGAGAAAAAGACAGGAGTAGGGCTGCCAGGGGCAGAAAGAAAGGTATAACCCAAGCCAAAAGGGTACTGCAGCCAAAGAAATTCGAAAGGTGTCCAAACAGACGGCCCCAGAGATGGGGAGGGCGTGATGAGAGGGAGATAATAAGCCTCAGGCTGTTGTGAAAAATGTTAGGTCACACAAAGAGTTACAGAAGAACAGGCCCAGAGACCTGCCTGTTTCTAAGCTCATGTCACCCACCTTCTGGGTATGCCAAAGGGATGTGGACACTTTTCCAAACACCTCCACATAGACACACTTGTCCAACAACTTGACAGGCATAGGGAATGCCTGAAAACTCACACTTGACATGGCCTTTCCAAGGTTTGCAGATTATGAAACACTGAAGTGAAGGGAAAGGCTCCCTTTGTCTCTGCCTGAGCTTTTTCCAGCACCCTTTGTTCTTATTTTTCTCCCAATCTGTGGTTTAGAATCTACTGGGGGTTCCTTGCACCTCTGAGAATCAGTGGAAGCCATAGACCCTCCCTGTCTCATACGCATCAGTCCCATTCACAATTTATATACAATTGGGCTTTTCCCCCCTTGAGCTCTTGAAGCCTGTGGATCTCAGGCTGAGACTAGAAGACAGCCTAGAGACACAGACACAGACACATGGCCAGAAACACATACCCCACACATACCCCAGAAACAAACACAAGGCAGTAACCAAACCTTAAGCCTCCTTAGCACAAGCCAAGTGCTATTCTAAGAATTTTTACAATTGTCTCCTTTAACCTCACAAGAGCCCTTTGAGGGAGGTGCCATTCTCCCCATATGAGAAGTGAAGAACACTAAGAATGTTGTCATAAATGTGCTCACACTCACACATGTACAGGTACACACACACACACACACACACAGAACCAGAAATGGGTCATTATACTCTGTGGGTTTCACCAACCCTTTGGAACTGTAACAGAAGCTAGAAACTCTCTTATATAAAAATGAACATGGCGCCGGGTGCAGTGGCTCATGCCTGTAATCCCACTTTGGGAGGCCAAGGCAGGTGGATTATCTGAGGTCAGGAGCTCGAGGCTAGCCTGGCCAATATGATGATACCCCATGTCTACTAAAAATAGAAGAAATTAGCCAGGCGTGGTGGCAGGTGCCTGTAATCCCAGCTACTTGGTAGGCTGAGGCACAAGAATCATTTGAACCACCTGGGAGGTGGAGGTTGCAGTGAGCCAAGATGGTGCCACTGTGCTCCAGTCTGGGTGACAAAGAGAGACTCCATCTCAAAAAAAAAAAAAAAAAAAAAAAAAAAAAAAAAAAGAGAGAGAGAGAAATGAACGTGGCACATCCACTCAAAGATTTGCATCTGGTTTCAGAGCAGCTTCCTAAAAGTCCACCCTGAATTGTAGGTTAAAGGCCAGTCTTATGCAAATCTGTTGCAGTGGACATTTGTGTCTGGGCTTAGGGACATGGCAGAGCGAAGTGTATGCACCTGCCCTGTGCCCACACTGGTGACCTTCTGTGTCCACAGGGAAGCGGATTTGTCTTGGTGAAGGCATCGCCCGTGCGGAATTGTTCCTCTTCTTCACCACCATCCTCCAGAACTTCTCCATGGCCAGCCCCGTGGCCCCAGAAGACATCGATCTGACACCCCAGGAGTGTGGTGTGGGCAAAATACCCCCAACATACCAGATCCGCTTCCTGCCCCGCTGAAGGGGCTGAGGGAAGGGGGTCAAAGGATTCCAGGGTCATTCAGTGTCCCCGCCTCTGTAGACAATGGCTCTGACTCCCCGCAACTTCCTGCCTCTGAGAGACCTGCTACAAGCCAGCTTCCTTCCCCTCCATGGCACCAGTTGTCTGAGGTCACATTGCAAGTGAGTGCAGGAGTGAGATTATCGAAAATTATAATATACAAAATCATATATATATATATGTTCTTGTTTTTTGAGACAGAGTCTCACACTGTTGCCCAGGCTGGAGTGCAGTGGCGTGATCTCGGCTCACTGCAACCTCCACCCCCGGGGATCAAGCAACTCTCCTGCCTCAGCCTCCCTAGTAGCTGGGATTACAGGCATGCACTACCACGCTTGGCTAATTTTTGTATTTTTAGTAGAGATGGGGTTTCACTGTGTAGGCCAGGCTGGTCTCGAACTCCTGAACTCAAGTGATTCACCCACCTTAGCCTCCCAAAGTGCTGGGATTACAGGCGTGAGTCACCGTGCCCAGCCATGTATATATATAATTTTAAAAATTAAGCTGAAATTCACATAACATAAAATTAGCTGTTTTAAAGTGTAAAATTTAGTGGCGTGTGGTTCATTCACAAAGCTGTACAACCACCACCATCTAGTTCCAAACATTTTCTTTTTTTCTGAGATGGAGTCTCACTCTGTCACCCAGGTTCGAGTTCAGTGGTGCCATCTCTGTCCACTGCAACCTCCACATCCTGGGTTCAAGTGATTCTCCTGCCTCAGCCTCTGGAGGAGCTGGTATCACAGGCGTCCCCCACCACGCCTGGCTAAATTTTGTATTTTTAGGTGGTCTTGAACTCCTGATGTCAGGTGATTCTCCTAGCTCCAAATGTTTTCATTATCTCTCCCCCAACAAAACCCATACCTATCAAGCTGTCACTCCCCATACCCCATTCTCTTTTTCATCTCGGCCCCTGTCAATCTGGTTTTTGTCACTATGGACTTACCAATTCTGAATATTTCCCATAAACAGAATCATACAATATTTGATTTTTTTTTTTTTTTTGAAACTAAGCCTTGCTCTGTCTCCCAGGCTGGAGTGCTATGGTGCAATTTTTGTTCACTGCAACCTCTGCCTTCCAAGATCAAGAGATTCTCCAGTCTCAGCTCCCAAGTAGCTGGGATTACAGGCATGTACTACCATGCCTGGCTAATTTTCTTGTAGTTTTAGTAGGGACATGTTGGCCAGGCTGGTGGTGAGCTCCTGGCCTCAGGTGATCCACCCACCTCAGTGTTCCAAAGTGCTGATATTACAGGCATAATATGTGATCTTTTGTGTCTGGTTGCTTTCATGTTGAATGCTATTTTTGAGGTTCATGCCTGTTGTAGACCACAGTCACACACTGCTGTAGTCTTCCCCAGTCCTCATTCCCAGCTGCCTCTTCCTACTGCTTCCGTCTATCAAAAAGCCCCCTTGGCCCAGGTTCCCTGAGCTGTGGGATTCTGCACTGGTGCTTTGGATTCCCTGATATGTTCCTTCAAATCTGCTGAGAATTAAATAAACATCTCTAAAGCCTGACCTCCCCACGTCAAGAGGTGATCTGTGCCATTTTGTGTGTGATTCTTTTATTGTCGGGTCTCTAGGGATTTTTCTGGAAGGAATGTTGGTGAGAATGCCTCTCTCACCTCAATGCCAACTCTGTGAAGGGCCAAACCATTGTCTTGCTCATCCCTGTACTCTCAACACAGCGTGTGGCATATGACAGGTGTTCAAAATATTTGGTGAGGAATGAATGAATGAGTGGCTAAATCAGCCACCCCCTACCCCCACAGCCCACCCAAAATGGAGCTAGGCCTCCTCCATCAGACTATATCTCCTCCATATCCCACTTTCTTGTGAGGTCCAGAATAAATTCTCATCCCCAAAGGGCCCAGGATGCCCCCATTCTGCCTACCAGTTACTCTCGATACCCCGTGCTGCAATGCCACCTTTTGATAAAGCTTAGCGCTATTCTTGCAGTGGAACCACTCTAAATCCAGCCTCCAGGCTGGACGCGGTGGCTCATGCCTATAATCCCAGCACTTTGGGAGGCCGACGCGGGTGGATCACTTCAAGTCAGGGGTTCGAGACCAGCCTGACCAACATACAAAAACCGTGTTTCAACTAAAAAAGATACAACAATTACCCGGGCATGGTGGTGTGCATCTGTAGTCCCATCTACTCGGGAGGCTGAGACAGGGTGATCGCTTGAATGCAGGAGGGAGAGGTTGCAGTGAGCCAAGTTCCCGCCACTGCACTCCAGCCTGGGTGACAAAGTGAGACTCCGTTTCATAAATAAATAAATAAATAAATCCAGCCTCCAAACATTCCACCAGCAGGACCACCACCCTTCCCTGAGGGAGGTGCTGCAAGTTTAATATCATTATCACAAGGATACATCAGCCAGCCTGTGGCCAGTGGGAAGCTGGCCCTGGGACTCCACCCTGAGATGCTAACCTTTTGGCGTCTGCAGCATCTGCCATCTTTGGGCTCCTTGTAGCCTCTGAAGAGTTAACAGAGACTCTGCCAGTACAAATGCATGGCACACATTCCCTCACCAACCACAGAAATAACAAACAGAGCAACATGTCTTTTAAGAGCGACAGCAGAATGGAAGGCGGGAAGAATGAGGACCACGGTGCCCTCAGCCTTCTCACTCCTCATTGTCCCCAGTGGCCTCTTGCTACTCTGGTTCTGGGGCCATCCCACCTCCCAGGGCTGCCTCTCTCCTAGGCCCTGGCCTCTGCCCTTCCTGGGGGAGCATTTTGCAAATAAACCACAGGGCTTTCTGAAGTCTGTCCAGGTGGTGAGATGGGAGAGTGTGGAAGGGATGGAAAAGGAGGAGGTGGGTAGACGGGAAACAGCTCACAGGCAGCAAGGCAGTTGGGGTCGTACTTTGGGTGGGATTCCACAGACAAGCTTGGGAATTCCTTTCTGGCTTATATATTAACTACAGAAGCTTCTGGAATTTTATAAGGTGAAATGGAGAGGAGACAGACTGGAGGGTGAAATTCTGATAGACTTGAGGCTTTGAGATGTGGTCCTGGGGTGGAGCAAGACAAGAAAAGTACTGGAGATTGGGGTTTGAGGAGTCTATGCAATTATTTTTATTTTTAAAAATCTTTGTGGCTACATAGCAGGTGTATATATTTATGTGGTAAGTGAGATATTTCGATACAGACATACAATGTATAATCACAGGCATACAATGTAGACAGGCATAAAGTGTATAGTCACATATAATAATAACATCATGGTAAATGGGGTAACCATCACCTCAAGCACTCATCATTTCTTTGTGTTACATTAGAGTTATATTCCCTCTGTTATGCTAAAATGTACCACAGGCTGGGCACAGTGGTTCATGCCTATAATCCCAGTATTTTGGGAGGCTGAGGCAGACAGATTGCCTGAGCTGAGGAGTTCGAAACCACCCTGGGCAACATGGTGAAACCCTGTCTCTACAAAAATACAAAAAAAAATTAGCCAGGCATGGTGGCATGCATCTGTAATCCCAGCTACTCTGGAGGCTGAAGCGGGAGAATTGCTTGAGCCTGGTAGGTGGAGTTTGCAGTAAGCCAAGATTGTGCCACTGCAGTCCCGCTTGGGTGACAGAGTGAGACTCCATCTCAAAAAAATAAACAAGCAAACAAACAAAAGTACAATGAATTATTGCTGACGGCCATCACCTTATTGTGCTATCAAAAACTAGATCTTATTCATTGTATCGAACTCTATTTTTGTACCCATTAGCCATCCCCAGTCCCTCACCTCCACCCTTCCCAGTCTCTGGTAACCATCATTCTACTCTATCTCCATGAGTTAAATTGTCATAATTTTTAGCTCCCACGAATGAGTGAGAATGTGCAAAGTTTGCCTTTCCGTGCCTGGCTTATTTCACCTAACATAATGTCCTGCAGTTCCATCCATGTTGCTGCAAATAGCAGGATATCATTCTTTTTTAATGGTTGAATAGTACTCCCTTCTGTATGGGCACCATATGAACACTTAGGTTGATTCCATAACTTGGCTCTTGCAAACAGAGCTGCAAAATACACTGGAGTGCAGATATCTCTTCAGTATACGGATTTCCTTTTTTTTGATATAGATTTAGCGGTGGGATTGCTGGATTGTGTGGTAGCTCTATTTTTAGTGGTTTTCTTTCTTTTTGTTTGTTTATTTTATTTCTTTATTCATTTTTTTTGAGATGGAGTCTTACTCTGTCACCCAGGCTGGAGTGCAGTGGTATGATCTCAGCTCACTGCAGCCTCCACCTCCTGGGTTCAAGCGATTCTCCTGCCTCAGCATCCTGAGTAGCTGGGACTACAGGCACCTGCCGACACGCTTGGATGATTTTTGTAATTTTAGTAGAGATGGAGTTTCACCACGTTGGCCAGGCTGGTCTTGAACTCCTGACCTCAGATGACTCGCCCACCTCAGCCTCCCAAAGTGCTGGGATTACAGGCATGAGCCACCGCACCTGGCCTATTCTACTTTTTTTTTTCTTTTTCTTAGGGAAACTCCATGTTGTTCCTCAAAGTGGCTCTATTAATTTACATTACCACCAACAGTGTACAAGGGTTCCATGGGGATTACTTCAGATTGAGTGGTCAGAGAGGGCTCCTTTGAGAAGACTTCTGAGAATTGGCCATGGGAAGGTGTGGGGAGAAGCCTTCTCAGCTGAGGGAACAGCAAGGTCAAAGACCCAGAGGTAAGAAAGCAAGCTTGGAACCTTCCAGGAGCAACAAGGCATTGGCTCTGATAATGCCTTCTCCTGCTAAAATGACAGCTCTAGGAAGGCAGGGTTCTTATTTCCTGTCTATCTATCTATCTATCTATCTATCTATCTATCTATCTATCTATCATCTATCTATCTATCATATATCTATCTATCCGTCTGTCTTTATTTATTTATAGAGGCAGAGTCTTGCTCTATTGTCCATTGTATTAGTCCATTTTCATGCTGCTGATAAAGACATACCGTAGACTGGGTAATTTATAAAGAAAAAAAGTTTAATAAACTCACAGTTCCACATGGCTGCGGAGGCCTCACAATCATGCTGAAAGGCAAAAGTTGCGTCTTACATGGTGGCTGGCAAGAGAGAGAATGAGAACCAAGAGAACGGGGTTTCCCCTTATAAAACCAACAGATCTCATGAGACTTATTCACTACTATGAGAACAGTATGGGGGAAACCACCCCTATGATTCAATGATCACCCACCGGGTCCCTCCCACAACACGTGGGGATTATGGGAGCTGCAATTCTAGATGAGATTTGGGTGGGGACACAGCCAAACCATATCACCAAGGCTGGAGTGCAGTGGTATGATCATGGCTCATTGCAGCCTCCAACTTCTGGGTTCAAGCAATCCTCCCACCTCAGCCTCCTGATTAGTGGTGACTACAGGTGTGTGACACCACCTCTGGCTGGCTTTTAAATTTTTTGGAGAGATGGAGTCTTGCTATTTTGCCCAGGCTGGTCTCAAACTCTTGGTCTCAAATGATCTTCCCATCTTGACTTCCCAAAGCACTGAGATTACAGGTGTGAGCCATTGCACCTGGCTGGTTCTCATTTATTTAAGTATTACTGCTGTCATGGTTTGCTTTGGTCCCTGTGGGTTCCCCCACCCTTTGAAACAAGTGCCTGACACATGGTAGGGTTCACAATAAATATTTGTAGAATAAATAAGAGCTGAGCCTTCAAGGGGTCCAAAATACTTGCACGGAGTTTTTCTAGGTGGGCACGATGCCACCCAGCTGCAGGACTATTTCAGGGTGTTCATTGGCTCCTCTGGTTGATCTTTTGATGCCTGTATAAGAACTCCCACTTCTCCAAATCTGGGGGCCACATCTTTAGAGTTCTCAGCTTTCTGTCTCTCAGGAATGAAGGAGATAATATCACTGATTGGAGCCAGATTGTCTGGATGTTGAATCCCAGCTCCTTGCTGGTGCCTTTGAGAAGTGACTTTAGCCCTCCATGTGCCTTATTTCTGCCTCTGTAAACGGAGATCATCATAGCACCTCTCATGTGGGGCTGTTTGACGATTCGGTGAGGTATGTGCAAAGAGCTTTTTGCACTTGCAAAAAGTGTCTGGGATATCATTGTGTGCTGTAAGAATGAGCTGTAATGATTATCACTGAGACTTGTTGTTGGGATTAAAAGAGATCAGGTCTGTCAGGGCCTGGTACACAAGAGGTACTAGAAAAATAATGGGAGGTTTAGGTGCTCCTTCCTCCAGATACACTCGTAAATATGACTGCTGTGTCGTCATCTACTTTTTAGGGATATGAAGAATCTGCTGTGTGACCTTAGATGAATAAATCTCTGATTCACTCTGGGCCTTGGTTTTCCCTGCCTCTGAAAGGGGTATGATGTTTCCTTCCCTTTTGCCTGGGCGCAGGTACTGGGTGCTTTGTAGTTAAGGGAGTATCAGCTGGTGGCTCAAGGGTAGATTCTAACAGGAACTTCCAAGCTGGAGAAATACTAGGCTACACCTCAGAGAGGGGAGGTGGGTAAGGGAGGCCCCTGCTGGTGTGAGCAGGAGGTGGGTGAGGGAGGCCCCTGCTGGTGTGAGCTCGATCCTTTATCCCTGAGCTTCAGACTCTCTTAAGCCTTCCCACATGAGAAACTGACATCCAGATGGAGGTGGGGACCCTGCAATGTAAAGCCAGGTCACCTGTCCACAGAGGTGTGTCTGATAACCAGGGCATGATAGGTTAGAGAGTGTGGTGGCTAAAAGCACCAGCCCTTGGATCACCTGAGGTCAGGAGTTCAAGACCTGCCTGGCCAACATGGTGAAACTCCATCTCTACTAAACATACAAAAATTAGCTTGGTGTGGTGGTGGGCACCTGTAATCCCAGCTACTTGGGAGGCCGAAGCAGGAGAATCACTTGAACCCAGGAGGCAGAGGTTGCAGTGAGCTGAGATTGCGCCATTTCACTCCAGCCTGGGTGACAAAAGCGAAACTCTGTCTCAAAAAAAGCACCAGCCTTAGACTCAGAGAGACCAGGATTTGAGCTTGGGGGACCTCAGCTTCCTCTCTGTGTGACCTCAGGTAAGCCACTTATACTCTTTGGGCCTCAGTTTCCTCATTTGTAAAATTGAGGCCGTGATTGAACCTCCTTCAAGAGCTGTTGTGAGTGCTATAGGGGATACTATCTTAAAGCACTTAATGCAGTGCCTGGCACATGGTAGTTCTGTAGAAGTGCTTGCTATTTTAATTCACGTGCACAGGTCCTGCCTGTGGGTGAGGGCTCAGTAGATGGAACAGCGATGGTTGATATAGTTGGGATTGTGAGGATTATTATGACAGGGGCTAATTTGAATGGGCCTGTGTTGTCTGCCCTCCCCACTGCCAGCCTGATTTCCCTCTGCCTGGCTTTGCAGCTCCTCCCATTGGCTGCTGGGGTGTACCCCTTGCATGCGGATGAGAAACGAGTCAATGAAGTCCCGTGGGGAATTGGGATCCAGCGTGCACTGGTTGTGCTCCACTTTCTTGGCAATGAAGTCCTCCAGCCCTTGCAGCTCCTTAAAGGCCTGTTGCTGTGGTCCTGGCAGGTGTTTCATCACCGAAGAGAACATCTCATAGAGCTGGGGTTGCAGAGAGAGGATGGGAAGGGAAGGACCGCTGTCAGGAGGCAGGAACTGATGGGAATGGGACCTGTGTCAGAGCAAGAAAGGCACTGGGTTAAAGGCACCTACCTGCCCAGGTGTTTAGGTATTTCAGTGGGGCTGGATGGGAACATATATGTAAGTCTTCATGAGGGTTAAGTGAGAAGGCTACTGTCCAGAAATTTAGGTAACATGGACTGAGGCACACATCCAGGTTTCAATGAAGGTGGATTGGAGCGCACAGCTAGGTGTTCAGACATTCAAGGCAGGATGTGTTGGAAAACACCTGTTCAACTGTTTAGCTACTCAGACGGGGCTGGTATGAGGGGAGTGTCACCTGTCTAGGTATGTAGGCATTCAGGTGGGCCTGGTTGAAGACAACTACCGAGATACTTATTGGGTCTGGATTGGGGGCTTTTGTTCAGATGTTCAGGTATTAAAGTGGGGCTGGTGAAGATGTTGAAGAGGAGGGGATACCTGTTGAGGTGTTTACCTATCCAAGTGGGATGCACTGGGGGCACCTCTGTAAGGTGTGTGATTGGAAAGGGTTGGGGAACACTTATTTGGGTGTCTGGGGAATAATCTGTCTAGATATTTATGTGTTTAGGGTATTGGTTAGGGCACCTGTCCATGTTTTCAGGTATTTAAGTGGGTGAAGTAGAGGGCGCTTGGCCAGATATTCCAGTGGGCTAATCTGGGACATTTGTGTAGATGTGAAATGATTATGATGGGCTGGATTTTGCAGCACCAGGTGTTCAGGTATGCAGGAGGCGGGTTGAGGCAGTCACTTGTCCAGGTGTTAAAATATTCAGAAGAACTGGGTAGGGAGCATCTGTTAGAAATTATGGTAAGTTGGGGATGGGAACATGTGCCCAGGTGAGAGAGCTGAGCTGAGGGTATGCATCCTGCCTTCAGGCTCTGTTTTGGGGATCATCTGTTGAGCTATCCAGGTGTCCTTGGAGACTGGGTATTGGGCACCCATCCTGGGTTCTGGTGCAACTTTCCGGTTGTCCAATATTGGGGGCTGATTTTGAGGGGACACTGTCTGGAGGGGGGTGGGAGTTTGGGGCACCTGTCCCCATGTAGGGGAGCAGTTGGCAGGTTGTGGTAGGGGCGTGACAGCCAGGCTGCAGCCGGTTACCTGCCCCGTGGAGGGTGCCGTGAACTGGAAGCTTTCCAGCATCATGCACAGCAGTGACAGGAACTTTTGTCCTCATAGTCAAAGCGGTCCCCAAAGACAATGGAGCTGATGACATTGGAGGTGGTACGGCTTAGGAAGAAGGTGGGATAGATGCTGGAGCTTGCGGGTGTGGCGGTGTATTGGGGGAGAAGGGGGTTGGGAAGAGAGTCAACTCAGAGCTCTGATGCTAGTCTGAGAATTCCAGGAGGCACTGCCCTGATGAGCCACATTCCCAGCGCCAGACTACAGGGCTGGGAGCGCGGGCGCCTTTCCCCACCAAGGCCCGGTCCCCAGACAGAACGCGCGCGGGTTCCTCGCCCTGGGCGTTTTCCTTCTCCCGCCTCCACACTCGGGGTGTTCTGCTCACCGCGCGTGCCCTAGACGGCCTTGATGAGGAAGCCCGCCTTCTCCTGGATACCTCCTTGATGCCGCGCTTGCCCACCCCGAAGTCCCGCAGGGTGGCGATGGAGAAGCGCCTGAGCGGCTTGGTGCGCTCCCAGGTGCGGCAGGTCACTCCTGGGAGAGGAACGCAGGGGTGGGGAGAGGTCAGGCCGTGGGAACAGGCACA
Organism: Homo sapiens; assembly: GCF_000001405.40. Taxonomy (NCBI): domain Eukaryota; kingdom Metazoa; phylum Chordata; class Mammalia; order Primates; family Hominidae; genus Homo; species Homo sapiens. Next base: position 41,026,210 of record NC_000019.10, read on the forward strand.
GAAGCCTCGCGCAGGAGAACTGCAAACTCAGTCAGAGAAACACAGAGAGAAACAGAGACCGAACAGGAACAAGAGGATCAGAAAAGAGACAGGCCAGACAGACAGATGCACAGCAGAACAGAGGGAGACGGGACACTCCATGGAGCATAGGGAGGGAAGGAGGGAGAGAAAAAGACAGAGATGGGAGAAGATGATGGAAGGGGGGGAAGTGAGGTATGGGGAGATCTGCGAGGAGAAAATAAAAATGGTGAAAGAGTCTTTTTTGTTTGTATGTTTGTTTATTTGTTTTTGAGACGGATTCTCGCTCTGTCGCCCAGGCTGAAGTGCATTGTCGCCATCTTGGCCGCTCGCTGCAACCTCCACCTTCCAGGTTCAAGCGTAAAAATGGTGAAAGACTCCTAAGCTGAGCTGGTGAAGACAGAAAACTACGGAAAGAGAAACAGAGACGGTCGGGAAGGAGGAGAGACTGTTATCAGGAGAGGAGGCTGGAGATGTGGAAGTAGGAATACCGCGAAATCCTAAGACAGAGGAAGAAGAAGGAGAGGTCAGTGGACAGAGGAGAAACTCAGAGAAGCACAGAAGCTGAGAAGGACAAAAAGACAAATGAAGACAGAGAACCAGGGTTGGAAAACAGAAACCCAGGATTGTCCTCAGAGATGGGGAAAGAGGAGACTCCAGTGAGAGAGGCAGGGAGAAATCTGGACAGGGACAGGGACAGGGATGCTGGAGACAGGCAAGAGGGAGAGGCCGCAATGAAGGGAGCTGGGGAGCGAAGGCCAGACAGGGGGCTCTGCCGCAGCCTTCAGTGGGCAGGAGAGTCAGGGAGAAGGCTGGGGACACGGAGGCCATCGAGTCGGCCTGGCCACCTTCCCCCTCTTGGGCACCCCCTCACCATAGCCTTTGAAGAGCCAGTCGAAGGTGGCCTGCTCGCCTCGCCCGCTGAACTCCTCAGCCTGGTCCACCAGAGCCTCCTTGACGGCATCATGTCCGCACAGCACCACGACCCGCCGGGGCCCCAGGTGAATGGTGAACACGGGGCCATAGCGCTCACTGATCTGATGGAGGCAGGTGGGAGTGGTTAGAGGGAGCAGCCCCCACTCTGAATGGGCGCAGCACCGAGATATCATGTACTGGGATGTTTTGCCCCCAGGTTCTCACAGTCAGGGAGCTGGACATCCCAAGATCCTGTCTTTCCAGCCTAGGACCCTGATGCTGAAACTCCAAAACTCCCTTTCCTAAGACTCTGGTCCACACTGGTCAATCCCCTGCCACAAAGCCTCAGCCAACTGGGCAGCCCCCACCCCGTGCCACCCATCTCCCTGCCTTGGGACACCTTCATGATGGAGTCACATATGTGCTCTGTGTTCAGCTGCAGGTAGTTTCCAATAAAGAGCAATGGGGTGGGTCCCAAAGGCAGCTTCCCCCTGCTCTTCCTCTGCTGCCAGACTGACATCAAGACCATCACAGTCAGGCTGGCCAGCAAGGCCACCAGAAGCAGCCCTGAGGCCAGCATGGTGGCAGTGGAATGATAGATGGTGACGGCTGGGGTGGTTTGCCTTTATACTGCCTGAAAAAAAGGGGTGGACTTTGGCTGGTTATAAAATCACCTCATTTCACCTCCCAACTACATCCTCTCCGTGAACCCCACCTAGCTTTGGACACAACCAGCAAAGGAGGAGGAGGGGGACCCCAGGGAAGCTGAACAGAGAGGGTACCTCCCGACTAAATCTGTGGTACCTCAGGAGGGGTGCCCCAGGGCTGTGGATTTAGGAGCGGGCAACAGATAAGCTGTAGAACAAAGGAGTTGGGAATATTTGCATAGGGGAGCACTTGGGCTTTGGATTTGGGATCTGGGAGTGAGAATGCACCCCAAAATTGTGGATTTGGGGGTTCCGAGGAGAAGAATGCAAAGGTCTGGGTTTTATTAGGGTGAGATGGAAGTGTGGCTGTGCATCTGGGGGTCTTCTGTTGTGGAGGATGCAGGGTTAAGGGTCTCAGGAGGGGGGATTCCAGGCATATGGACTTGAGAGTCTTGGGGCTAGGAAGACCCAGGGCTGTGGGTGTGGAGTTTCTGGGAGGAGGAGTGTGTAGCAAGCCCAGTAGGTCGTCCCAGAAAGCCCAGCAGCCCAGCACTGGGCCCAGGGGCTGACTTGATTTTGCTTTTGCCCAGAGCTGTCTCTTGATGCCCGGAATCCTCACTGGAACCTCAGAGTGAGGCCAGGATGGGTGCCATGGAAACTCCACTGACCATCTCTGGTTGGCAAAGGGGTGGAAGACCAGAGCCATATTTCAAGGGAAATTTCCACACACCTGGAGAAGAGTACCTTGTGTTATCAGTTGGCAGAGGGATTGGCCAGGTCTGGAGAAATAGTAACAACAACCCCCAAATGGTGGAAAAAGCTCAAGTGTCCCAAGGGTTGTAATTTACAAAGACCTCCACTGGTTTCCAACCCAGATCCTTAGGGAAACCCACTAGATTGATTGTATCATCCCTATTAATATTATGATTGTTGTTTATCTTTCTCATTTTATATAAGGGTCTACAGAGGACAGAAAACAGACAGTAGGCAGGGGACATGCATGAGTGGCCCTGAACTCCCATCTCTCCTGCTCTGAGTACTTAGTTCCCCTTTCTGGATTTGGTTTTCCCACCAGTAGAAAGGGAGTATTTAGGAAAAGATCATATTTGAGGGTGAGTTAAGTCTCCTTTAAGGGCGATTCCTGCTTTGTCAGGGGCTACTACTATTAGCAGGCAGAGGGAACAATCGCAGAAGAGATTGGGGTAAACTCCAGTGTTAGGCACAGAGGTAGATCCTGGGGTGGGTGTGAGTGGAGAAGGGATGAGTAGCCCTCCTGTCCTTCCCTCAGGGAAATTCTTCCTTAGTAAACGGGGCAGTTACCCTTTGGTGAGCATGGTCGTATATGGGAAGATTAAGTCTAGGTGTGTATGATCTGGTCGAATCTTTGTAACAGTGAGGTTTGTTCATCATGATCATCCTCATTTTGAAGATGAGCAGATCTAGACTCCATAAATCCTCTTGAGTGAGGTCACACAGGGAATAAGTGAGGGAGCTGGGATGTGAACTTTCTTCTCATCCCCCGTCATTGACTGGCCTAGATCACCCTGGGAGTCAAGTGCAGGCCAGGCTTAGCAGGAGGTGAGTGCTGAGACTGGCATCAGCAGTGGACACACTGATGACATTGGCGGGTTCTGATATCAGCATCAGGTGTGTTCAGGGAGGGAAAGGCATCGTGTTGGCTTTGGGACTGCCCCCAGGTGTATGCGAGGATGGGAAACAAGTTGGTACTGAACTTGATACCAGGAGAATATTGAAGTCATGTTTGGTGCCAAGAGGGCTCTGTGTGTTGTTTCAGGTTTCATTGAGGGCATAAGTGTGTCCTGCTTCAGGAGGGCGTAAGAATGGCACCATATAGGGTCTGAGGTTGGTCCCAGTGGGCTGTGACATGAGCATGAGGCAGGTGCTGATATTGGTCCTATGTGGGTCTGAGATGAGCCTCAGCCAGATCCTGAGAGGGGCCCCAGATGGCCACAGGACAGGCTCTGATGGTTGGTCCTTCCAGGGTTGCACCTCTCCTCTAGGTCACCAAATTTGGACAAGTGGATGTGGGTGAGGTTGACACTCCCAGGACTGGCTCTAACTGGCTCAAATTGGCTGTTGAGCTCTGAGACCTGTGTGGAGGAATCAAAGAGCAGAGAACAAAGCAGAGAGAGGAAAGCTGTTTATTGATTTTGTGGGGGAAGAGGTGGGAAGGAGGATTAGCACCAGCTGGGCAGACATCAATCCATCTAATCCTGGTCACCAGCCTGCACTTGGGCTGGCCACAAGCCTGGGTCCTTCCTCTTCTCCCTTGTTTCTTAAAAAGGAGAGAGGTAGAAATTTGGAGAGTTTGTTTCTCAGTGAGTTTGGCACTAGGAAGGGCACTGAGTGTTCAGACAGGCTGCCATGACCTGGCCAGGGTGGGGGTGGGGAGAGTCAGGTTGGGAGAACTCTAGTATTTGGGGACATAGAGTTCAAGCAATTTTGGCCTTGTTGATTACTCTGAAGTGTGGAGTAAGAGAACGGTGTCTGAAATTAAGTGGGAGGGACTTGTCCCAGTGGCGGTGCGGGTACAGGCTTTCAGAGTGAGTTAGTGGTGAACCCAGGAAAATCCCTTTCCATTGCTGGGCCTCTGTTTGCCTTTCTGGATGGATGGTACAGTGGTTAAGAGCAAGGTTAAGGCATGGATTGGAATCCAAACCTTATCCCGTCTTTGTTGTGTGACCTTGAACAGCTGACTTCGTCTCTCTGAACCTTATGGAGCCAAAAACAGCTCCTAGCTCTTCAGCTATTTAGGTGAGAAGTATATGGGTCAAAGCAGGGGAGGTACATGTAAGTGCTCAATGAATATTAGCTGTTTTTATTCATCTGTATGTTGAAGAGAATGGACGAGATGTTCTCTAAGCCCCCTCCTGGCTTTTACAATTCTCTGCTCTAACGTTATCAAAACTTTTCCTTTGAGAAGGGGGAAGGGAGACAGAGTTTTTTGGGAACCTCTCTCCACATCCCTTCCTTAGCATAGCCAAGCCTTACCCATGAAGCTGTGAATAGGAAATTGAACTTAGGCTGCCTCCTAGAGCATGGCGCTGAGTTAAGCAGTATCCGCAGGAAGAAAGGCCAGTGTTAGGCCCTCAGATTACTCTGGATGGGCCTGGAGCCCTGCACAGGACTTTGCTCACCTGTCTCTCTCCCGTTTTCTCTGATCTTGTCTTTCTGTCTTCCTCTTTCTCGTTCCCTGCAAGTCAACCTTACCCTTAACTGCCCTGTGTGCTCCTGCAACTTTGCAACTTTGCATGATTTTGTCCAGTGGTTTCTCCTAGATGCCTCTGCCATGTTTATCCTTATTTATACGTCTGTCTGTGTGTGTGTCAGTCTGAGTGCATGTTTGAGGTTCCTGTGTGCATGTATGTTTCAGCATGTCCCTGTTGACAGATGAATTTATGCATGCACCAGGCTTTGTGGAGTGTGTGTTTGTGCTTGATAAGTGGGCATCCATTCCAACTTATGTCTACACATGCACATCTTTGTGAGTACCTGATGAGGTGCATGTGTGTTCCTGCCACCTTTCCTGAATGTTTGCCAGTCTCTGTCTGTCTGTGCATGTAGCCTGAGTGCATGCTTTGTGTTATGCCACTTGGGGGGTACCTATGACGTGCATTTCTTTGTCCAACCTGATGTATGGCTGCATGTTCACATTTGTGTGGATTCATGCACAACTGGGTGACTACATATAAGTGTTTGGATGTTTTATGCATACATTTTGGTGTCTGTATGCAGGCATGTGGGCCCTGTTGTGTACACATGAACATGTGGTATTTGCCTGTACCTCTCTGTGTCTGGATTCAAAAATATCCCTAGCCCAGATCCATTTCTCTTCTAAAAAAAAAAACCATGTGAAGCTTTTTATGAGCATGATCTTAATTACACGCTGCACTGTAAGCCTGTGAGGTTGGTTTTATCATCTTCATTTTGCAAATGAGTTGGATAAGGCTCCCAAAATTGGAAGTCCCTTGCTTTGGGTTCTACAATGAATGAGGGTAGAGCTGGAGTACGGCCTTGTGTGACTGTCAAGTCCATGCTGTCAACCACCACCCTGGACTGCCAAGCCCCACCTGTTTTCTTTATGAAACATCAGAAAATTGCCCCTAATCTCCTGTGGTTCTTGAAAAACTTCCCTGTAAGCACATAACAAAAGATTCCAAAATGTCAGGGGGAAAAAAAGTCTTTTAATAGGAGGGAGACTTCAACTTCTAGTTTTTGCATTCTTTGGAAGATTAACCAAAGATACGGTCAGCTGGTATACCCCTCAGGCCATTGGCAGTGAGACAGTGCAGGAGTTGGGAAACTAGATGTTGTGGGCGGAGAGTGAAATGTCTGTGTTTCATATTTCAGAGTGATGACAAGGATAAAGGTGGGCCTGTGGAAGTATTGGCTGAAATAGAGTGAAGAAGGTCAAAGAAGAGAGGAAAGTCAAGATTCTTTCTTCCTGAGTGTTTGGATAGCTCACATTCCTGGCCATAAAGGGCTTCCCTACCAGTAGAATGTCAGGGCTTAGAGTAGAGAGGTAGGAAAGAAGTTGGGTAGATGACAGGGATGAACAACTTTTTAAATCACAGGGCGAAGGTGTCAGTATCCAAGTGTCTGGAGAGTTTCTTCTGGTAATGTTTGAGTAGCTTCTATTGGATCAAGCATCCTGTGAATAACAGCTATTAACTCTGAAGAAAACATTTTTAAGAACCCAGTTCTCTGAAATTACTGGAGAGTGAACGAAAGCAGCAGATACTGAAGGGGGTTGGATGAAGCAGGTTTCCTATTTTGGGTGTTTTTTTTAATGCTTTCGGCCTAAAGGCAGACCCTGGAAAGTGCCTTGTGGGGTGGCTTAATCCCAGATAGAGATGTTTTAATTTTTTTGACTTCAAGAACCAGAGGACAGAATTCAAGGTGATTATAGCATCTACTGATAGTGGTGGTAGAATTGCAAAAAGGAAAGAGCCAGAGAGGGGGAGCCCCAAATTCTGTAAATAAACTCTGTCCAAATTTCTGACCAATTGTTGAACTACTTATTTGCTGGAGAACTCCAGGTACCCTGCTAAGGCTAAAGGAACTTAATTGAGATTTCAGAGCTGAGGGTTTGAGATTAGCCAGGTTAACTGCTTTCCAAATTAAACAAACAACCAAAATCAGTATTTTTCAACAGAACATAATGGAATCCATGGTCTCTCCAACTTATCACTTGTAATATCCAGGATGAAATCTCAAATTACTAGGTATATGAAGATACAAGAAATGGGGGAGAGTCTAGCCAAGATGGCCAATTAGGAAAAGCTCCAGTCTACAGCTCCCAGTGTGAGTGACGCAGAAGACGAATGATTTCTGCATTTCCAACTGAGGTACCAGGTTCATCTCATGGGGCATTGTCAGACAGTGGGTGCAGGACAGTGGGTGCAGTGCACAGAGCGTGAGCCAAAGCAGGGCAAGGCATCGCCTCACCCAGGAAGTGCAAGGGGTCAGGGAATTCCCTTTCCTAGCCAAAGAAAATGGGTGACAGATGGCACCTGGAAAATCGGGTCACTTCCACCCTAATACTGCACTTTTCTAACGGTCTTAGCAAATGGCACACCAGGGGATCAGATCCCGTGACTGGCTCAGAGGGTCCTATGCCCACAGAGCCTTGCTGATTGCTAGCACAGCAGTCTAAGACCAAACTGCAAGACAGCAGTGAGGCTGGGGGAGGGGCGCCTGCCATTGCTGAGGCTTGAGTAGGTAAACAAAGTGGCCAGGAAGCTCGAACTGGGTGGAGCCCACCGCAGCTCAAGGAGGCCTGCCTGCCTCTGTAGACTCCACCCTCTAGGGGCAGGGCATAGCCAAACAAAAGGCAGCAGAAAACTCTGCAGACTTAAATGTCCCTGTCTGACAGCTTTGGAGAGAGTAGTGGTTCTCCCAGCACGCAGCTGGAGATCTGAGAACAGACAGACTGCCTCCTCAAGTGGGTCCCTGACCCCTGAGTAGCCTAACTGGAAGGCATCCCCCAGTAAGGGGCAGATTGACACCTCACACAGCCGGGTACTCCTCTGAGATAAAACTTCCAGAAGAATGATCAGGCAGCAACATTTGCTGTTCACCAATATTCACTGTTCTGCAGCCTCCGCTGCTGATACCCAGGCAAACAGGGTGTGGAGTGGACCTCCAGCAAACTCCAACAGACCTGCAACTGAGGGTCCTGACTGTTAGAAGGAAAACTAACAAACAGAAAGGACATCCACACCAAAACCCCATCTGTACATCACCATCATCAAAGACCAAAGGTAGATAAAACTGCAAAGATGGGGAAAAAACAGAGCAGAAAAACTTAAAATTCTAAAAATAAGAACGCCTCTCCTCCTCCAAAGGAATGCAGCTCCTCACCAGCAATGGAACAAAGCTGGATGGAGAATGACTTTGTTGAGTTGAGAGAAGAAGGCTTCAGACAATCAAACTTCTCCGAGCTAAAAGAGGAAGTTTGAACCCAAGGCAAAGAAGTTAAAAACCTTGAAAAAAGATTAGACAAATAGCTAACTAGAGTAACCAATGCAGAGAAGTCCTTAAAGGACCTGATGGAGATGAAAACCACAGCAAGAGATCTATGTGACAAATGCACAAGTCTCAGTAGTCGATTTGATCAACTGGAAGAAAAGGTATCAGTGATGGAAGATCAAATGAATGAAATAAAGGGAGAAGAGAAGATTAGAGAAAAAGAATAAAAAGAAATGAACAAAGCCTCCAAGAAATAAGGGACTATGTGAAAAGACCAAATCTATGTCTGATTGGTGTACTTGAAACTGACAGGGAGAATGGAACCAAGTTGGAAAACACTCTGCAGGATATTATCCAGGAGAACTTCCCCAATCTAGCAAGGCAGGCCAACATTCAAATTCAGGAAATACAGAGAATGCCACAAAGATACTCCTTGAGAAGAGCAACTCCAAGACACATAATTGTCAGATTCACCAAAGTTGAAATGAAGGAAAAAATGTTAAGGGCAGCAAGAGAGAAAGGTTGGGTTACCCACAAAGGGAAGCCCATCAGAGTAACAGCTGATCTCTCAGCAGAAACTCTACAAGCCAGAAGAGAGTGGGGCCAATATTCAACATTGTTAAAGAAAAGAATTTTCAACCCAGAATTTCATATCCAGCCAAACTAAGCATCAGGAGTGAAGGAGAAATAAAATACTTTACAGACAAGCAAAAGCTGAGAGATTTTGTCACCACCAGGCCTGCCTTACAAGAGCTCCTGAAGGAAGCACTAAACATGGAAAGGAACAACCAGTACCAGCCACCGCAAAACCATGCCAAATTGTAAAGACCATCGATGCTAGGAAGAAACTGCATCAAGTAACAGGCAAAATAACCAGCTAACATCATAATGACAGGATCAAATTCACACATAACACTATTAACATGAAATGTAAATGGGCTAAATGCTCCAATTAAAAGACACAGACTGGCAAATTGGAGAGTCAAGAGCCATCAGTGTGCTATATTCAGGGACCCATCTCATGTGGAGACAAACATAGGCTCAAAATAAAGGGATGGAGGAAGATCTACCAAGCAAATGGAGGTTGCAAGCAAATGCAGGGGTTGCAATCTTAGTCTCTGAGAAAACAGACTTTAAACCAACAAAGATCATAAGAGACAAAGAAGGCCATTACATAATGGTAAAGGGATCAATTCAACAAGAAGAGCTAACGATCCTAAATATATATGCAACCAATATAGGAGCATCCAGATTCATAAAGCAAGTCCTTAGAGACCTACAAAGAGACTTAGATTCCCACACAATAATAATGGGAGACTTTAACACCCCACTGTCAATATTAGACAGAACAATGAGACAGAAGGTCAAGAAGGATATCCAGGACCTGAACTCTGCTCTGCACCAAGCAGACCTAATAGACATCTACAGAATTCTCCACCCCAAATCAACAGAATATACATTCTTCTCAGCACCACATCACACTTATTCTAAAATTGACCACATAATTGGAAGTAAAGCACTCCTCAGCAAATGTAAAAGAACAGAAATCACAACAAACTGTCTCTCAGTCAACAGTGCAATCAAATTAGAACTCAGGAGTAAGAAACTCACTCAAAACCACACAACTACATGGAAACTGAACAACCTGCTCCTGAATGACTACTGGGCAAATAACGAAATGAAGGCAGAAATAAAGATGTTCTTTGAAACCAACGAGAAGAAAGACACAATATACCAGAATCTCTGGGACACATTTACAGCAGTGAAGGGGTGGCCTGCCCCTCCACACCTGTGGGTATTTCTAGTCGGGTTGGGACGAGAGACTAAGAAAAGAAATAAGACACAGAGACAAAGTATAGAGAAACAACAGTGGGCCCAGGGGACTGGTGCTCAGCATACCAAGGACCTGCACCGGCACTGGTCTCTGAGTTCCCTCAGTTTTTATTGATTATTATCTTCATTATTTCAGCAAAAAGGAATGTAGTAGGAGGGCAGGGTGATAATAAGGAGAAGGTCAGCAACAAACATGTGAGCAATAGAATCTATGTCATAATTAAGTTCAAGGGAAGGTACTATGACTGGACATGCGTGTAAGACAGATTTATGTTTCTCTCCACCCAAACATTTCAGTGGAGTAAAGAATGACAAGGCAGCATTGCTGCAAACATGTCTCGCCTCCCACCATAGGGCGGTTTTTCTCTCATCTCAGAATTGAACAAATGTACAATCGGGTTTTATACCAAGACATTCAGTTCCCAGGGGCAGGCAGGAGACAGTGGCCTTCCTCTATCTCAGCTGCAAGAGGCTTTCCTCTTACTAATCCACCTCAGCACAGACCCTTTACGGGTGTCAGGCTGGGAGACGGTCAGGTCTTTCTCATCCCATGAGGCCATATTTCAGACTATCACATGGAGAGAAACCTTGGACAATACCCAGCTTTCAAGGGCAGAGGTCCCTGTGGCTTTCTGCAGTGCATTGTGCCCCTGGTTTATTGAGACTAGAGAATGGTGATGACTTTTACCAAGTATACTGCTTGTAAACATTTTGTTAACAAGGCACGTCCTGCACAGCCCTAGATCCCTTAAACCTTGATTTCATACAACACATGTTTTTGTGAGCTCCAGGTTGAGTCAAAGTGGCTGGGGCAAAGTGGCTGGGGCAAAGCTACAAATTACTAACATCTCAGCAAAGCAATTGTTTAAAGTACAGGTCTTTTTCAAAATGGAGTCTCTTATGTCTTTCTTTTCTACATAGACACAGTAACAGTCTGATCTCTCTTTCTTTTCCCTACACAGCAGTGTGTAGAGGGAAATTCATAGCACTCAATGCCCACAAGAGAAAGCAGGAAAGATCTAAAATCAATATCCTAACATCACAATTAAAAGAACTAGATAAGCAAGAGCAAACAGATTCAAAAGCTAGCAGAAGGCAAGAAGTAACTAAGATCAGAGCAGAACTGAAGGAAATAGAGACCAAAAAAAAAAAACATCAAAAAATCAATGAATCCAGGAGGTGGTTTTTTGAAAAGATCAACAAAATAGATAGACTGCTAGCAAAACTAATAAGAATAAAAACTGGAAGAAGAAAAGCTGAAGAATCAAATAGATGCAATAAAAAATGGTAAAGGGGATATCACTACCAATCCCACAGAAATACAATCTACCATCAGAGAATACACCTCTATGCAAATAAACTAGAAAATCTAGAAAAAATGGATAAATTCTTGGACTCATACACCCTCCAAAGACTAAACCAGGAAGAAGTTGAATCTCTGAATAGACAAATAACAGGCTCTGAAATTGAGGCAATAATTAATAGCCTACCAACCAAAAAAAGTCCAGGACCAGATGGATTCACAGCCGAATTCTACCAGAGGTATGAAAAGGAGCTAGTATCATTTCTTCTGAAATTATTCCAATCAATAAAAAAAGAAAGAATCCTCCCCAACTCATTTTATGAGGCCAGCATCATCCTGATACCTAAGCCTGGCAGAGACACACACAAAAAGAAAATTTTAGATCAATATCCCTCATGAACATCGATGCAAAAATCCTCAATAAAATACTGGCAAACTGAATGCGGCAGCACATCAAAAAGCTTACCCACCAAGATCAATTTGGCTTCATCCCTGGGATGCAAGGCTGGTTCAACATAGGCAAATCAATAAACGTAATCCATCACATAAACAGAACCAAAGACAAAAACCACATGATTATCTCAATAGATGCAGAAAAGGCCTTTGACAAAATTCAACAGCCCTTCATGCTAAAAACTCTCAATAAATTAGGTATTGATGGAACGTATCTCAAAATAATAACAGCTATTTATGACAAACCCACAGCCAATATCATACTGAATGGGCAAAAACTGGAAGCATTCCCTTTGAAAACTGGCACAAGACAAGGATTCCCTCTCTCACCACTCCTATTCAACATAGTGTTGGAAGTTCTGGCCAGGGCAATCAGGCAAGAGAAAGAAATAAAGTGTATTCAATTAGGAAAAGATGAAATCAAATTGTCCCTCTTTGCAGATGATATGATTGCATATTTAGAAAACCCCAACATCTCAGCCCAAAATCTCCTTAAGCTGATAAGCAACTTCAGCAAAGTTTCAGCATACAAAATCAATGTGCAAAAATCACAAGCATTCCTGTACACCAATAACAGACAAACAGGGAGCCAAATCATGAGTGAGCTCCCATTCATAATTGCTACAAAGAGAATAAAATACCTAAGAAGGAGAAATAAGAACACTTTTAAACTGTTGGTGGGAGTGTAAACTAGTTCAACCATTGTGGAAGACAGTGTGGCAATTCCTCAAGGATCTAGAGCTAGAAATACCACTTGACTCAGCAATCCCATTACTGGGTATATACCCAAAGGATTATATATCATGCTACTATAAAGACACAAGCACACTTATGTTTATTGCAGCACTATTGACAATAGCAAAGACTTAGAACCAACCCAAATGTCCATCAATGATAGACTAGATTAAGAAAATGTGGCATGTATACACCATGGAATACTATGCAGCCATAATAAAAAAGGATGAGTTCCTGTTCTTTGCAGGGACACAGATAAAGCCAGAAACCATCATTCTCAGCAAACTATCCCAAAGACAGAAAACCAAACACCTCATATTCTCCCTCATAGGTGGGAATTGAACAATGAGAACACTTGGACACAGGGCAGGGAACATCACACACCAGGGCCTGTCAGGGGATGGGGGCCTAGGGGAGGGATAGCGTCAGGAGAAATACCTTATGTAAAGGATGAGTCGATGGGTGCAGCAAACCAACATGGCACATGTATACATATGTAACAAACCTGCACATTGTGCACATGTACCCTAGAACTTAAAGTATAATTTAAAAAAAATTAGCCAGGCATGGTGGCTCATGCCTGTAGTCCCAGCTACTTGGGAGGCTGAGGCAGGGGAAATCACTCGGACCTGGGAGGAGGAGGAGGAGGTTGTAGTGAGCTGAGATCATGCCACCGCACTCCAGCCTGGGTGACAGAGTGAGACTCTGTCTCAAAAAAAAAAAAAAAAAAAAAAAAAAAAAAAAAAAAAAAAAAGAAAGAAAGAAAGAAAGAAAGAAAGAAAAGAAAAGAAAATATTTAAGATGGCAAATTTCATGGTATGTGTTTGTTACCACAATCAAAGAAAAGGTTAAAAAGAAGTAAAGGAATAAAAGGAATGATGGCAATATTATAGCAAATAGGGAATATATTTAAAAAGATAGAAATAATTAAAAACAACTAAATGGGAATGTGGAGTTGAAAAGTACAGCTGAAATGAGAAATTTTCCAGAGGGAATTTATCTAGAGAGAATTCTCAATAGTAGGTTTAAACTGGCAAAAGAAAGAATCTGTGAACTTGAAAATAGATTAAGATTATGCAACTTGAAGCATAGAGAAAAATTAAGAATGAAGAAAAATATACAGGGCCTCAGAGAAATGTGGGACACTGTTAAGTGCACCAATCTACACATAATGGGCATACCAGAAGAAGAGAGAGAAAAAGGGGCCAGAAAAAATATTCAGAGAAATAATGGCAATAGCCTACACATTCATTAAGCACAATAATTCCAAGTGGGATAAATGCAGACATCCACAAATGGACACCTCATAATAAAAAATATTGGAATTCAAAAAGAAGCAGGAGATCTTGAAAGCAGAAAAGAAATATGACTCATCAGTTTCAAGTGGACCCCATTAATATAACAGCCTATTTCTCAGCAGAAACAATGGAAGCCAGAAGGCAGTGGGATGACATATTCAAGGTACTCAAAGAAAAAAAAGTGTTAACCAAGAATTTTTAACCAGAAAAGCTATCTTTCCAATAAGAAGATGAAATACTTTCCAAGATAAAAAGTGAGAGAATTCATTGCTAACAGACCCGCCTTACTAGAAAAACTAAAGGAAATTCCTCAGGCTGAAAGCAAGTGACTCCAGATTGTAATTTGAATCCATGTGAAAAAACAAACAGCACCAGAAAGGCAATTATGTAACGGTAGAAGACACTATAAATGTATATTTATTTTGCTTCCAACTGATTTTAAAACAACTGTATAAAATATGTGTATCTAATACATTGTTGGGCCTATAACATACGACAAAACATGACACAGACAGTCCTCAACTTACAATTGTTCGACTTACAATTTTTCAACTTTATGTTGGTGTGAAAGTGATATATACTCAGTGGAAATTATACACTGAATTTTAAATTTTGATATTTTTGTGTGCTAGCAATGTATGCTATGATACTCTCTTGTGATGCTGGGAGGTGGCAATGAGCGGCTCCCACTTAGTCATGCAATCACAAAGGTGAACAATTGATACTATATAATATACTATATTTAATACATTACTTGAGCTATTCAACACCTTATTGTAAAATAGGCTTTGTGTTAGATGATTTTGCCCAACTGTAGGCTAATGTAAGTGTTCTGAGCATGGCTAAGGTAGGCTAGACTAAACTATGATGTTTGGTAGGTTAGGCATATTAAATGCATTTTTCACTTGATATTTTTAAATTACAGTGGGTTTATCAGGATGTAACTCCATCATAAGTCAAGGAACATCTGTATATGTGTAATATATTTGCCAATAGCCACACAAAGGAGGTAGGTGACAGCAAAGCTGTATTAAGCTAAGGAAATGACTACAGATAATGAGCTAATAACTATAGCAATATATTGTTCTGTTTGTGATATTAATAGTTGTAATATGTATACAATAATGCTACTAAAGGGGGGAAAATAAATAGAGCTGTGTAGCAGTAATATTTTTCTATATCATTGGAGTTGAGCTAGTATAAATCTGGATCTGATTCTGATAAGTTAAGATGATCTAGGTAAAACCTAGATCAAACATACTTTATATTATGTTCAGAAGAAACTCAAAATATAGTACAAGAATCATTTAAAAAATTAAAACTCTACACTAGGAAATATTCATTTAATTCAAAAGAAAGCAGTAAAGGAGGACTAGAGGAAGAAAAAAAGACAAGGCACATATAGAAAGCAAAAGTAAAGTGGCAGATGTAAATGTAACCATAGAAATAACGTTAACTATGAATGAATTCAACAATCAAATCTAACGGCACAGTTTTTCTGACTAGGTTTGAAAAATGTGATTCAGCTATATGCTGTCCACCATAAACATACTTTAGATTCAAGGGTACAAATAGAATAAAAGTTTAAAAATGGAAAAGATATATATAGTGCAAATAGTAACCACAAGAGAGCTGGAATACCTATACTCATACCAAACAAAATAGAAATTAAAACAAAAATATCAATAGAGAAAAAAGACATTTTATTATGATAAAAGGGTCAATGTTTAAAAAAATTGAACAAACTAGGAATAGAAGAGTATTTCCTCAACCTGATAAAGGTCTTCTTTGAAAAACCCATAGATGAAACCCATAGGTGAAAGGGCCAATTCTTCCCCACTAAGATCAGGAACAAGACAAGAATGTCCACTCTCATTACTTCTACTTAACATTTGTACTGGTGGTTCTAGCCAGGACAATAAGACAAGAAACAGGAATTAAAATCATGCAGATTGGGAAGGAAAAAGTAAAACTCTCTCTAGTCAAAGATGACATGATTTTGAATATAGAAAATTCTAAGGAACCCACAAAAAACCTGTCATAACTAATAAAAACAAGTTCAGCAAGGTTGCAAGATATGAGATCAATATACAAAATCAATGGAATCTTTTACACTGAAAAATGAAATTAAGAAAGCATCCATTCATAATCACATGATAAAGGAATAAATTTAACTAAAGGAAGTACAAAAACAATCAGGAAAGAAACAGGAGTAGCAAGAAACAGCTATAGATTGCATGGTTCTTTCCTGACAAAATCAGTATGTTGAAATCCAGTCCCCAGTGTGATAGTATTTGGAAGTGGAGCATTTGGGAGATGATTAGGTGACAAGTACAGAGCCCTCATGAATGGGATTCGTGTCCTTACAAAGAAGCCCCAGAGAGCTCCCTTGTTCATTTTACCATGTGAGGACACAGCACAAAGATTATGAACCAGGAAACAGGCCCTCACCAGACACAAAGCATGCCAGTGACTTGATCTTGTTTGTTTGTTTGTTTGTTTGTTTGTTTTTTGAGATGGAGTCTTACTCCATTGCCCAGGCTGGAGTGTAGTGGCATGATCCTGGCTCACTGCAACCTCCACCTCCCAGGTTCAAGCGATTCTCTTGCCTCAGCCTCCTGAGTAGCTGGGACTACAGGCACCTACCACTACGCCTGGCTAATTTTTGTATTTTAGTAGAGATGGGGTTTCACCATGTTGGCCAGGCTGGTCTCAAACACCTGACCTCAAGCCATCCACCCACCTTGGCCTCCCAAAGTGTTGGGATTACAGGCGTGAGCTATTGTGCCTGGACTATGACTTGATCTTGGACTTCCCAGCCTCTAGAACTGTAAGAAATAAACTTCTTTTCTTTATTAAAAAAAAAAAAGGACAAAAAAAAGTTTAAAAAATGGGGCTTGTCTCCAAGTGAAATAAATAAATGGCCAGTGAGCACATGAAAAATCCTAGACATTATTAGCCATGAGGGAAGATGCAAATCAAAACCACAGTGAGGTACCCCTTCAAATATATGAGGGTCACTGGAATAAAAAAGTAGTAAAACAATAATACCAAGTGTTGACAAGGATAGCAAGAGAATGGTGCCCTCATAAACTGCTGATGGGCATGCAACTGTTGCAGCTGCTGTGGAAAACAGTCTGGCAGTCCCTGGAATGGTTAAACGAAGAGCAGATGACACCGCAGTTCCATTCCTAGATATGAAGCTAAGTGAAATGAAAATATATGTTCACAAATGAGAACACATGGACACAGGGAGGGGAACATCACACACCGGGGCCTGTCGGGGGGGTGGGAGGCAAGGAGAGGGAGAGCATTAGGACAAATACCTAATGCATGCGGGGCTTAAAACCTAAATAACGGGTTGATAGTTGCAGCAAACCACCATGACACATGTATACCTATGTAACACATCTGCACATTCTGCACATGTATCCCAGAACTTAAAGTAAAATAAAATAAAACAAGAAAATATATGTTCACAAAAATTTCTACATGAGTGTTTATAGCTGCATTATTCACAATGGTCAAAAGGTGGAAAGAACACAATTGCCTATTGTCATCGGTGGAATTGTGTCCCCTAAAAATACATGTTGATGTACTAACCTCCAGTTTCTCAGAATGTGACCTTATTTGTAAATAGGGCCATCACATATAATCAGGTTAACATGAGGTCATTGGGGTGGGTCTTATTCCAGTCTGGCTGGTGTCCTTATTGACACCAGAGGGAACGAGGGAGACACACAGGGAGAAGAAGGCCATATGTTGACTGTGGCAGGGACTGGAGCAATGCATCCAAAACCAAGAAATCCAAACCAAGAAATTCTAAGAATTATCAGCAAATACTAAAACTGGAAGAGTCAAGGAAGATTGATCTCCTACAGGTTTCAGAAAGAGCATGGCTCTGCTAACACCTTGATTTTGAACTTCTAGCCTCCAGAACTATGAGACAATATATTTCTGTTGTTTTTGCTTTTGTTTTATGGGTTTTTCTTTTTGTTTTTGAGACAGAGTCTCACTCTGTCACCCAGGCTGGAGTGCATTGGCACAATCTCAGCTCACTGCAACCTCCACCTCTTGGGTTCAAGTGATTCTCCTGCCTCAGCCTCCTGAGTAGCTGGGATTACAGGCACGCACCACCATGCCGGGCTAATTTTTGTATTTCTTTAGCAGATACGGGGTTTCACTATGTTGGCCAAGCTGGTCTCAAACTCCTAAACTCAAAAGACCCACCCACCTCTGCCTCCCAAAGTGCTGGGATTACAGGCGTGAGCCATCGTGCCCAGCCCATTTCTGTTTTTTAAGCCACTAAGTTTGTGGTACTTTGTTATATGTACCTAGGTTCCCAGGCAGCCCTAGGAAGCTAATAAACTCATCCCTGGATAAACTGATAAATATCCATACAACGCAATTTCGTTCAGCCACAAAGGGGAATGAAGTAGAACTTCATGCTATGACTAGCATGAACCCTTACAAAAGTGTTAGTGAAAGAAGCCAATCAGAAAAGATCATATAATATATGACTCAATTTACATACAAGTCAAGAATAGAGAATCTAGGCCAGGCACAGTGGCTCACGCCTGTAATCTCAGCACTTTGAGAGGCCGAGGCGGGAGGATCATTTGAGGTCAGGAGTTCAAAACCTGCCTGGCCAACATGGCAAAATCCTATCTCTACTAAAAATACAAGAATTAGCCAGGCACGGTGGTGAGTGCCTGTAATCCCAGCTACTCAGGAGGCTGAGGCAGGAGAATCTCTTGAACCCAGGAGGCGGAGGTTGCAGTGAACAGAGATCATGCCATTGTACTCCAGCCTGGGCAACAGAGCAAGGCTCCATCTAAAAAAAAAAAAGAGAGAGAAAGAAAAGAAAAGAAAAAAAGAATAGAGGATCTATAAAGAAAAGTAGATTCGTGGTTACTCAGGGCGGGGAATTGAGTGTGGGGGGAAAGCAGTAAGACAAAGGTATGAGGTTTCTTTTTGAGGTGATGAAAATGTTCTAAAATTGACCATGGTGGTGGTTGCAGTATTGATTAATACACCCAAACCCATTTAATTGTACACTTTATGATCTGTAAGTTATATCAATAAAGGCGTTTTTAACAAGAAAAGAAACAGATAAAAAGAAAAAAAGCTCACAGTAAAGAAAATGTCCTCTCTGACTTATAGGTCTTGATTAGTTCTAGGAAGAAAATTGATTCACCTAGTTTCTGAGAAATGTTTACTCTAATTAAATGAATTACTTCCAGGGAATAGCAGGAGTACCGATTCTCTCTAACCTGCCTCATACTTCCTGGTGTTACCTAATCCACCTGGGCTTCCTCCATCACAGTCCTCCACATTCTACTCTGTGCTCCCTTCATCAGAGCTATGCTGGGCTATGCTGGGCTGTCACTGTGAGAGATGGAGCACTCTTCCCTGCTGGGCTGTGAGCCCTATGTGGTGAGTCACTGAGCTTTTCCTGGTCACCATTATGTCATTAGGTCCTTCTGTGGGCCCCTTGAAAGAACCTGATGTGTGTTGAATAATTACAATGTAATGTCTTATCTTATATCCTCAGAATTTCTAGGAACTTTTTTTTTTTTTGAGATAGAATCTCACTCTGTAGCCAGGCTGGAGTGCAATGGCTCAGTCTCGGCTCACTGCCACCTCCGCCTCCTGGGTTCAAGTGATTCTCCTGCCTCAGCTTCCCAAGTAGCTGGGACTACAGGCACGTGCCACCACACCTAGTGAATTTTAGTATTTTTAGAAGAGACAGGCTATCACCATGTAGGCCAGGATGGTCTCAATCTCTTGACCTCACGATCCGCCCTCCTTAGCCTCCCAGAGTGCTGGGAATACAGGCGTGAGCCACCGCACCAGCCTCTAGGAACTTTCTAATAGGCTCGCGTCATAAATAGAAATGAAGGCTATTTTGAGGACCTATAGCTCTTCTGTGCTTTACCTAAAGAGAGATCAACAATTCTCTCTCCTGCTTAATGTATTCTTTTTTTTTTCCCTTGAGACACAATCTTGCTCTGTCACCAGACTGGAGCGCAGTGGCGTGATCTCAGCTCACTGCAGCCTCTGCCTCACGGGTTCAAGCGATTCTGCTGCCTCAGCCTCCCGAGTAGCTGGGACTACAGGCACATGCCACCATGCCCGGCTAATTTTTTTTTTTTTTTGGTAGAGATGGAGTTTCATCATGTTAGCCAGGCTGGTCATGAACTCCTGACCACAGGTGATCCACGCGCCTTGCCCTCCCAAAGCCCTGGGATTACAGGCGTGAGCCACCGTGCCCAGCCTGCTTTATGTATTCTATTTGCACGTAAGATCATTTGAAAAAAGGTTTTCACAGCTAAAAATGTTTGATGCCCATTGTACTGTGTACTTGTGAGGTGTGTTTGTAGCTCTGAGATGCTGTATTTATAGAAGGGGTGCCAAGGCTTTAATGATGTGGGTTTGTATGTTGGTGTCTGTGGTGGGCATAGGAATGTGCTACTTGAATCTTCATTCATGGAGAACTTTCCAATCAGCTTCAATAAGGGCAGTGAGCTGAGAGTCTCCAGTTGCAGCACCATTAGGACCCACCTCAGCATGGAGCGGAACCCATGCTTTTCCAAGGAAGCCCCAGATAGTAATTAAGGACTCTTGGATCCAGGGCATAACCCTATCTGCCCAACATAAGCCATCCCCAACAGCATTTTTCTGTGGATTATGGGTCTGTTATCTCTGCCTGGTGGTCTTGGCCTGTCCCTGTCCAATCCTCCTTCCTTCCTTTCTTTCACAAGTATTGGATCTGCATCCTGGTCTGAAGACTTTTTCTGCTACTAGTGTCATCTGCTTCCTTTTTTGTCTTTCACATGCATTACCCTCCTCCCTCCAATAAAATGATGAACCCCTAACTCCATCTAAGTCTTAGCTTCCCAGAAGATGTAATTCCCAAAATGTACATAATGGTGCTTATTGTTTGTTTGTTTTGAGACAGAGTCTCCCACTGTTGCCCAGGCTGGAGTGCAGTGGCACTATCTCGGCTCACTGCAACCTCCCCCTCCCGAGTTCAAGTGATTCTCATGCCTCAGCCTCCTGAGTAGCTGGGATTACGGGGATGCACCATCACGCCTGGCTAATTTCTATTTTTAGTAGAGATGGGGTTTCACTGTGTTGGCCAGGCTGGTCTTGAACTCCTGGCCTCAAGTGATCTGCCCACCTTGGCCTCCCAAAGTCCTGGGATTACAGGTGTGAGCCACCATGTCTGGCCGCATTTATTGTTTATTATATACACAGTCTCAAAACTCTTTTCTGATTTTCTAAGTACCTCCTATTGTGTGGCTCTTGATCAGGGACAAGGCTTTGCCTCCCACTACAACAGCTGAAGGAGGTATTCATTCTTCCTCACCTCACCTTGAACCCTAAGGTTTTAACATGTGGCTAGATATCTGGAACTCTTAATCATGAGGATGTGAGACAAAAACACAGACACAATCAGGAAATCATCTATAGTGGCATCAATGGGTCTAGAGTCCCATGGCAGTACCCAGGGGGTGGGTCAGGTGTTCAGTACCCAGGAGATGGGTGGTGTGGCAGCAGGTCCTACCGAATAGCTTTGAACATTACCTTGGCTGGTGGTCCCCTACCACAGCCTCTTTTTTCTACTCATATTCTTACGCTGTTTTTCCAGAATTGCTGTTAATTTTGTGAGCTAAACAATCACCTTCCAGTAGCTAACAGCCTTTCTATTTAAAATAACCAAAGTCACTTTATATTGCTTAAAAATAGGAACCCTGGCTGGGCGCAGTGGCTCACGCCTGTAATCCCAGCACTTTGGGAGGCCGAGGCAAGTGGACCACCTGAGGTCAGGAGTTCGAGACCAGCCTGGCCAACATGGTGAAATCTCATTTCTACTGAAAATGCAAAAATTAGCTAGGCGTGGTTGTGCACGCCTGTACCCCAGCTACTTCAGGGGGCTGAAGCAGGAGAATCGCTTGAACCTGGGAGGCAGAGGTTGCAGTGAGCTGACTGTTATGGGTCCCGAGGTTCCCTGGAGGTGACAGGTTGAAGAAGTGATCAAAGATGAGGTGTGCACTCCTGCCTGAACTCCCACTTTCTCTCACACCCTATATACAATACCGTAGCAAACCCCACCATCTCAGGCAGTGAAATAGTTTTCAAATCTACCACCTCCTCCCCAGCTTCACTGCTGCTGCTGGGTCTGAGTCAACATCACCAGTTGTAGTAGCCTGCTAATAGGTCTTTGCTTTCATATCCATCATATGATAGCTAGTGTGAGCCCATTAAAATATGTCAGTACATATCACCCTCTGCTCACCATCCCTCCAAAGACCTTGATCACTCTCAGGGTAAAAGCCAAAACCTCACCTTGGCCCACAAGACCCCACACAGTCTGGCCCCCATCGCCTCCCTGGCCTCGTTTCCTTCACTCCTACTCTGCCTCCCTCCTCCATGCCAGCTACACCTGCTCCCTGTGGATTCCTGGATGCACACAGCCTCCTGCCTTAGGACTCTGCTGGTTTGTTTGTTTGTTTGTTTGCTTGCTTGCTTGTTTGTTTGTTTGTGACAGAGTCTCGCACTGTTGCCTGGGCTGGAGTGCAATGGCGTGATCACAGCTCACTGAAACCTCTGCCTCCCAAGTTCAAGTGATTCTCCTGCCTCAGCCTCCCCAGTAGCTGGGATTACAGGCACCTGCCACCAGTCCCGGCTAACTTTTGTATTTTTCTTAGAGACAGGGGTTTCACCATGTTGGCCAGGCTGGTCTCAAACTCCTGACCTCAGGTGATCCGCCAGCCTTGGCCTCCCAAAGTGTGAGGATTACAGGTGTAAGCCACCATGCTCAGTCGCTGCTGGTTTTTTGTTGTTGTTGTTGTTGTTTGTTTTTTGTGTTTTTGTTTTTTTGTTTTGAGACAGCATCTCACTCTGTTGCCCAGGATGGAGTGCAGTGGCAGGATCTCGGCTCACTGAAAGCTCTGCCTCCCTAGTTCACACCGTTCTCCTGCCTCAGCCTCCCAAGTAGTTGGGACTACAGCCGCCTGCCACCACAGCCAGCTAATTTTTTGTATTTTTAGTAGAGACGAGGTTTCACTGTGTTAGCCAGGATGGTCTTGATCTCCTGACCTCGTGATCCGCCCACCTCCCAAAGTGCTGGGATTACAGGCGTGAACCACCGCACCGCGCCTGGCCACTGCTGTTGGTTAATCATTCTGTCAGGAACACTCCCTTCCCAGATATCTTCATAGCTTGCTGCTCCACCACCTTGTGAAAACACCCCTAACCATCCATTTAAATTCCAATCACAGAATGCATATCCCACTTACCAGCCTTGCTTTTCTAATGCAGTATGTCATTTGCATATTTGTTTCATGTATGCTTTATTGTCCACCTTCCTTACTAGAATGTTAGCTCCCTGATGGCGGAGTTTTTGTCTGTTTTGCTTACTGATGGATCCCAAGTCCCTGAAGACTACGCTGGCACTTGTTGGGTATTCAGTAAATATTGCCTGAATAAATGAAAAAGAGGGAACGTTTCTGTCAGTTAATGGAGTTTGGAAACGGAATGATAGAAGGTGGGAACAACTGAGCTATCCTCAAAAATGGAGTGGAGAGAGCAAGCATGGTGGCTCACACCTGTAATCCCAGCACTTTGGGAGGCTAAGGTGGGCAGATCGCTTGAGGCCAGGATTTCGAGACCAGCCTGGGCAAATGGTGAAAACCCATCTCTACTAAAATTACAAAAATTAGCCAGGTGCAGTGGCACGTGCCTGTAATCTCAGCTACTCGGGAGGCCGAGGCACAAAAATCACTTGAACCCGGGAGGTGGAGGTTGCAGTGAGCCTAGATGGTGCCACTGCACTCCAGCCTGGGCCACAGAGTGAGACTCCATCTCCAAACAAACAAACGGACTGGGGAGTATTTGGAATTGGGAGTTGTGCTGAGAGCAACTGGAAAGGAAGATTAGAAGAAGAGATGATGGCGGAGAAAGGTAAGGAGCAAGATGGGTGAGGATGGGGCATTTTACCCAGGGGAAGTCACTGGAGAGCAGCTGGCAGAAACTATAACTAATAACAAGTCAAGAAAGACATTTCAAACTGTTGGCTGTGCCCTACATCGCTGTCACACACAATACACAATAAACTTGCTATGCTCAACAGACTTGAGGTCTTTGTTCACTTTTCGGGGGCTGGTGGAAATGAGAACCAAAGAGAAAGGATTTTAGACTACATTTTGGTCAAAATCAGAGCACACACAAAAAGGGACAATATGAAGACACAGGGACTGCAGTAATAATTTGATGCAGCCAGAAACCTAAGCAACGGTGACCATGTGACCATGAAACCTGCAGGCAGAGGTGCAAATCTTGCACAGGGCGTTGCTCTTCTACGGCAGGGGAAGACACGCAGCTGTACCTTCTCAGGTGACCCTGGCTGACTCTGTAATCATAGTGCCTCCTCTTAGGGATGCTTGAGGATTAGTAAGATGAGGAAGAGGGGGTGCTCCTGAACACGAGAGGAGAGCTGCGTTCTTCACCGCTTCCTCCTTGCCCCGCAGGAGGTGTAGCTCAGCGGGCCACAAGACAGAGCTCGTAGGTCGGGGGGATGTTGCCAAAGCCTGAGAGCTTGGGGGTGATATCGATGTCCACAGGCGGCACCAGCGAGTGTAGAGAGAAGTTCTGAAGGGTGGAGGTGAAGTAGAGAAAGAGTTCCATGCGGTCCATGGCCTCGCCCAGGCAGATGCGCTTTCCTGGAGGCACAGGGGAGGGCAGAAGGAAGGGTCGCACCTGCACAGGTCATGGGGATGTCGGGGTGTCTGGACTGACCACCCCACTGAGCCTCAGCTGCCTCATCGGCACCTCAGGGCTCATGACTGTGACTGCTTTATAAAGGGGTGTTACACAGGCTTAGTGGGTACCTATAGTTAGTGCTCAGCTAGGACCTGCTACTTCTCTGATGGCTGGGATTCCATCTCGTTCCAAGAGGGAATGGTTCTATAGGATCCATGAGTTTCAAGGTTGTGTTCATTTCAGTTCCTCAAGGGTTTGTCAAATGCCTATTAGGTGCCAGACACTGGTGACAAAAAAAGTGAAAACTCACCCTTAATAACACTTACTGTTTGTAAGCCACTCTTCCAATTGTTTGGAGGCATTAATCCCTGTTTCACAGATGGGAGCTGAAGTGACTCACCCAAGGCTCCACCATTTCTAAATGGTGGAGTGGAGTCCAGATTCCCAACCACTGTCCTGACTCCAGGTTCCAAATGACATACACTTTTTGTTGTTGTTGTTTTTTGTTTGTTTGAGACAGGATCTTACTCTGTCGCCCAGGCTGGAGTGCAGTGGCATGATCTCGGCTCACTGCAACCTCCGCCTCCCGGGTTCAAGTGATTTTTGTGCCTCAGCCTCCCGAGTAGCTGGGATTACAGGCACCCGCCACCACGCCTGGCTAATTTTTGAATTTTAGTAGAGACAGGGTTTCACCATGTTGGCCAGGCTGGTCTCGAACTCCTGGCCTCAAGTGATCCGCCTGCCTCGGCTTCCCAAAGTGCTGGGATTACAGGCATGAGCCACTGTGCC
This sequence comes from Homo sapiens, assembly GCF_000001405.40. NCBI lineage: Eukaryota > Metazoa > Chordata > Mammalia > Primates > Hominidae > Homo > Homo sapiens. The sequence goes on from NC_000019.10 coordinate 41,051,460, forward strand.
ATGCCAACATACACTTAAAATGTTGCTGCATAAAGATTTTATGACATGAGTAGGCAAATGACTGTCTGTTGGGCAAATTTGCCCTGCTGCTTGTGTTCATACAGCCTGCAAACTATGAATGCTTTTGGCATTTTAAAATGGTTGGGGAAAAAAGACTCTTTTGTGTTATATGAAGATAAAACAAAATTCAAATTTCAGTGTCCGTAAACAGTTTTTCAGGCTCACATGCACACTCATTCATTTATATATTGTCTATGGCTGCTTTCATAGATCAATGGCAAAGGTTCAGAGACTATCTGGCTGGAAAAATAGAAAATATGTCTTATTTTGTTCTTAACAGCCAGTTGGTTTATGCCCTGTTTAGTGCTATTACTGAGCCAACTTTTTTTTCTAATTATCAGAGTCAATCGTTCTAATATTTACTAATTCTGGGATTCTAAAATGTTGTGTGGTTCTATGATATAACCTTCAAATTCACATTGTGACTTGAACTTCAAATACAGACCAGTGGCTGGGGGGTGGATTTAGCACATGCCTGGAGGAAGTCAGACCAGAGAAACCTACCAGAGGAAAAAGGCACAAAGGCTTCATTCTTCTTGAAGCGGCCCTGCTCATCCAGAAAGTGCTGGGGATAGAAGGCATCTGGGTAGCGGAAGTATTTGGGGTCTTTGAGGACAGAGCCAAGCAGGGGAAATACATCTGTGCCCTGGGGTGAAAATGGGGGCAGTTAGGAGAAATCAGTGTTGGGCTACAGAGGTAGGGAACCAGGGAGAGAGAGGAGTGCAGTGGAAGGGAGGCAATGAGGGTGCAACCCCACCTTGGGCAGAAGGTAGCCTCGAAACTGAGTGTCCCGGATGAGGTTGTGGGGGACACCCATGGGCACGATGTCTACCAGTCTCTGTATTTCGTGGATGACGGCATCTGTGTAGGGCATCTTGACCCGGTCATCCACCCTTGGGAGCCGGTGTGGTCCAATCACTTGGTTAATCTCTTCATGGATCTTAGCTGGAAGGGGCCAGAAAATATAGCTGAGAACAGAGAAAAAATAAACAAAAGCAGGAGGTGTTTTTGCTAGGGAAGCCAGGACAAATCCTGCATTCCTAGCTCCAGCAGAAAGAGATCTCAAGTGAAAGCCATGCATGTTTGCTCCCTTCTTTTTTTTTTTTTTTTAAACAGCCTGTCACCCAGGCTGGAGTGCAATGGCATGATCTCGGCTCACTGCAACCTCCACCTCCCGGGTTCAAGTGATTTTTCTGCCTCAGCCTCCAGAGCAACTGGGATTACAGGCACCTGCCACCCACCTGGTTAATTTTTGTACTTTTAATAGAGATGGGGTTTCACCATGCTGGTCAAGCTGATCTCGAACTCCTGACCTCGTGATCCACCCACCTTGGCCTCCCAAAGTGCTGAGATTATAGGTGTGAGCCACCGCACCTGGCCTGTTTGGTCGCTTCTTTAACTTAACAACTGACACACTGGTGATGCTCAATTACTCATCAGACATCGGGAGACAGGCAGCTTGGAGTCTTGAACGCTGCCAGGACATTTGGTCTTTACTTAAAAGCACCAAAAAGCCATGGTCCCAGCTTGGCTCTCATACATGGGTTTTTTACAAAATGGGAAAGAGGCATGCTAGGTGACTAGGACAGGGTTGACACAAATGACAAGCGGTTATGTGACTGATTAAGATCACCACTGGTAGAGTTACTCCTCTTCGCATTTTAGGGTTTAGGGATGAGTGACTTCACCTTCTATTTTCTTTTGGAGATGGAGTCTTCTCACTCTGTTGTCCAGGCTAGAGTGCAGTGGCAGGATCTCAGCTCACTGCAAGCTCCACCTCCCGGGTTCACACCATTCTCCTGCCTCAGCCTCCCGAGTAGCTGGGACTACAGGTGCCTGCCACTGCGCCCAGCTAATTTTTAAAATATTTTTAATAGAGACAGGGTTTCACCGTGTTAGCCAGGACGGTCTTGATCTCCTGACCTCGTGATCCGCCTGCCTCGGCCTCCTAAAGTGCTGGAATTACAGGCGTGAGCCACCGCACCTGGCCTGTGTGACTTCACCTCTGAACTTGTGTTTCATCATCTTCAAAATGAGTGTGATAGTTGGACAAGGTCATAGAGTTGTAAACATTACATAAAGTCTGGTGTACAAGGAACTAGGACAGTGCTTGGCACACAGAAGCATCCAATAAATATTGATTTGATATTTTTTCTTTCTTTTTTTTTTTTTTTAGACGGAGTCTTGCTCTGTCCCCAGGCTGGAGTGCAGTGGTGCAATCTTGGCTCACTGCAACTTCTGCCTCCTGGGATCAAATGATTCTCATGCCTCAGCCCCCCAGGTAGCTGGGATTACAGGTGTGCACTACCACACCTGGCTACTTTTTGCATTTTTAATAGAGAAAAGGTTTCACCATGTTGGCCAGGCTGGTCTTGAAGTCCTGGCCTCAGCAATTTGCCCATCTCTGCCTCCCAAAGTGCTGGGATTACAGGCGTGAGCCACCGCACCCAGCCTGATTATTTAGACCAGTGAAAGACAACTCAGACAATGGAGGTGACACTAGAAACATTTGAGTGGATGTGTGTTAGCATCTCTCATCTGCACCAGGAGAAATTCTTTGGCTTGTTTTGAATTGCATTATTAAGGAGAGGGGCCAAAATTGGGAATTTTCCTTAAGCAAGTAGTGAGTTCCTCATTACTGAAGTTACCCAAATGGACCAGATCATAATTTATTGGAGACAGATTCTATTTAACTTTGGCAGGGCGGTTGGCTCAATAATGGCCATCAAAGATAACCACCTCCAAGTCTCTAAAACCTAATGCCTGGAAGGCTATATATATAAGGGTAACAAAAACACAAGAGAGACTTTGAAAATGCCAGTAAATTAAGAATCTTGAGATGAAAAGATTAGCCTGGGTTGTTGAGATTCGCCCTCAATATAATATCGTGTGTCTGTATAAGAGAGAAGTGGGAGAATCAGAGTTAGAAAAAAAAATGTGAGGCTGGGCACAGCGGCTCACACCTGTAATCCCAGCATTTTGGAGGCCAAGGCAGGTGAGTTACCTGAGGTCAGGAGTTTGAGACCAGCCTGGCCAAGATGGTGAAACCCTGTCTCTACTAAAACTACAAAATTAGTTGGGCATGGGGTGGCACACACCTGTAATCCCAGCTATTTGGGAGGCTAAGGCAGGAGAATCGCTTGAACCCAGGAGGCAGAGGTTGCATGAGCTGAGATCACGCCACTGCACCGCAGCCTGGGCAACAGAGGAAGACTCTGTCTCCAAAAACAAAGAAAAAGAATAAAAGATGTGATGGATGCCAGAAGTAAACAGAGGTTTGAAGCAGCTATGCTGCTGGCTTTGAAGATGGAGGACAGAGTCGTGAACCCAGGATTACAAGGAGTACAGCTTTAACACCCGGAAAAGGCAGAGAATCAGATAGTCCGTTGGTGTCAGCTAGTGAAAGCCTATTTGAACTTCTGAAATTCAGAACAGAAGGATAATACATTTGTGTTGTTTTAGACGACTAAGTTCCTGGTAATTTGTTACAGCAGCCACAGGCCGCAGACACCAAGTAGAAGATTAAGTTAAATCACCCCGCAAAGTTGGGGATTTCATGTTTCAAGTCCTGAAGTTCTAAAGGGTGAAGAGCCTGAGGCCGTGGGATTCTAAATTTTCAAGATGATGTCTTCTTTATGTTGGGAGGGGGAGGTACCAGATAGGCAGCTCAGGGTGGACTCACCTTCCACTTCAGGATGCTTCATTAACAGCAAGAATCCATAGCGCAGTGTAGAGCTCACCGTCTCCGTGCCAGCAAAGAAGAGGTTCAGAGTGGTGAGGACCAAGTTCTTGAGGTTGAATTCTGTACGAGGATTATTTTTATCCTGAAAGTGAGGGGATTGTGAATGGAATCACTCTCTTCTGTCTTTATTGTCTTTTTTTTTTTTTTTGACAGAGTCTCGCTCTGTTGCCCAGACTGAAGTGCAGTGGCATGATCCCATCTCACTGCAACCTCCACCTCCTGGGTTCAAGTGATTCTCCTGCCTCAGCCTCCCGAGTAGCTGGAGTTACAGGCACCCGCCACCATGCCCAGCTAATTTTGTGTGTGTGTGTGTGTACTTTTAGTAGAGATGGGGTTTCACCATGCTGGCCAGGCTGGTCTCAAACTTCTGATCTCAGTTGATAGGCCCACCTTGGCCTCCCAAAGTGCTGGGATTACAGGCGTGAGCCACTGCGCCTGGCCTATTGTGTTATTTTCTCATTGGCTTTATTGTCTATTGTATAGGGAGACAACAGGTGGGTAAACCAAGCGTGTCTGGGAGAGGACACAGTCAGAACAAAGGTCCTGCGGCAGGAACGTGCCTGATGTGTTAGAGGAACAGCAAGGCAGAAGCTGGGATGAATGAGATGAAGTGAACAATAGGGAGGATGGGAGGAGAAGAATGTAGGATGCCTTGTAATATTTGAACATGTAGGGATAGTAGTGTATAGAATTTAAATTTCCAAAGGCAAAGATTCAATACTATAAAAATATAAATTTACAAATGTATAAAACTCTAAGAAATGATGATACAGAAGTATTAACCTTCTAAATTTCTATAGAAATGTAGAAATAGATATATATATATCTATAGAGATATAGAAATAGAGATATATCTCTATACAGACATAGAATTAGAGATATATCTCTATACAGATATAGAATTAGAGATATATCTGTATACAAATTCAGAAGATTAATACTTCTGTATCATCATTTCTTAGAGTTTTATACATTTGTAAATTTATATTTTTATGTTATTGAACCTTTAATTTAAATTTAAACTCTATGCCCTACTGTCCCTACACGTTCACATCTTTTAACTTTAACTTAAATGTTTAACTTAAATGTTAACTTAAATTTTAAACTTCAGAAAAGTTCTACATTTCTGAAATTCTAAGACTCAAAACTACAGTTGTAACTCTCTGGAATGTATAAGCTGTAAGATTTTAAGTTTCCAAGTTCCTAAATTTTCCAAATTCCTAAAATTTCTAGATTCAAAATCTGTTTTAAAGCTGTAACAGTTTATACTTTTACAGTTTCTATATTCATCTATAGATAAAAGTAAATGCTGTGAAATAATGCTTGTTTTGTTTTGTTTTGTCCTCAATGCTTGCAGATTGGTTGAAAGTTGCAGCGACTAGAGGTTGAGAAGTGAGAGGGAAGGACCAGGGGAAGAAGAGGAGGTACCTGGTGCATCTTGATGAGAAAGCAGTCAATGAAGTCCCGAGGGTTTTGGGGGTCAAAGGATGCTTCGTTGATCTTGACCCTGGAGGCAATGAAGTCCTTGAGCTCTTCTACCAAGTAGTAGATGAGATTGTGTCTTCCTGGCAAATACTGCATGATTCCAGAGTACATGTCATATAGCTGTGGGAATAGGCAAGGGGTCTTTGTCAGTGATGGGCTCCAGGGGCCAGCATGGGCTGAGTCTGGAGTTGGACAGCTGGACTCAAAGTGCAGTGCTGGGTCTAAGAATCAGGTGAGGCCCTTTTGCTTCCCAGAAGTTGGGTCCTATTGAGACAGTAGTTCCCCCTTAACCCTGGTTTACCTTCCACCATTTCAGTTACGTGCAGTCAACTGCAGTCTAAAAATATCACATATAATAAGATATTTCGAGAGAGAAAGAGTACATTCACACAACTGTTGTTAGAATATATTGTTATAATTGTTCTATTTTATTACTTATGAATGCCAGTCTCTTACTGCACTCAATTTATAAATTGAATTTTGTCATGATACGTATATATGAGAAAAACTTAGTATCTACAGAATTGGGTACTATCCATGGTTTGAGGCATCCACCGGGGGTCTTGAACATATCCTCCAGCCATGAGGGGGAACTACTGTACTCACCTCCCAGGGGTGTGGGGAGGATCAAGTGGGGTATAGGAAGGTGCTTAGTTAACTGGGGTTGGTGCATGGACAGAGAGGTGGTGGGGTGGGCACCTGTGCCCAGGGAGTGCTCATCTCAATGAAACTCTCATTGATCAACCGCAGCAGATTCAGGAACTGCTTGTCCTCATAGTCGAAGCGACTTCTGAAGACAACGGAACTGATGACGTTGGAAACGGTGCGGCTCAGCAAGAAGATGGGGTCGATGGGGGCACCTGGGCAGTAGAAATTGTTTATGTTGGAGGCAATGATCATGAATATGGGGTGTGGAGTCACAGTGATGCATCTGAGTCCCAGCTCTACTACTTAATTGCATGTGTGAGCCACTTTATTTTTGTGTTTTGAGTCTAGATTGACCAATCTGCAAATTGGTTTGGGAACCGTTTCATTCACTCATGAGGATTCATTATCATTATCCATATAAAATAATTAGCACAATGCCTGGCATACAGTAAGCACTCAAGAAAAGCTAGTTGAGCTTAATCATTATTTTTTATTATTATTACTTAAATGTGTTGTTGTTAGAGACTCACATATTTGGGGAAAAGTGGGATAAGGGACACATTATAAAAGTTCCTGAATTCTGTCTAGCTCTACTGATGATTCCATTTGGGCAATTAGAAAAATCCTTCCCAGCCAGGTGCAGTGGCTCATGCCTGTAATCCCAGCACTTTGGGAGACCGAGGCAGGCAGATCACAAGATCAGGAGTTGGAGACCAGCCTGACCAACAGGGCGAAACCCTGTCTCTACTAAAAATACAAAAATTAGCCAGGTGTGGTGGCAGGCGCCTGTAATCCCAGCTACACAGGAAGCTGAGGCAGGAGAATTGCTTGAACCTGGGAGGTGGAGGTTGCAGTGAGCCGAGATCGTGCCATTGCACTCCAGCCTGGGTGACAAGAGCAAGACTCTGTCTCAAAACAAAACAAAACAAAACAAAACAAAATCCTTCCCTTGCCCTCACCTACACCTTCTGTAAAACAAGATCAGTAGATCTGGGAAGAATTTCTCTAGAATAATGCACATATTCATAAATACACAATTTTATGAAAATTTCTGGGGTACATGGGCATTTGAAGCTTTTATGTAGACCTGTTAATCACCCATGTAGACCAGGCAAGGCGCCTTGGATGTAGAGGAAATGTGTCTCTATTTCTACCTCTTATCTATTTTTCTGGTTTTTTTTCAGCCTCTCTGTCTTTTCTCTATAGACCCCAGTGTTTCTAGACCTTATTTTTTGGTGGGACTGAACTCCTTTTAAAACATAATAAAATGAGTATAGGGTTTCAGATTTGCAAGATAAAAATGTTCAAAAGATTTTTTTCACAACATGAATATACTTAACACTACTGAACTGGACACTTAAAATGATGAATATGGTAACTTTTATATTATGTATTTTTTACCATAATACGGATATACAAATGTAATGAAATTTGAGCCTGTCTTCAAGAAAAATCACAAAGTCACATGTCACCAAAATCTGCATAGGATATCAAGAGCTCACAGACAGCCTGAGATCCACTGATTAAAGTTTCTAGTAAGTGGTCTCTGAGGGTCTTCCATGTTAACTGGTTTTTTTTATTTTTGAGACAGTCTCACTGTGTCTTTCATACTGAAGTGCAGTGGCATGATCATAGCTCACTGCAGCCTTGAACTCCTGGGCTCAAGCAACCTCCAGCCTCAGCCCCACAGGTGGCTGACACTACAGGCATGTGCCACCATGCCCAGCTCATGTAAACTCTTAATATGGAAGCTGCCAGAAATCTTAGTGGATTCTTAATATTTTCCCTCTTCTTCCTTTCCAGACCTTTCTCCCACCAAAGCTCATCCTCTCATGACTGAGAGCTCCATAACCACCCAGTCACCCAGTGGTCCTCCCCCTTGTGGCCCCCATACCCTTGGTCTTCCGGAACTCCTCCAGTAGGTAGCTGGCCTCCTCCTGAATTCGCTCCTCAATGCTCCGCTTTCCCATCCCGAAGTCCCGAAGGATGGTCAGGGGGAAGCGTCAGAGAATCCTCCATCGTTCTCCATTGGCCAGAGCTACACCTGCCAAGATCTCAGTCTCAGGCTTCTGCCTCCCTCCCCTTGCTGTGTTCAACTCTGTACTAGACAGTGATGGGGACAGATTATGAAAGCTCTAGACTCTGCTGTCAAGGAAGCCATTCTCAACCTTCAAGGCTCAATCAAGAGAGTAAGGTTCTCTCTCTGCAGGATCCTCAAAAAAAAAAAAAAAAAAAAAAGTCCAGACTGAGGTGGAGGAAAAGGGAATCAGTGTAGGAATGATAGGAGGAGATCAAAGAGTGTTTCTTACAGGAAGGAGAGGTGGAACTGGAAAAATAAATAAATAACTGAGTGAATGCATAGGAAGGTGGAAGGTGGAGGGATGTATGGACAGAGTGCCATATAGAGTGCCCTGGAATGGGGATATTAATTCTATTTTCTATGTAATACTTGGATTCTCTGAACGTACACATATGTGTACACAGAAGCTCACACTTGTACATCGATATACCTACAGAAAAGGAGTTATCATGTAGTAAGACACATTTAGAAATTACTAAATGTGTGGACTGATGAGAGTCTTAAACCAATTCACTAGATCTAATGAAATTATTTTGCTTTATTGATGAATGGAAGGAAGAGTTTATGACTGGAATGACGGATGGATGGATGGACAGACGGACGGACAGATGGATGGATGGATGGATGGATGGATGGATGGATGGATGGAAGACTTAATAGATGGGTGGATGGTTAATGGATGGATGGTTTGAGATAGATGGATAACAGTTGGAGAGTGGATAGATTGATAGATGTATGAATGATGAAAGCATTGATGAATGGATGGAATGATGGATAGATGAATACATAGAAAGTTAATTGACAGATGTATAGATAATAGAGTGAAAGATGTTTTTATAGAAAGAATAATGAGTGGATTTTCTGATGAATATGGATCAGTGGACAAAAGGAAGAAAAGGTAATAGAAAGATAGATAGATAGATAGATAGATAGATAGACAGACAGTATGTGGTGAGTCTGCTTGGAATTGAAGGATGTGGGCAGTTAGAGATGGATTCTTGGGAGAAAAAGATCTACCTAAGTGAAGAAGGCAGAGACCTATGGGTTAGGTATGTGTATGAGTATATGAAGATGAGAAATAAGGTTGGCTATGAGAGCTTTAGTGGGTGCATAAAGAATATCACTAATCCGCCAGGCTTGGTAGCTCATGCCTGTAGTCCCAGCACTTTGGGAGGCTGAGACGGGTGGATCACCAGAGATTGGGAGTTGGAGACCAGCCTTTCCAACATGGAGAAACCCCGTCTCTACTAAAAATACAAAATTAGCCCTGCGTGGTGGCGCATGCCTGTCATCCCAGCTACTCGGGAGGCTGAGGCAGGAAAATTGCTTGAACCTGGGAGGCAGAGATTACAGTGAGCCAAGATCGTGCCGTTACGCTCCAGCCTGGGTAACAAGAGTGAAAGTCCATCTCAAAAAAAAAAAAAAAAAAAAAAGAGAATATCACTAATCCATTAAAATAAGAGCAGAAATAACACAGAAGACACAGAAGACAGTTTAGAGTCGGATGGCATAGGTTCATAATAAAGTGATCCTACCACTTACTGTGTGACATTATCTAACCTTTAGCTTAGCTTTTTTTTTTTTTTGAGACAGAGTTTCACTCTTGTTGCCCAAGTTGGGGTACAATGGTGTGATCTCAGCTCACTATAACATCTGCCTCCCAGGTTCAAGCGATTCTCCTGCCTCAGCCTCCCGAGTAGCTGGGATTAGAGGCATGTGCCACCACACCCAGCTAATTTTTATTTTTAGTTTTTAGTAGAAATGAGGTTTCACCATGTTAGCCAGGCTGGTCTCGAACTCCTGACCTCAGGTGATCCACCCCACTCAGCCTCCCAAAGTGCTGGGATTACAGGCATAAGCCACCACACCCGGCCTATCTTAGCTTTTTCATTGACAACATTAGTATAATGTTAACAGCTCTCCTAAGGGAGTCAATACAGTAAGTCATGTGGACTACTTACCAAAGAACCTGGCATATAGGGAGTGCATTGCAGTCATTTCCGGTTTTATTGTTTTTGTTGTTGTTGCTACCTACCATGACCTTGGAAGTTTTGCTTTATTGAAGCCAGTTCTCCACGGCCACTGAACTCATCCGCTTGGTCTACCAAGGCTTCCTTCACTGCTTCATGTCCACATAAAACCACCACTGGCCGGGGACCCATGTACACAGTGAACACAGGGCTGTATTTCTCCCTGAGCTTGGAGTGAAGGAAAACACAGTAGGAGGGGCTGATTGGAGTACCAAGCATAGGCCAATTGAGGATTTTAGAGGATGGCGATTTCAGAGGGATATAAACATGGTACTAAGGAACCAAGGTAAATCTGGGCTTGGAAGGAATACTGGGAAAGAGGCATGGAAGTCTTGGCTCCTGTCACCCTTGGCAAAAGCTCATCCCTCCCCGCAAGACTTACTGTCTGCATCTCTAAAATAATGGACCTGGATTTGATGAATTCTAGGATTCATACTTCTCTCTCTGAAATGTTAAATTTCTAGACTCTTAAGACTTCATGATACCAACTCTCAAAGTGCTAAGACAACCTGAGTCAAAGAGTCCTTGTGTTTAAAAATATAATGTACTGTGATTCCAAAGTCCTCAGATCATGAAAATCTTATCTCAATGTACTGAGAATGTGTGTTTCCAATATTTTAGGATTCTGAAATTTCAGAATTCTAAGATTTGCAAAGTCTGTGTTTCTGAGAGTCTGTCTTTAGAAGTCATAAGGTTCTATGTGAATCTGGCAATAGGATTAGTTGCTTTTAGCCCTATTAGAGGAGACAGACAGACTCACCTTCATGAAAGACTGAAACGTAGCGTCAGTTCGAACTTGCAGCAGGTTCCCCAGGAAAGGAATTGGTGTAGGACCTGGGGGCAGCTTTCCTGCCTTATTCATTCATTTCCAGGCAATGAGGATGAGCAGGCAAGACAAGCAGAGTGCCAGAAAGATGGTGACAGCCCCTCCCATCTCCATGGTGCCAGGTCAACAGGTTCTGTCCTGGGCACCAGATCCTGCCTAAATAGGTCCTGGGAGATCAGCTTATACCGAAATCTGAACACCCTGGGATTCAAGTTTTCCGGGTCTGAATGTCATTGGAGAAGAGATTGCTTTATATGGGAGGTGGTTATATAACCTATAATCTCCCACCTGAGTAAGGGTAGATTGAATTCACAAAGGGAAATCCTCTGGGGCCATTCCCCTTTCTTCAAATTTCCAGTCTCTCTGTTCTTCTCTCTCAGCTCAACAGAATTGAACAGAATTTTTTGGTGGGGTGTAAGAGGCAGATTATTACCTTTTTAGGCTATTGATTTTAGGATCCAGACAATCTGAGTACAAGCGGCAGCTCTGTCTTTTCTTCACTGGGCAAGTCACTTAACCTCTGGGACTTGTTTCTCCATCTATCAAATAGGGAAACCATGTTGTTTTATTTTATTTTATTTTATTTTACTTTTTTGAGACAGATTATCACTCTGTCACCCAGGCTGGAGCATAGTGGCGTGATCTCATTTCACTACAACTTCTGCCTCCCGGGTTCAAGCAATTCTCATGCCTCAGCCTCCCAAGTAGCTAGGACTACAGGTGCACACCACTATGCCCAGCTAATTTTTGTATTTTTCTAGAGATGCGGTTTCACCATGTTGGCCAGGCTAGTCTCGAACTCCTGGCCTCAAGTGATCCACCCCAATCAGCCTCCCAAAGTGCTGGAATTACAGGCGTGAGCCACCGCAGCTGGCAGACCATGTTGTTTTAGAAAGTCTTGATAGACAACAAGGAAAACTCTTTGTTCATTATTTAATTAAGGATAACCTTAATTAATCAGTTATTAGATTTTTTAAATTGACACATAATAATTGTACATATTTGTGGTATATATATGTACATAATAATTGTACATATGTGTGATGTTTTGATACATGTATGCAATGTATAACAATCAAATTCGGGTAATTATTATATCCATTACTGAGACATTGTCATTTCTTTGTGGTAAGAACATTCAAAATCCTCTCTTCTAACTATTTTGAAATATGCAATGTATTATTGTTAACTACAGCCAGCCACCCTACTGTATAATGGAACACTAGAATGTTAATAAGGAAAGTAAGCTGAAGATTTAGAAAACAAGAGAAATAAATCAATTGAAAGGGTTTTGTTCAAAGAGTTCTTGTTTTCTACTCAAGTTAATGTTAAATAACAATAATCAAAGATTACCCATGTTGGTGTATCAGAAATTTGCTGTATCAAATTTAAAAAAAGAAAAAAAAGAACTTTGCTGTAGTGTGTGTCAGTGTGTGTGTGTGTGTGTGTGTGTGTGTGTGTTTTGAAAGTCTAAGGTGTAGAGATCACCTCTGAACCCCAGTCTCTGGAGGGGAATGTCTTAATAATCTAAAAAGTGATTAACTACCTTTTCTGCACCAAATATTTTCAAAGCCTTATTGTCCTGAAATGAACTTCCTGGATATTATATCCTACCCTCATGTACTATTTAACAAAATTCAATGTCCTTTTCATGCGACTGTATTCTCAGACTTGGAAACCGAATCCCTCAAGGTATCTGTAGGTTTGGGGAATGGGGTTTGGCTGGCTGAGCTGAGGCATCCTGTGTCCAGAAGTGGTGGAAATTCTGGGAAAGCTGAGTGACTCACACACAGTGCCACCTTTTGTCTCTTGGATCTGCTGCTAGAATGTCTTTCTTGGAGTAGAGACTCAGCTCAGCCCATCTCCTTTGACTCCCTTAGCTTTCACCTTCCCATCCCATTCTGATCCTCACCCCCCAGCACTTAACACCCATTCAGGACTAACCTCTTAACCATCTTGTGGTGGTGGCATGTGTGTGGTGATGGTGGTTGGTTGTGAGTCTGGTTTTCCTATTCAGACAGGAAGGGAGAGAGCAAGTACTCTTAGAACAGCTCCCTTCACCATCCCACCTCCAGACAGGAAGCCAGGAATGGAGGAACTTGAACTAAAGTTCAGCTGGAGTTCAGTGGTGTGATCTTGGCTCACTGCAACCTCCGCCTTCCAGGTGCAAGCGATTCTCCTGCCTTAGCCTCCCAAGTAGCTGGGATTACAGGCACCCACCACCACGCCTGGCTAATTTTTGTATTTTTAGTAGAGATGGGGTTTTGCCAGGTAGGCCAGGCTGGTCTTGAACTCCTGACCTCAAGTGATCCACCTGCCTGGCCTCCCCAAGTGCTGGGATTACAGGCATGAGCCACTGCGCCCAACCAAATTTTTTTAATTTGTCACTTTGTGCCAGGCATGGATGGAGCTGTGTGCTTGACAAGCAGGGTATCCTCTAATCCAAACAACCAGCTTGCAAGGAAGGGCATGTTAAATAGTCAGAGATTATTCAGGTCACCCTAAAACAAATATTCTTATAACCTGAAGCTGCTGGATAAACTTTTTTTTTTAAACTCTGTGTAATACCTTTCATACAGAGGGGAAAGGCATTCAGATGTTTCAGGTGCTTGGAGGTATAGCTCTCATTGTCATCTGGTTTGATATATTAAATTCATATATGACTGTATTTGAGAAAAGGTTCATATTTCAGAGGCACCTAGATGTCTCCCAATATTTGTTTTCCCTGTCTTCCGTAGTAATAGAATTCTATCCAGCTACATGATTATCTAGAGTTAAAAACTACATTTCCCAAGCTCCCTTGCAGCTGCGTATGGCCGTGTAGCCAAGTTCTGACCAATGAGAAGTGAGTGAAAGTGATGCCTGCAACTTTCAGTTTATGCTTTTAGAGGGAGGGGCAAGGTTTCCTTCCAGAATATTTCCTCTTTCTGGCTAACTGGGATAGCAAGAGCAACAACTTAGGAAGGAGCAGCAGCAACATGGAAGGAGCCTGGGTCTTTGATATCAGTGAACTGCCTGATGAGCTCAGGGTTGCTTATGCAGAGCCATTAAGTGTAAGAAAATTAAATTTCCACAGGGCGCGGTGGCTCATACCTGTAATCCCAGCACTTTGGGAGGCCAAGGCAGGTGGATCACTGGAGGTCAGGAGTTCAAGACCAGGCTGGCCAACATGGTGAAACCCCATCTCTACTAAAAATGCAAAAATTAGCCGGGCGTGGTGGCACACACCTGTAATCCCAACTACTCGGGAAGCTGAGGCAGGGGAATCGCATGAACCCGGGAGGCCGAGGTTGCAGTGAGCCCAGAAGGTGCCACTGCATTCCAGCCTGGGTGACAGAACGAGACTCCATCTTCAAAAAATAAAGAAAGAAAGAAAATTAAATTTCCATCTTATGTAAGCCCCTTTAAACCACTGTTTTGGGTCTTTGTTATAGCAGTTAACCTATATCTTAGGAAATTTGGCTTCTGTGAAAAATGCTTGAAAAATCATTGAACCAAGATAAGTGCTTGTTGCCTTCTTTTTTATTGTTGTGTCTGAGTACCACCCATATATGAATTTAATGTTTCTTTAATTGACTCTCCTTTTTAAGAACTTAAATTCATTAAGATGGAACTTGGTATTTCTCCCTTTAATGGAAAATTAGCTATTTTCTATCATAACTAGAAAATACCTGTGTATTAGTTATCTAATACTACATAACAAAACAGCTCAACACTTAGAGGCTTAAGACAACAACGATTTGTTATTTCCCACAGTTTCTGTGTGTCAATGTAATTTAATGCCATACTCTCCCACATCCATGGGGAAGTCTTCCTGGTACTCATACCTGCCCCCAACTTCTTTTCTGCATCTCCTTTCACTCTTAAACTCAAGCTTAGGGTTCAAGTCTAAACACAGCATGTCAGAGCTTGAAGAGGTCTCAGAAATATTATTAGTTCAGTGTTTCTCAAAAGGTATAAAATGCATAATTTGACCCAATGTATACCCATGGAGTATAAATCATCAGTTGTGAGATACTGCAAGATTCCTTGTAAGGAGGATGTATGTATGGATTTGAGTATTACAGATGATGATAATAAACATATTTAACAACCAGGGCAGCACAAACATTGTCTGAAGATGGAGTAGGGTCCTAGAGGCCTCTGTAGTTGCTGAATTATGGGACTATTGGTAAGAGTGGTCCTGGAGAAGTGGTTGAATTTCCCATTTACCAACTGCTCTCGTTTGGATGTTTGTCCCTGCAAACCTCACATTGAAATTTGATCCCCAATGTTGGAGGTGGAAATTAATGGGAAGTGTTTGGTTCATGATCCAGGAGTTACCTGATGTCCTCCTCATGGTAATGAATGGGTTCTTGCTCTATTAGTTACCATGAGAGCTGGTTGTTTAAAAGAATTTGGCCATACCCTCTGTCTCTTGCTTCTTCTCTCACTATGTGATCCCTGCACATGCTGGCTCTACTTTGCCTTCTGCTATGAGTAGAAGCAGCCTGAAGCCCTCACCAGAAGCAGATGCTGGTGCCATGCTTCTTGTACAGCAGGCAGGACTGTGAGCCAAATAAATCTCTTTTTATTATAAATTACTCAGCCACAGATATTTGGTAATAACAACACTAAACAAACTAAAATACCAACCTCTATCAAAAGATGCTCTAATAGTCCAGGTGTGTTGGCTCACACCTGTAATCCCAGCACTTTGGGAGGCTGAGATGAGTGGATTGCTTGAGGTCAGGAGTTTGAGACCATCCTGGCCAACATGATGACATCCCATCTCTACTAAAAATAAAGAATTAAAAAAAAAAACTAGCTTGGCATGGTGGTGGGCGCCTGTAATCCCAGCTACTCAGGAGGCTGAGGCAGGAGAATCACTTGAATCTAGGAGACAGAAGTTGCAGTGAGCCAAGATTGCGCCACTGCACTTCAGCCTGGGCAACAGAGCCAGACCCTGTCTCAAAAAAAAAAAAAGGCTGTAATAACTCGTAGGACCACACCTGTGTACGTGTGCTGAATTTTGTCCTTAGGCATTGTCCTTAAGAAGTTTCCTTCTTCCCAGGACAGGGGCTTCATCAGGGCTCGACGCAGAACATGCAGGTGAGGGGCAGGGCACTGTGAACCTGGCAGAAGAGCTGATTATTAAATGTTCGGTAATGATGTGAGCTTATTATGAAATAGTCATTATTAATTAAATTACGCAAACAAAAACGGAATATATTATACTTTTAAAAGAAGGTAATAAGTACTCAAGGCTGATCACATCCTAATTATTTTACTAGAGTTTACCGTTATCTGTGCTATTGAGATCGTTTATGTCTATTTGTGTCTGTATAGTGAAAATACTATATGATGGCATGGTTTTGCACATCTCTTCCCAACTCCATGTTCAGTGACACCACCTTGGCCAGTTGTTTGAAATTGGCCATAGTGAATGCATGCACAGCACAGCAATCAGAAAACTCTACAAATGAGGTCTTTTTTTCCTAAGAGCCAGCTGATAAACATTTACCAGCACAACCCTGTGGGTGCTTTTCCAAAGCTGAAGATCTGGGCTTGGGATGATGTCAGCAGGTGCCCAAGGGAGAGTGGGGGAAGTTTTTCAGGAACTCACTGATATCAAGAGGAATTCTATGTGGGTTGGGATCCCTGTGGAAGTCTCCACCTCCCTTTGAGCAAAGGAGATGGAAGAGAAAGCTAGGTTGGAGTTCAGCTGGCTGTAGTGTTCATGTCTTGGATAATGGCATGCGGGGAGCACCCTATGACTTTGGAGACTGACAGACATGAAGACCATAGAAAAAGTAAGCCTCCCTCTGTGAGCCTTTTTTCAATCTGTGTTTGGGGGATGATAACAATAGTACCTTCTGTGTAGCGTTGTTCGGGGTTGGTGATAACGTGCATCGAAGGCCCTTAGCACAGACTTTGCTTGGCACATGCTCAACCAGTGGAAGGCTTTTAGCATGATTAAATGGTTGTAAAATGGAATGATCCTAAGAGTCCCTGAAAATGAGGCCTTGGACACTATCTGTGTCTCAGTTTCCCCATCTGGAAAATGGGACAAATGGTTGTATTGATCTTCTGAGGTATTTGGGACAATTCAATGAGTTGTGACACAGAGCAAGCATTTAATAAGTGTTTGCTAATATGAAAATTAGAGTTCTGCTGCGACAGTGGAGCTGGGACCAGGAAAAGCTGAGTGGAGAAAGGATATTCATCCCCTTCACCATCAAAACCTGGGCAAATCTGTTGGTTTCCTCTTGGCTGCAGTAGAAGGGAGGGTAGCTAGAATTGGACATTTTCTTC
The DNA here is from genome assembly GCF_000001405.40 of Homo sapiens. Classification (NCBI taxonomy): domain Eukaryota; kingdom Metazoa; phylum Chordata; class Mammalia; order Primates; family Hominidae; genus Homo; species Homo sapiens. Next base: position 41,068,625 of record NC_000019.10, read on the forward strand.
TAAGGAGGCAAAATAAGTGTGTCCAGGAGATCTTCATGGGTAGTCTAAGAAGACCCATTATGGGCAGTGTTTTATGGGATGGTTCCAGGACTGAGCTAAACAGCCTCCCCAAGCTGGCATTTTCCTAAGATTATGCTATTCTCAGAATCTATTGTTCTAATGTTTGGGGATTCCAGAATTCTGTGATTTTTAAGTTTTCAATACTATGTGGATTCTTCCAGTTGGGAGTGGGGTGCAGCTTTAGGAAAGTAAGGAGCTGAGGAGGGAGAGGCAGTCTCACCAACATCCACCTCCTCCTGGATGTTTTTATCAGAAGCAAAAAGGTAAAGTCAGTGCACAGTTTTGGTTGCTGTAGGTCCCAACGCAAAACAAATGTGTGGAGTCCTAGGAACCAAATTTTAGGGGTCTGAAGGTGGTACCTGGATCATTCTTCTCTTGGGGAGTGCCATCATTTCCAAGAGGCTGAAGAAGAGATTTGGAGCCAACAAACAAGACATAGAATTTATTGAAGACTTACATATACGGTGGTCCCAGAGCGGCCACCTGGACAGGAAAACCACTAACGTGTGTAAAAAGCATATGGTTTATACAGGATTGTCACTTAGCAAGCTCCACCTAGCAACCTCCATTTAACCCAAAACAAAGAGCCTTGATCCCTTGTATGGCCTGCATTACAACAAATGGGCCAGGGGTTCAGATGTCCTTCCCAGATATGGAGTGAATCTCTGGGTTGGCCACTCCCTTATTTCTTAGCTCAGAAATCCCAACTTACATTCTTCCTAGACCATTCTCAGGGTATGCTTGAGATATTGCTGTCAAGTATGTCTTCCATACATAGGGCTGAGAAAAATTATTCAAAACACGGCAATAAGGTAAAACTGATTATGGGATGTTTTAAAGTCAAGTTAAGCATATTTTCTAACAAGCCCACTTAAAGGTAATTTCATTCCAAAATGGAATGTCTCTTTGTTTGCACAATTAATTAGTGTCTAAGCTTTTTTAACTTTTATTTTAGCTTCAGGGGTACATGTACAGGATTTATTGTATAGGTAAGTTGCATGTCATGGGGTTTGGTGCACAGATTATTTCGTCACCCAGGTAATAAGCACAGTACCCAATAGGTAGTTTTTTGATCCTCACCGTCCTACCACCTTTAAACCTCAAATAGGTCCCAGTGTTCTATTGTTCCCATCTTTGTGTCCGTACGTTCTCAATGCTTAGCTCCCACTTACAAGTGAAGACAAGAAGTATTTGGAGTTTTGTTCCTGTGTTACTTTGCTTGGGATAAAGGCCTCTAGTTTCAGCCATGTTGCTGCAAAGGACATGATCTCATTCTTTTTATGGCAGTGTAGTGCTCCACAGTGCATATGTGCCACATTTTATTTATCCAGTCTACCACTGATAAGCATTTAGGTTGATTCCATGTGTTTGCTATTGTGAATAGTGCTGCAATGAACATACAGCACTATTTATCTATTTTTATGGTAGAATGATTTATATTCCTATGAGTAGAGACCCAATAATGGTATTGCTGGGTCAAATGGTAATTCTGTTTTAGATTCTTTGAGAAACTGCCAAACTACTTTCCACAATGGCTAAATTAATTTCCATTTCCACCAGCAGGTATAGGCGTTCCCTTTTCTCTACAACCTTGCCAGCATCTGTTATTTTTTGACATTTTAATAATAGCCATTCTGGCTGGGCACGGTGGCTCATGCCTGTAATCCCAGCACTTTGGGAGGCCAAGGTGGGTGGATCATTTGAGGTCAGGAGCTTGAAACCAGCCTGGCCAACATGGTGAAACCCCTCCTCTACTAAAAGTACAAAAATTAGCTGGGCGTGGTGGCGGGTGCCTGTCATCCCAGCTACTCGGGTGGCTGACGCAGGAGAATTGCTTGAATCCGGGAGGCAGAGGTTGCAGTGAGCCAGCCAAGATTGTGCCACTGCACTCCAGCCTAGGTGCCAGAGCAAGATTCTGTCTCAAATAATAATAATAATAGCCATTCTGACTAGTGTGAGATGGTATCTCATTGTGATTTTCGTTTGCATTTCTCTAATGACTAGTGGTGTTAATCATTTTCATATGCTTATTGGCCACATGTATGTCTTCTTTCGAAAAATATTCATGTCCTTTTCCCACTTTTTAATGGGGTTGTTTCTTTTCATGTAAATTTGTTTAAGTTTCTTATAGATTCCAGATATTAGATCTTTCTCAGATTCATAATTTGCAAATATTTTCTCCCATTCTGTAGGTTGTCTGTTTACTCTGCTGATAGTTTCTTTTGCAGTGCAGAATCTCATTAGTTTAATTAGGTCCCACTTGTTAATTTTTGCTTTGTTGCAATTGCTTTTGGCAGCTTCATCATGAAATCTTTGCCAGGTCCTATGTTCAGAATGCTATTTATTCCCTAGGTTATCTTCCAGAATTTTTATGATTTTAGATTTTACATTTAAGCCTTTGATCCCTCTTGAGCTGATTTTTGTATATGGTGTGAGGAAGGAGTCCAATTTCAATCTTCTGCATTTGGATAGCCGGTTATCTCAGCACCATTTGTTGAATAGGGAGTCATTTCCCCATTGCTCATTTTGTTGTCTTTGTCAAAGGTCAGATGGCTGTAGGCATGTGGCATTATTTCTTGGCTCTATTCTGTTCCATTTATCAATGTGTGTGTTTTTGTACCAGTACCATGCTGTTTTGGTAACTGTAGCCTTGTTGTACAGTTTGAAGTTGGGTAATGTGATGCCTCCATCTTTGTTCTTTTTGCTTAGGATTGTCTTGGCTATTCAGGCTCTTTGTTGGTTTCACATGAATTTTTAAATATTTTTTTCTAATTCTGTGAAGAATGTCATTGGTAGTTTGATACAAATAGCATTGAATCTGTAAATTACTTTGGGCAGTGTGGTGGTTTTAACAATACTGATTCTTCCTATCCATGAACATGGAATGTTTCTCCATTGGTGTCATCTCTGATTTCTTTCAGCAGTATTTCATAATTTTCATTGTAGAGCTCTTTCACCTCTTTGATTAACTATATTCCTGGATATTTTATTCTTTTGTGGCTATTGTGAATGGTATTGCAGTCTTGATTTGGCTATCAGGTTGGATGTTGTTGGTGTATGGAAATGTTACTTGTTTTTATACATTAATTTTGTATCCTGAAACTTTGCTGAAGTTGTTTATAAGATCAAGGAGATTTTGAGCAGAGACTAGGGGGTTTTATACTTATAGAATCATATCTGCAAACAGGGATAATTTGACTTCCTCTTTTCCTGTGTGTATCCCCCTTTTTTTTTTTCCTTCTGCATGATTGATTTGGCTAGGACTTCCCGTACTATGTCAAATAGGAGTGGTGAGACAGAATCCTTGTCTTGTTCTGGCTCTCAAAGAGAATACTTCCAGCTTTTGCCTGTTCAGAATGATGTTGACTATGGGTTTGTCATAAATGGCTCTTATGATTTTGATGTATGTTCCTTCAATGCCTAGTTTGTTGAGGATTTTTAATATGAAGGGATGTTGAATTTTATGAAAAGGCTTTTCTGCAACTATTGACAAGATCATATGGTTTTTGTTTTTAGTTCTGTTTATATGATGAATCACATTTACTGATTTGCATATGTTGAACCAACTTTGTATCACAGAGATAAAGCCTATTTAATTGTGATGGACTAGCTTTTTAATATGCTGCTGGATTCAGTTTGCTAGTATTTTGTTGAGGATTTTGGCATCTATGTTCAGCAAGGATATTGGCCTGGAGTTTTCTTTTTTTGGTTGTGTCTCTGCCAGGTTTGGGTATCAGAATGGTGCTGGCTTCATAGAATGAGCTGGGGATGAGTCCTTCCTGCTCATTTTTTTTGGAATAGTTTCCGTAGAGATGGTACTACCTCTTTCTTATACATCTGGTCGAATTCAGCTGTGAATCCATCTGGTCCTGGGCTTTTTCTGGTTGGTAGGATTTTATTACTGATTCCATTTCAGAACTTGTTATTGGTCTGGTCAGGGATTTAATTTCTTCCTGGTTCAATCTTGGGAGGTTGTATGTTTTCAGGAATTCATTCATTTCTTCTAGGTTTTCTAGATTGTGTGCATAGAGAGGTTCACAGTAGTCTCTGTGAATTTTTTTTTTGTATTTCAGCGTGTCCCATGGTAAAATTCCCTTTGTCATTATGGTTGTGTTTATTTGGGGATCTTCTCTCTTTTTTTCTTTATTATTCTTGCTAGCAGTCTATCTATCTTATTTATTCTTTCAAATAACCAATTGCTGGACTCGTTGATCTTTTGTTCATATATTGTGAAAAGTAGTGTGATGATTCCTGAAAGAACTAAAACAAGAACTACCATTCAACCCAGCAATTCCACTACTAGGTATATACTGAAAGGAATATAAATAATTCTACCATAAAGACACATGCACATGTATGTTCACTGCAGCACTATTCACAATAGCAAATACATGGAATCAACCTAAATGCCCAAAATGGTAGACTGGATAAAGAAAATGTGGTACATATACACCATGGAATACTGTGCAGCCATAAAAAAAAGAACAAGATCATGCCCTTTGCAGAACATGGATGAAGCTGGAGGCCATTATCTTTAGCAAACTAATGCAGGAACAGAAAACTAAATACTGCATGTTCCCACTTAGAAGTGGTAGCTGAATGATGAGAACACATGAACACACAGAGGGGAACAGCAGACACTGGGGCCTCCCTGAGGGTGGAGGGTGAGAGGAGGAAGAAGATCAGGAAAAATAACTGGTGGGTACTAGGCTTAATACTTTGGTGATGAAATGATCTGCACAACAAACCCCCATGACATGAGTTTACCTGTATAACAAACCTGCACATGTACCCCTGAACTTAAAATTAAAATAAATAAAATAAAATAACATTTCATAAAATTTTTTAAAACAGAAAACATGTTCATTCCCTGGCAACTCCACCAAAAAAAAAAAAAAAAAGGAAAGAAAACATGGTTATATATACAATGGAATATTATTCAGCCATAAAAAAAAGAATGAAATCCTATCATCTGCAGGAACATGGGTGGACCTGGAGGACATTATATTAAGTAAAATAAGCCAGGCACAGAAAGACAAATATCACACATTCTCACTCATAATGGGAGTTAAAAAACTGATCTCATGAAAGTGGAAAGTAGAATGTTGGTTAGTAGAAGCTGTAATCCCTAGCAAGCTTCAACAGGGGAGCCAATGCTTTCAGTCAGGGGGTGGCACCACGTGTCTTCAAGATGAAATGCCTCTTGGGGACAAACATGCTACTTTCACCAAGTACATAAGCTTTCTGCTTGTCATACTTAGGATTGAACATTGTACATCCTTCAGAAGTACATCCTACTCAGATCTTGGGACAGTATGATCCCCCCATTTTGGGCATTTCCCTCATTTTTGGTTTGCATTGGGTTGCTGCTGGGAGAACCAAATGTCTGGCAGCTTCTTGGTCCCTTAAAAAAAAAAAATGTGCAGCTTCAGCCAGGCACAGTGGCTCATGCCTGTAATCCCATCACTTTGGGAGACCAAGGTGGGCAGATCACCTGAGGTCAGGAGTTTGCCACCAGCCTAGTCAACATGGCAAAATTCCGTCTCTACAAAAATAAAAAAATTAGCCAGGCGTTGTGGCTTGTGCCTTGAGATACAGTGCAGTCTCTTGTCATCCACTGCTTCCTTATTAGAGAGGGTAGAACCAACACTAGCTAACATCACGGGCCATACAGGTTAAGCCCATCTTAACAATTTTTTTTCTTTTTTTTGAGATGGAGTTTTGCTCTTGTTGCCCCAGGCTGGAGTGCAGTGGCCCAATCTCAGCTCACTGCAACCTCCGTGCCCACCCACCATCCCCCCTCCCGCCCCTGAGTTCAAGCGATTCTCCTGCCTCAGCCTTCCTAGTAGCTGGGACTACAATTGTGTGCCACCACACCCGGCTAATTTTTGTATTTTTAGTAGAGATGGGGTTTCACTATATTGGCCAGGCTGGTCTTGAACTCCTGACCTCAAGTGATCTGTAAGCCTCAGCCTCCCAAAGTGCTGGGCGTACAGGTGTGAGCCACTGCACCCAGTCACAGATGCAGATTTCTTACATGCATGTATTGCATCATGGCGAAGTCTAGGCTATTAGCGTCCCCAGCACCCAAATAGTAAACACTGTACCTAATAGGTAACTTTTCAAGCCTCACCCCCTCCTGCCCACCCACCTTTCGAAGTCTACAATGTCTCTTGTTCCACTCTGTATGTCCAAGGGTATCCATTGTTTAGCTTCCATTTATAATTGAGAACATGTGTTATTTGACTTTCTGGTTTGACCTCTTTCACTTAGGGTAATGGTCTCCAGTTCCATCCATGTTGCTACAAAAGACATGATTTCATTCTTTTTTATGGCTGAGTAGTATTCTATGTTATACATATGCCACATTTTCTTTATCCAAACCTCCGTTGATGGGCTTAGACTGATTCCATAGCTTTGCTATTATGAATACTGCTACAATAAACATACAAGTGTAGGTGTCCTTTTTATAAAATGATTTCTTTCTTTTTTTTTTTTCTTTTTTTGAGGTGCAGTCTCACTCTGTCGCCCAAGCTGGAGTGTGCAGTGGCACGATCTCGGCTCACTGCAACCTCTGCCTCCCTGGTTCAAGCGATTCTCCTGCCTCAGCCTCCCGAGTAGCTGGGACTACAGGCGTGTGCCACCATGCCAGGCTAATTTTTTGTATTTTTAGTAGAGACAGGGTTTCACCATGTTGGCCAGGCTGTTCTCGAACTCCTGACCTCAGGCGATCTTCACTTCTCGACATCCCAAAGTGCTGGGATTACAAGGCATTAGCCATCACCTTGTAATCCTTGCCTAAAATGATTTCTTTCTTTTGCTGTGAAGAAACTCTTTTAGTTTAAGTCCCATTTGTCTATTTTTTGTTTTATTGCATTTGTTTTTGAGGACTTCATCATAAATTCTTTGCCTAGGCCTGTGTCCAAAAGAATTTTTCCTAGGTTTTCTTCTAAAATTTTTATAGTTTCAGGTCTTAGATTTAGGTCTTTAATCCATCTTGAGTTCATCTTTGTATATGGTGAGAAATACCAGTCCAGTTTCATTCTTCAGCAAATGATTATCCAATCTTCCCAGAAATATTTATTGAATAGGATGTCCTTTCCCCAGTGTATATTTTTGCTGACTTTGTCAAAGATTAGTTGGTTGTAGGTAGGTGGCTTTATTTTGGGTTTTCTATTCTGTTCCATTGATATATGTGTCTATTTTTATACCAGTACAATGCTGTTTTGGTTACTATAGGCTTGAAGTATAATTTGAAGTCAGGTAATGTAATGCCTCCAGCTTTGTTCTTTTTGCTTGGAATTGCTTAAACTATTTGGGCTCTTTTCTGATTCTATATGAATTTTAGGATTGTTTTTTCTAATTCTGTGAAAAACGACGGTGTTTTGATAGAGATTGCATTCAATCTATAGATTGCTTTGGACTGTATGTTCATGTTAATGATGCTGATTCCTCAAATCCATGAGCATGGGATATTTTTCCATTTGTTTATGTCATCTACAATTTCTTTCATTGGTGTTTTGTAGGTCTTCTTATAGAGATCTTTCACCTCCCTGGTTAAATATATTCTTATGTATTTTATTTTCTTTGTAGCTATTGCAAATGTATTGCCTCCTTGATTTGGTCCTTGGCTAGATCGTTACCGGTATGTGGAAATGCAACTGATTTTTGTACATTAATTTTGTATCCTAAAACTTTACTGAATTCATTTCTCAAATCTAAGAGTTGTTTTTAGAGTCCTTAGGGTTTTCTAGGCATAAGATCATATCATCAGCAAACAGGGATAATTTGACTTCCTCTTTTCTAATTTGGATGCCCTCCATTTGTGTCTCTTGCCTGACTGCTCTGGCTAGGACTTCCAGTACTCTGTTGAATAAGAGTGGTGAAAGTGGCATTCTTGTCTTCTTCTAGTTCTTAAAGAGAATGCTTTCATCTTTTCACCGTTAAATGTTATGTTTGCTGTGGGCTTGTCATATGTAGCCTTTATTATGTTGAGGTATGTTGCTTCTAGGCCTGGTTTGTTGAGGATTTTTATCATGAAGAAATGCTGATTTTTATTGAATACTTTTTCTGCACCTATTGAGATAATCATATGGCTTTTGTCCTTCATTTTGTTGATGGAATGTATCACGTTATGGATTTGCATATGTTGAACCATTCTTGGATCCCCAGGTTAAATCCGACCCAATCATGGTGTATGATCTTTTTGATGTGCTGTTGGATTTGATTTGCTAGTATTTTGCTGAGGCTTTTTGTATCTATGTGATTCAGGGATATTGATCTGTAGTTTTCTTTTTTGTTGTGTTCTTGTCTGATTTTGTTATCAGGATGATACTGGCCTCGTAGAATCAGTTAGGGAGAATTCCCTCCTCCTCAATTTTTTGGAATAGTTTTACAAGGATTGGTATTAGTTCTTCTTTGTATACTTGGTAGGATTCATCTGTGAATCTATCTGGTCCTGGAATTTATTTTCTTGAAAGACTTTTTTTTGAGACGGAGTTTCACTCTGTCACCCAGGCTGGAGTGCAGTGGCATGATCTCGATTCACTGCAACCTCTACCTCCTGGGTTCAAGCGATTCTGCTGCCTCAGCCTCCCAAGTAGCTGGGATTACAGGCGTGCACCACCACGCCCAGCTAATTTTTGTATTTTTAGTACAGATGGGGTTTCACTGTGTTGACCAGGCAGGTCTTGAACTCCTGACCTCAAGTGATCCGCACACCTCAGCTTCCCAAAGTGCTGCGATTACAGGCATGAGCCACCACACCCTGCCTTCTTGGGAGACTTTTAATTACTGATTCAATCTTGCTATTCATTATTGATCTGTTCAAGAGTTCTACTTCCTGGTTCAATCTTGATAGACTGTAACTGTCCAGAAATTTATTCATTTCCTCTAGGTTTTCTAGTTTGTGAGGCTATAGCTGTTCATAATAGTCTCTCATGATGTTTTGTGCTTCTATCCTATCAGTTGTAATGTCCCATTCTTCATTTCTGATTGTTTTTATTTTTATTTTCTCTTCTTTCCTGGGTTAGTCTAGCTAGTGGTTCATTAATTTTAACTTTTTGAAGATCCAACTTTTGTTTTGTTGATCTTTTTTATTGTTTTCGTGGTTTCTATTTCATTTAGTTCTGCTCTGATCTTTGTTATTTCTTTGGCTAACTTTGGGTTTGATTTGTTCTTTTTCCAGTTCCTTGAGGTGTGACATTGGTCGATAATTTGTGATCTTTCTACTGTTTTTTGAGATGGAGTCTCACTCTGTCACCCAGGCAGGAGTGCAGTGGCGCAAACTCGGCTCACTGCAACCTCTGCCTCCCAGGTTCAAGTCATTCTCCCACCTCAGCCTCCCGAGTAGCTGAGATTACAGGCATGCACCAACATGCCTTGTTAATTTTTGTATTTTTTAGTAGAGACAGGGTTTCTTCATACTGGCCAGACTGGTCTCGAACTCCCGACCTCAAGTGATCCACCGCCTCAAGTGCTGGGATTACAGCTGTGAGCCACCATGCCTGGCCCTTTCTACTTTTTTGATGTAGGCATTCAGTGCTATAAACTTCCCTATTAGTACTGCTTTTGCTGTATCCCACAGACTTTTGTGTTGTGTTTTCATTTTTATTCATTTCAAACTTTTTTTAAATTTCCAGCTTAATTTCTTTGCTGACCTGGTGATCTTTCAAGAGCATGCTGTTTAATGCCCATGTATTTATACCATTTCCAAAGTTCCTCCTAGTATTGATGGAATGGAATCCTTTTCTAGCTTTATCCACTGTGGTCTGAGATGATACTTGATATAATTTTGATTTTTAGAAAATTTGTTAAGGTATGTTTCATGGCTTAATATATGGTCTATCTTGGAGAATATATCATGTGCTGATGAAAAGAGTGTATATTCTGTAGTTGTTGGGTAAAATGTTTTATAAGTGTCTGTTGAGTCCATTGGGTTAAAGTCCAATTTAAGTCTGTATTTGTCCATTTTTGCATCACTATAAAGGAACACCCAAGCCTCGGTAATTTATAAAGAAAAGTGGTTTAATCAGCTCACAGTTCTGCAGGCAGAACATGAAGCATGGCACTGGCATCTGCTACTGATAAGGGTCTCAGGAAGCTTACAATCATGGTGGAAGGCAATGGAGGAGCCAGTGTATCACACTGGCAAGAGATGGAAGGGGGTGGTCCCAGGCTCTTTTAAACAACCAGATCTCATTTAAACTGAGTGAGAACCCACTCATCACCAAGGGGATGGCACTAAGCCATTCATGAGGGATCTGCCCCTATGATCTGATACCTCCCTCTAGGCCCTACCTCCAACATAGGGGATCACATGTCCACATAAGATATGGAGGGGACACACATCCAAAGCATATGAAAGGCTAATGTTTCTTTGCTAATTTTGTCTCTCAATGATCTGTTTAGTGTATGAGTGGGATATTGAAGCTCCCCACTGTTATTGTATTCTGTATATCTCATTCTTTAGGTCTAGTTGTATTTGTTTGTAAATTTAGGGGTTGTGATGTTCGGTGCGTATATATTCAGCACTGTTATATTCTCTTGCTAAATTGATCCCTTTATCATTATATAATGACCTTCTTTGTTTTGTTTTTATTTTTAATGTTTTTTATTTAAAATCTGTTTTAACTGGTATAAGATATAGCTATTCCTGCTTGTTTGGTTTTTGTTTGCATGGAATAGCTTTTTCCATCTATGTACTTTCAGTCTATATGTGTCTTTACAGGTAAAGTGAGTTTCTTATAGGCAGCATATAGTTGCATCATGGTTTGTGTGTGTGTGTGTGTTTGTTTGTTTGTTTTGAGATGAGTTTTGCTCTTGTTGCCCAGGCTGGAGTAGTGCAATGGCATGATCTCGACTCACTGCAACCTCTGCCTCCTGGGTTCAAGCAATTCTCCTGCCTCAGCCTCCCAGGTAGCTGGGATTACAGGCATATGCCATCACACCCAGCTAATTTTTGTATTTTTAGTAGAGACAGGGTTTCTCCATGTTGGTCAGGCTGGTCTCAAGCTCCCAACCTCAGGTGATCCACTCACCTTGGCCTCCCAAAGTGCTGGGCATCATGTTGTTTAAAGTATTCCGCCAATACATATCTTGTAAGTGAAGCATTTAATCCATTTATTCAAGGTTAATATTGATATGCAAGGCTTTATTCTTGTCATATTGTTAATTGTTTTTAAGTTGTTTTATGTGATAAATTATTTGTTTCTTTCTTTTTCTCTTTTTGTCATTGTGGTTTGATGAGATTCTCCCATGTTGCCATTTGATTCTTTTCTCTTCCTCATGTATGAGGTTGTTTTTATAAGAAATGTGAGTTTTATTTTTCTGTGTGTTTTCATGACGCTGAGTGTTGACCTTTCATTTCCATATTTAAGACCCATTTGAGCATCTCCCATAGGAACAGGCTAGTGTTGACAAGTTTACTCACCATTTGCTTCTCTAGAAAAGATTTTATTTCTCCTTCATTTATGAAGCTTATTCTGCCAGAACATAAAATTTTTGGCTGACAGTACTTTTCTTTCAGCAGTTGGAAATGCCATTCTCTTCTTTTCTAGCCTGTAAGGTTTCCACTGAAAAGTCTGCTGTTAGTCTGATGAGTTTTCTTAATAGGTAACTAGATGCTTTTCTCTTGCTAATTTTAAAATTCTTTCTTTCTTCTTGACTTTAGACTTTCTAAATGTACTATTATGTGAAGTTCTTTTTGCAATGTATTTGCTGGGGCTCTGTAGCTGGATGTCTAACTCTCTTGCTAGATGTGGAAGTTTTCATCAATTACTTCCTAAAAATAGGTGTTCTAATTTTTTAAAATCTCTCTTCCCCCTTGGAAATACCAAAAATGCATAAGTTTGGTCACACTATGTAGTCCCAGATATCTCAAAGTCTTTGATGATTCTTTTTTATTTATTTTTCTTTATTTTGTCAGACAGGACATTTCAAAAGACCTGTCTTCAAGTTCTTAGATTCTTTTTTTTTCTTCTAATTTTAGAGATAGGGTTTCACTATGTTGCCCAAACTGGCCTTGAACTCTGACCTCAAGGAATCCACCTACCTTGGTCTTCCAAAGTGCTGGGATTACAGGCATGAGCCACTGCACCCAGCCATGTTCTGAGGTTCTTTCTTCTGCTTGGTCCAGTCTACTATTGAAGCTTTTGAATATATTCTGTATTCCCTTCATTGAATTTTTTTAGTTCAAGAGTTTCTGCTTGTTTTTTTTTTTAAGTTATTTATCTAGGTAAATTTCTCATTCATTTCCTGGACTGATTTTCTAATTCTTTGTATTGATTTTCAAATTTCTCTTGCATCTTGTAGGGCTTTATAAAATCAGTATTTTGAATTCTTTATCTGGCATATTGAGGGATTCTTTTTGATTGGGATCTGTTGCTGGACAATTGTGGTCCTTTGATGATGTCACATTTTTCTCCTTTTTCATGTTTCCTGTGTCCTTTCATTGATATCTGCAAATCTTGTGTAGCAGTAGCTTGTTCAAGTTTTTTTAATTGCCCTGTAGGAGAAAATTTTTTTCCTGAAAAATGTATGCATGTTGTTAGTTGAGTAGGATACTTTGGCTTTGATTCTGGGTGCCTATGGTAGTGTGATCTTAGTATGACTTCATAGGCAGTACCCAGGGTCACTGGTATCTTTGATTTCCTTGGTAGCTTAGAGTACAGTTATTACTTGAGATCGAGGAGAAATTTAGCTGGGTGGTGGATGCCAACTGAGCCCATCTTTGGGCCCTGGTGGTGGCAGCAGCTTGGAGAGTATGGCTGAGCCCCAGAGCAGTCTACTGGCTTTGGTATTAGTGAGTCCTGGGAGGCTGATTCTTGAGCTTCCTAGTGGCTTGCTTAGAGGAGTCATGGGAGTTGGGGGACAGGGATGTGGGCAAGTTCTCAGGCCCCTGGGAAGCACAACCTGGTGTGATATGGGTGATGGCAGTAGTGGTGGTGGAGCAATCCACTAGGACCCAGGCAGTCCATGTTGGTGTTGCTGGTAGATGCAATGGGTTGGGTGGGCTACTCCCCAGTCCCACAGCATCCTGTAGCAGGGTAGTGGTATTGACCTAAGTGTGCTTAGGAGAGCTTGTTCTCCCCTGTGCCTCCCCCATCTGGGTGGCGGCTACAGTGGCATCACCTCAGACTTGGCAAAAAGGGGGACAGAGCCCAACATTAAACTCTTATGATTGTGCCAGCTGTGGGCTTGTGACCAAAGAGGACAGGCCCCTCTCTGGTAAGCAGTATGGACAAGAAGTTGTGGGGAGTGGGGTCTGCTCAAGTCTCCCTGTCACAGCAGCCCATAGCAGGGTCGGGGAAATTGTCCCAGGTATATGTAAAGGAGCTTTGTTTCCCTGTCCCTCCTTGGCCAGGTGGTGGCTGCAGCCAGGTCAACTCAAACTGGGCCTGAGGGCAGGGCATGGCACAGTATTAAACTCTCAAAATGGTTCCTTGGGCCTGCAACCAGGGTAAGAAGCTGTGGGGAATGTGGTTCACTCACATCTCAGTCTCAACAGCAGCCCGCAGCAAGGCAGAAAGGACCCTCCCATGGGTGCCTGGGAGTGCTGGGTCTCCTCTATACTTACTTGAAGCAGCACAGCAGCAGCAACCATTTCTATAGATCTCCAGTATCCAGGTTCTCAAAACAGCACTCAGCTGAGGCTGCTCTAGGCTCAAATGGGATTCCATGTGGGTTCCATTTTCCAGGGCAATGTCTCTGCACAATCTTTAGGGAGCTCCGTATGTCAGGCCCAAGACCCAAGTGGGTTGAGGGTTTCTACCATAGCCAAGATCATAAAAGCCCATTTCAAAGTGTGGAGCCCTGGGAGTTTCTCTCTTATAATTTCCCCTCATCCAGGAGCCACTCTCAGCTTTCAGTCAATCCCCTCTCCTTACTCACTTCCTGTGCTTCCCTTCTTTTCTCTGTTGAATCCCTTCTCTTCTCTGATGAATTCCAGCATTCTCTCCTAGATAATCTGTTTAAAATGGAGTTCCTCTCCACGAAGAAGGCCATGCTACCTGCATCTGGTCAGCCATCTTGATCACCTTTCTACATTTAAAGAGACACAGCATGTTAAAAAAAAAAAAAAAATTAGTTCCCTTACGAATTGTTGTTTACCTAGCCCTCCCTGTCAAGAAGTGGTCTGCATTTTAAAGGATTTTAATAAGATGAAAAATATTCTAGAATAAATTTGCAGTGACCCCATCTCCCATTCTTCCTGTGGTAAGGAAGACCAAAAGCTATTTTTTTTCTTTTTTCTTTTCTTTTCTTTTTTTTTTTCTAAAGGAAACCCCTTTCTCCTAACTCCCTTCAGAATCTGCTGCTTTTTTTCACCCCCCAGTGATTTCAGGGAATTGGGTTGTTAAAAATGTTTTCTTCAGAGTTAATAGTTTTTATTCACGGGATGCTTGCTCCAAAAGAAGCTACTCAACCATTACCAGAAGAAACTCTTCATCAGTGCACTTGGCAGCTGACATCTTCGTCCTCTTAAAAAATAAAAATAAAAATAAAAATTTTTTAAAGTTGTTCAGAAATGGTGGCTCAAACCTGTAATCCCAACACTTTGGGTGGCTGAGGCGGGCAGATCACCTGATGTCAGGAGTTCAAGAGCAGCCTGGCCAACATGGTGAAACACCGTCTCTTCAAAAGTACAAAAATTAGTCGGGCATGATGGTGGATGCCTGTAATCCCAGCTGCTCAGGAGGCTGAGGCAGGAGAATTGCTTGAAGCCAGGAAGCAGAGGTTGCAGTGGACCGAGATCGCGCCATTGCACTCCAGCCTGGGCGACAGAGCAAGACTCCGTCTCAAACAAAAAAAGCTGTTCATCCCTGTCATCTATCCAACTTCTTTCCCATCTCTGGGCTCTAAGTCTTGCCATTTTCCTGGTAGGCAGGAACTTCATGGCCATGGATGTGAGCTGTCCAAACACTCAGAAAAAAAGAATCTTGACTTTCTTCTCTTCTTTGACCTCCTTTACTCTATTTCAGCCAACATTCCCATAGCCCCACCCTAATCCTTGTCATCACTCTGAAATGTGAAACACAGACATTTCACTCTCTGACCACAACCACTAATACCCCAACTCCCCCACTGCTTCATTGACAATGGCCTGAGGGGTATACTGGCCAACTAGGTCGTTGGTTAAGGTTCCGAAGAGTGCAAACACTATAGAAGGTCAAGTCTCCCTCCTATTAAAAGACTTTTTTTCTAACATTTTGAAAACTTTTGTTACATGTTTACAAGGAAGTATTTGAAGAAGAGATTACAGGCAGTTTTTCTAATATTTCATAAAGAAAAACAGGTGGGGCCTGGCAGTCCAAAGTGGTGATTAACAGCATGAAATTTACTTTCACAGCCAGGCATGGTAGCTCACACCTGTAATCCCAGCACTTTGGGAGGCCGAAGTGGGTGGATCACCTGAGGTCAGGAGTTTGAGACCAGCCTGACAAACATGGTGAAACCCCATCTCTACTAAAAATACAAAAATTAGCTGGGCGTGGTGGCTGGAATCCCAGCTACTTGGGAGGCTGAGGCTGGAGAATCACTTGAACCCAGGACACAGAGATTGCAGTGAGCCGAGACCGCACCATTGCACTCCAGCCTGGGCAACGAGAGCGAAAGAGCAAAGCTCCATCTCAAAAAGAAAAGAAAGAAAGAAAAGAAAGAAAGAAAGAAAGAAAGAAAGAAAGAAAGAAAGAAAGAAAGAAAGAAATTTACAGTCACACAAGACCATACTAAGACTCTACCCTCATTAGCTGTGGAATGCGGAAGCAAGTCACTTACAACCAACTTTGGGGGCCTTACCTAACTCATTTGCAAAATGGAGATGATAAAGCCAACCTCACAGTCTTGCAATGAGGAGTTTAACTAAGATTATGCTCATAAAAAGCTTCCCACAGTTCTGGGGTTTTCTTCAAGCGGATAAATGGAGCTGGGCTAGGACTGTTTTAATCCAAACACAGATGAGCACAGGAAAATATCAGATGTTGACATGTATGCAACATGGCCCACAAGCCTGCATACAGACACCAGAATGCACACATGAGAACATCCACATACTTATATGTAGTCACCCAATTGTGAATGCATACATACAAACATGAATATGCGGCATTCATCTTGTTTTACACAGAAATGCACATCATAGACACCCCTAAATCATGTGTGCACACATGCTGTATGCAGAGACAGACACATAGATTGGCAAGCATTGAGAAACAGTGGCACACCCTGTCAGGCACACACACACATGTGCATGTGCAGACATAAGTTGGAATGGATACCCATTATCAAGCACAAACATACACCCCACAAAGCCTGGTGCACACATAAATTCATGTATCAACATGGACATACAGAAACATACATGCACATAGACACTACCAGAATGACACACAGACAGTTGAATAAATGAGGATAAACATGGCAGAGGCATCCAGGAGAACTCACTGGACAAAATGGCACAAAATACAAAGATGCAGGAGCACACAGGGTGATTGAGGGAAACATTGACTTGCAGGGAAGGAGAAAGAGAAGATAGAAAGACAGGATCCAAGACAACGGTAGACAGACAGGTGGGCAAAGTCCTGTGCAGGGCTCCAGGGCCAACCAGAATAACCTGAGAGTCTAATGCTGGCCTGTCCTTCCACAGATACTGCCTAACTCAGCACCACACTCCAGGAGGCCATGAAGGATTAATTTCCTATTCACAGCTCCATGGAGTAAAGCTTGGCTGTGCTGAGGAAGGGGTGGGGAAAGAGGTTCCCAAAGACTCTGTCCTTTTCCTCCTTCCCAAAGGAAAAGATCTGTGAGCTTTAGACTAGAGAATGTAAAAGCAAGGAATGTGTTTAGGGAACATCTTATCCATCCGCTTCATCGTACAGAGGAAAGAGAACAACTGCTATTCATTGAGCACTTACTGCCATGTACCTCACCTGCATTAACACATATACTTCTCCCCTAAATAGCTGAAGAGGTAAGAGCTGTTCTTGGCTCCATAAGGCTCAGAGATAAAGTCAGCTATTCAAGGCCACACAACAAAGAAGGGATAAGGTTAGGATTCCAATCCAGGCCTTAATCATTGCACCATCCATCCAGAAAAGGAAACTGAGGCCAAGCAAAGGAAAGGGATCTTCCTGGGTTTTCCACTAACTCACTCTGAAAGGCTGTACCCAAGACACTGCCCACTGGGACAAGTCCCTCCCACATGATTTCAGACACCATTCTCTCACTCCATGCTCCAGGGTAATCAACAAGTCCAAAATTGATTGACCTCTATGTCCACAAACACTAGAGTTCTCCAAACCTGTCTCTCCCCACCCCCTCCCTGGCCAGATCATGGCAACCTGCTGATCACTCAGTGCACTTCCTAGTGCCAACCTCACTGAGAAACAAAGTTCCCGAATTTCTATCTCCCACCTTTTTAAGGAACTAGAAGGAAAAGGAGGAGCCCAGGCTTAGGGCCAGCCCAGGTGCAGGCTGGTGACCAGGATTAGAGGGATTGATATCTGCCAAGCTGGTGCTAATCCTCCTTCCCACCTCTTCCCCTCCAAAATCAACAAACAACTTTCCTCTGTCCCCTTTGTTCTCTGATCTTTGTTCCCTCCACACAGGTCTCAGAGCTCAGCATCCTAGAACACTTTGAGCAAGATGTCAGTCCTGGGGGGGCCAACCTCACCCACCTCCACTTGTCCACAGTTGGTGACCCAGAGGAGAGGTGCAACAGTGGAAGGTCCAAACATCAGAGCCTGTCCTGTGCCCATCTGGAGCCCCTCTCAGGGTCTGGCTGAGGCTCATCTCAGACCCACATAGGACCAATATCAACACCTGCCTCATGCTCATGTCAGAGCCCACTGGGACCAACCTCAGACCCTATATGGTGCCACTCTTATGCCCTCCTGAAGCAGGACTCTCTTATGCCCTCAATGACACCTGAGACAACACACAGAGCCCTCTTGGCACCAAACATGACTTCAATATTCTCCTGGTGTCAAGTTCAGTGCCAACTTGTTTCCCATCCTCGCATACACCTGGGGGCAGTCCCAAAGCCAACACGATGCCTTTCCCTCCCTGGACACACCTGATGCTGATATCAGAACCCGCCAATGTCATCAGTGTGTCCACTGCTGATGCCAGTCCCAGCACTCACCTCCTGCTAAGCCTGGCCTGCACTTGACTCCCAGGGTGATCTAGGCCAGTCAATGAAGGGGGGCGAGGAGAAAGTTCACATCCCAGCTCCCTCACTTACTCCCTGTGTGACCTCACTCAAGAGGATTTATGGAGTCTAGATCTGCTCATCTTCAAAATGAGGATGATCATGATGAACCAACCTCACTGTTACAAAGATTCAACCAGATCATACACACCTAGACTTAATCTTCCCATATATGACCATGCTCACCAAAGGGTAACTGTCCTGTTTACTAAGGAAGAATTTCCTTGAGGGAAGGACAGGAGGGCTACTCATCCCTTCTCCACTCACACCCACCCCAGGATCTGCCTCTGTGCCTAATACTGGAGTTTACCCCAATCTCTTCTGCGATTGTTCCCTCTGCCTACTAATAGTAGTAGCCCCTGACAAAGCAGGAATCGCCCTTAAAGGAGACTTAACTCACCCTCAAACGTGGTCTTCTCTTCCCAAACACTCCCTTTCCACTGGCAGGAAAACCAAATCCAGAAAGTGGAACTAAAGACGCAGAGCAAGAGAGATGGGAGTTCAGGGCCACTCACACATGTCCCCTGCCCACTGTCTGTTTTCTGTCCTCTGTAGATCTTTATATAAAATGAGAAACATAAATAACAATCATAGTATTAATAGGGATGATACAATCAATCTAGTGGGTTTCCCTAAGAATCTGGGTTGGAAACCAGTGGAGTTCTTCGTAAATTACAACCCTTGGGACACTTGAGATTTTTCCAGCATTTGAGGGTTGTTATTACTATTTCTCCAGACCTAGCCAATCCCCTCTGCCAACTGGTAACATGAGGTACTCTTCTCCACGTGTGGGGAAAGTTCCTCTGAAATATGGCTCTCGTCTTCTGCCCCTTTCCCAGCCAGAGATGGGCAGCGGAGGTTCTATGGCACCCATCCTGGCCTCACTCTGAGGTTCCAATGAGGATTCTGGGCATCAAGAGACAGCTCTGGGTCAAAGCAAAATCAAGTCAGTCCCTGGGCCCAGTGCTGGGCTGCTGGGCTTTCTGGGAGCACCTGCTGGGCTTGCTACACACTCCACCTCCCAGAAACTCCACACCCACAGCCCTGGGTCTTCCTAGCCCCAAGACTTTCAAGTCCATATGCCTGGAATCCCCCGTCCTGAGACCCTTAACCCTGCATCCTCCACAACAGAAGACCCCCAGATGCACAGCCACACTTCCATCTCACCCTAGTAAAACCCAGACCTTTGGATTCCTCTCCCGTGGAATGCCCAAATCCACAACTTTGGGGTGCATTCTCACTCCCAGATCCCAAATCCAAAGTCCAGGTGCTCCCCTGTGCAAATATTCCAAACTCCTCAGTTCCACAGTTTATCTGTTGCCCGCTCCTAAATCCACAGCCCTGCAGCAACCCTCCTGAAGTACCAGATTTAGTCTGGAGTTCCCCTCCCTGTTCAGCTTCCCTGGGGTCCCTCTCCTCCTCCCTTGCTGGCTGTGTCCTAAGCTGTGTGGGATTCAGGGTTGGGGTGTAGTTGGGAGGTGAAATGAGGTGATTATATAATCAACCAAAGTCCATCCCTCTT
Organism: Homo sapiens; assembly: GCF_000001405.40. NCBI lineage: Eukaryota > Metazoa > Chordata > Mammalia > Primates > Hominidae > Homo > Homo sapiens. The sequence goes on from NC_000019.10 coordinate 41,088,412, forward strand.
TTTCAGGCAGTATAAAGGCAAACCACCCCAGCCATCACCATCTATCATCCCACTGCCACCATGCTGGCCTCAGGGCTGCTTCTGGTGACCTTGCTGGCCTGCCTGACTGTGATGGTCTTGATGTCAGTCTGGCGGCAGAGGAAGAGCAGGGGGAAGCTGCCTCCGGGACCCACCCCATTGCCCTTCATTGGAAACTACCTGCAGCTGAACACAGAGCAGATGTACAACTCCCTCATGAAGGTGTCCTAAGGCAGGGAGATGGGTGGCACGGGGTGGGGGCTGCCCAGTTGGCTGGGGCTTTGTGGCAGGGGATTGACCAGTGTGGACCAGAGTCTTAGGAAAGGGAGTCTTGGAGTTTCAGCATCAGGGTCCTAGCAGGAAAGACAGGATCTTGGGATGTCCAGCTCCCTGACTGTGAGAACCTGGGGGCGAAGCATCCCAGTACATGATATCTCAGTGCTGGGCCCATTCAGAGTGGGGGCTGCTCCCTCTAACCACTCCCACCTGCCTCCAACAGATCAGTGAGCGCTATGGCCCTGTGTTCACCATTCACTTGGGGCCCCGGCGGGTCGTGGTGCTGTGCGGACATGATGCCGTCAAGGAGGCTCTGGTGGACCAGGCTGAGGAGTTCAGCGGGCGAGGCGAGCAGGCCACCTTCGACTGGCTCTTCAAAGGCTATGGTGAGGGGGTGCCCAAGAGGGGGAAGGTGGCCAGGTGGATGCAATGGTCTCCGTGTCCCCAGCCTTCTCCCTGACTCTCCTGCCCACTGGAGGCTATGGCAGAGCCCCCTGTCTGGTCTTCTCTCCCCATCTCCCTTCATCGTGGCCTCTCCCTGTGCGTCCCTCACCTGTCTCCAGCGTCCCTGTCGTGATTCCTCCCTGCCTCTCTCTGCCCCGTCTCCTCCTTCTCTCTCACTGGAGTCTCCTCTTTCCCCTCTCTCTCCATCTCTGAGGACATCCTGGGTTTCTGTTTTCCAGCCCTGGTCCTCTGTCTTCATTTGTCTTTTTGTCGCTCTCGGCTTCTGTGCTTCTCCGTGTTTCTCCTCTCTCTGCTTCCCTCTCCCACTTCTTCCTCTGTCTTAGGATTTCAGGGTATTCCTACTTCCACATCTCCAGCCTCCAACTCCTGGTAATTGTCTGTCCTCCTTCCCGATCCTCTCTGTTTCTGTCTCCATATTTTTCTCTCTTCTCCAGTTCAGCTTAAGAATCTTTCACCATTTTTATTTCCTCCTCCCAGATCTCCCCATATCTCACTTCCCCTCCCTCCATCTCTCTCTTTCTCTCCCCACTTCCTTCCCTTCCTCCATGGAGTATCCCCGTATCCCTCTGTTTCTCTGCATCTGTCTGTCTGGCCTTTCTGCTTCTCTTCTGATTCTCTTATTCTTTCTACCCGGTCTCTCTCTCTCTCTCTCTCTCTCTCTCTCTCTCTCTCTCTCTCTCTCTCTCTCTCTCTCTCTCTCTCGTGCTCTCGTGTTTCTCTGACTGAGTTTGCAGCTCTCCTGGGCACTCGCGCTGAATCCATCTCTCTCCCACCCCACTCCCTCTCTGCTCCACCCTTGGGGAGCCCCTTGGAGCTGGTCCGCTCCTGCTCCCGCCGCCCCCTGACCTCTCTCCACCCCCGCGTTCACCTCCCCAGGCGTGGCGTTCAGCAACGGGGAGCGCGCCAAGCAGCTCCGGCGCTTCTCCATCGCCACCCTAAGGGGTTTTGGCGTGGGCAAGCGCGGCATCGAGGAACGCATCCAGGAGGAGGCGGGCTTCCTCATCGACGCCCTCCGGGGCACGCACGGTGAGTAGGGGACCCCGAGTGCGAGGGCGGGAACCCGCGCTTTCTGCCTGGGGATGGGGACTAGGTGGGGAAAGGGGCCCGCACTTCCAGCCCTGGAGTCTGGCGCTGGGATTCGGCTCAACAGGGCCCTGCCTCCTGGAATTCTGACTCTCCTCAGACCTCTGAGTTGACTCTCTCCCCAACCCCCTTCTCCCGCCACACCTGCAGGCGCCAATATCGATCCCACCTTCTTCCTGAGCCGCACAGTCTCCAATGTCATCAGCTCCATTGTCTTTGGGGACCGCTTTGACTATGAGGACAAAGAGTTCCTGTCACTGTTGCGCATGATGCTGGGAAGCTTCCAGTTCACGGCAACCTCCACGGGGCAGGTAACTGGCTGCAGCCCGCCAGTGACGCCCCTACCACAACCTGCCAACTGCTCCCCTACCTGGAGACAGGTGCCCCAAACTCCCACCCCCCTCCAGACAGTGTCCCCTCAAAATCAGTCCCCGATATTGGACAACTGGACGGTTGCACCAGAACCCAGGAGGGATGCCCAATACCCAGTCTCCAAGGACACCTGGATAGCTCAACAGATGATCCCCAAAACAGAGCCTGCTGGCAGGATGCATACCCTCAGCTCAGCTCTCTCACCTGGGCACATGTTCCCATCCCCAACTTACCGTAATTTGTAACAGGTGCTCCCTACCCAGTTCTTCTGAATATTTTAACACCTGGACAAGTGACTGCGTCAACCCGCCTCCTGCATACCTGAACACCTGGTGCTGCAAAATCCAGCCCATCATAATCATTTCACATCTACACAAATGTCACAGATTAGCCCACTGGAATATCTGGCCAAGGGCCCTCTACTTCACCCACTTAAATGCCTGAAAACATGGACAGGTGCCCTAACCAATACCCTAAACACATAAATATCTAGATAGATTATTCCCTGACACCCAAATAAGTGTTCCCCAACCCTTTCCAATCACACACCTTACAGAGGTGCTCCCAGTGCATCCCACTTGGATAGGTAAACACCTCAACAGGTATCCCCTCCACTTCAACATCTTCACCAGCCCCACTTTAATACCTGAACACCTGAACAAAAGCCCCCAATCCAGACCCAGTAAGTATCTGGACAGCTGTCTCCAACCAAGTCCACTTGAATGCCTAAATACCTAGACAGGTGCCACTCACCTCATACCAGCCCCACCTGAAGAGCTAAACACCTGGACAGGTGTCTTCCAACTCAACTTCACTTGAATATCTGAACACCTAGATGTGTGCTCCAATCCAGCCTCATTTGCATACCTGAAACCTGGATATATGCCTCAGTTCTTCTCACCTAAATTACTAGACCGTGGCCCTGGCACCTAATCCACGTGAAAACTTAGATATAAGTTTCCATCCAACCCCACTGAAATACCTAAACACCTGGACAGATGCCTTTAACTCCGTTCCTTCCTTGCTATGAAACAAATCCCCATTCCCATCAGCTCCTGCCCCGTGACAGCTGTCCTTCCCTTCCCATCCTCTCTCTGCAACCCCAGCTCTATGAGATGTTCTCTTCGGTGATGAAACACCTGCCAGGACCACAGCAACAGGCCTTTAAGGAGCTGCAAGGGCTGGAGGACTTCATCGCCAAGAAGGTGGAGCACAACCAGCGCACGCTGGATCCCAATTCCCCACGGGACTTCATCGACTCCTTTCTCATCCGCATGCAGGAGGTACATCCCAGCAGCCAGTGCAGGCAGGTGCAAAGCCAGGGAGAGGGAAATCAGGATGGGAGTGGGGTGGGCAGACGACACAGGCCCATTCAAATTAGCCCTCGTCATAATAATCCTTACAATTGGCCAGGCGCGGTGGCTCATGACCTGTAATCCCAGCACTTTGGGAGGCCGAGGCAGGTGGATCACCTGAGGTCAGGAGTTCGAGACCAGCCTGGCCAACATGGTGAAACCCCGTCTCTACTAAAAATACAAAAATGAGCTAGGTATGGTGGCATGCGCCTGTAATCCCAGCTACTCAGGAGGCTGAGACAGAAGAATTGTTTGAATCCGGGAGGCAGAGGTTGCAGTGAGCCGGGATCATGCCACTGCACTCCGGCCTGAGTGACAGAGCAAGACCCTGTAAAAAAAAAAAAAAAAAAAAAAAAAAAAAAATCCTGACAATCCCAACTACATCAACCACTGCTGTTCCATCTACTGAGCCCTCACCCACAAGCACGACTTATGCACGTGCATTAGAATAGCAAGCACTTCTACAGCACTACCGTGTGCCAGGCACTGCGTTAAGTGCTTTAAGATAGTCCGCCATGGAACACTTATAACAGCTCTTGAAGGAGGTTCAATCATGGCCCCAATTGTACAAATGAGGAAACTGAGGCCCAGAGAGTTTAAGTGTCTTAACTGAGGTCACACAGTGAGGAAGCCATGGTCCCCCAAGCTCAAACCCTGGTCTCTCTGAGCCTAAAGCTGGTGCTTTTAGCCACCATGCTCTCTAACCGTTCATGTCCTGGTTAGCAGACACACCTCTGTGGACAGGTGACCTGGCTTTACATTGCAGGGTCCCCGCCTACCTCTGGATGTCAGCCTCCCATGTGGGAAGGCTTTAGGGAATCCAAAGCTCAGGGAGAAAGGATCAAGGGAGGGATTCCTCCACAGTAAGTTTCAAGATTTTTAGGGAAGAAATAGGATGCTGTTGCTTAAAATTCTGTGCTTGTATCTCAGAAAAACTCTTTTTTTCTGACTCTTCATCTTGCCATCTCTGTACTACTTTCTCTTCGTCTCCCCTCATCCTTCTCTTTCCAAATATTCCTATCATTAAAAAAGTAACAGACTGGGAAACATGGCAAAACCCCGTCTGTACAAAAAAATGGCTAGGCATGGTGGTGCATGCCTGCGGTCCCAGCTACTAAGGAGGTTGAGGTGGGAGGATAGCTTGAGCCCAGGGTGGGCAGAGGTTGCAATGAGCCGATATCACAGCACTGCCCTCCAGCCTGGGTGACAGAATAAGACCGTGTCTCAAAAAAAAAAAAAGAATTAATTTTTTAACAGTTAACAAGTGAGCCTGCATAGTCATGTGCATGTGCAGTTCCAGCTACTCAGGAGGCTGAGGCCGGAGGATTCCTTGAACCCAGGAGTTGGAGTCCAGCCTGTGCAACTTAGCAAGACCAAGTCTGTATAAGAAAAAAAAAAAACCAACTGACAGCTAAGTTGACAATTAAAGGATAGATGATCAGTGAGGTAAAGAAGGTGAGAAGGAAGAGCATTTTGGGCAAAGCCAGCAGCCAGGGCAAGGGCTGGAACCTGGAGCGAGTTTGGCAAATCTAGGGTCCCTCTTTCCACCTTTGGTCTGGACCAAAGAGAGGTAGCTCCAAAGGAAAAGCCCTAGAAGGGCCCCAAGAGCATGGAGAGTGAGCTTGGTCTAAACCGCCCTCTCCCTGCAGGAGGAGAAGAACCCCAACACAGAGTTCTACTTGAAGAACCTGGTGATGACCACCCTGAACCTCTTCTTTGCGGGCACTGAGACCGTGAGCACCACCCTGCGCTACGGTTTCCTGCTGCTCATGAAGCACCCAGAGGTGGAGGGTAAGACTGGAAAGGGAGGAAAGTGAAGGGCCCCAGACCCTCAAAACTCCCCTGAGCCTGGTGCAGTGTACCCACCTATCCCAGATCCCAGGACCCTGAGACGTGCCTTGCTGTCCAGAGACAGGACAATATTCAGCTGATAGGCATCAGCTGAGTCTCATTAGCTATTAAAATATTGAAAATGTCTGCACTGATTGGTCAGTCACTCCTGTCCCAAGCCCACTGAGTGTCCGCTGCCTGCTCCTCTGGATCATCCCCTAAGTTCCTCCCTGTGCCTACCCTGTGATTCTGACACAACCTGGTTTAACAGGATCCTGCTGCAACAATGCGAATGGCTGATGTCTGTTCTGTTATGAATGGTCTACCTCCGTGTCATAGGTGGAGCTATGTCAACCACCGTGTTTTACCTATTCGGACTATCATCCCTGCTCTAAGACCCCTAGACACCTAAACACATTCCCCTCCTCCCCCAGCCAAGGTCCATGAGGAGATTGACAGAGTGATCGGCAAGAACCGGCAGCCCAAGTTTGAGGACCGGGCCAAGATGCCCTACACAGAGGCAGTGATCCACGAGATCCAAAGATTTGGAGACATGCTCCCCATGGGTTTGGCCCACAGGGTCAACAAGGACACCAAGTTTCGGGATTTCTTCCTCCCTAAGGTGCTGTCTCCCCTCCACCACCACCACTCAGACTACGGGGACTTCCAGCCTCTCTCTGTGTCCCCAGAATCCTGCCCCCATTAGTGTTCTAGACTCTGTCCCACTCCCTCAATCAGTCAAAAAAGACTTCCCCAACCACCACATCTGTTCCACCTTTCCACTTAGACAGTCCTGAGTCCTGCATCTCGCCAGACTCTTTGTGTCAGGAGAATACACCCCATGTTCCCAAACTTCCTGTCTTAAGAAACAGAAGCCCCCTTTCCATTAGGCCTTTTGCCTTAGGGACACAAATCTCAGGTCCCTCAAACACCCTGCCTAGTGGAACATGGACCCCATGTCTCCCAAACTTCCTGTTTCAGAGACATGAAACTTCTATCCCCCAAAGCTCCTCCCTCAGAGGTCCCCAACTCCTCCATGCCTGCCACTCCCCTCACCTGGGGCACCCTAGTTCCCCCTGCAGCCCCTGTGTACTTTCACCAATCCCCCCAACCTGCCTCATTACACACACCTTCCTCCTCCCTCCCAGGGCACTGAAGTGTTCCCTATGCTGGGCTCCGTGCTGAGAGACCCCAGGTTCTTCTCCAACCCCCGGGACTTCAATCCCCAGCACTTCCTGGATAAGAAGGGGCAGTTTAAGAAGAGTGATGCTTTTGTGCCCTTTTCCATCGGTAAGAGACCACTGTTTGCTGCCAGGCCACGGCTCACACCAGCAGGGGCCTCTCTCACCCACCTCCCCTCTCTGCGGTGTAGCCTGGTATTTCTCCAGCTTGGAAGTTCCTGTTAGAATCTACCATTGAGCCGCCACCAGCTGATACTCCCTTAACTGCCAAGCACCCAATACCTGCGCCCAGGTAAAAGGGAAGGAAACATCTTCCCCCATAGATTTATTTGTCTAGGGTCACACAGCAGATTCTTCAGCTCCCTGAAAAGGAGATAATGGCACAGCACAGCAGTCATATTTGCAAGTGTATCTGGGGGGTAGGGGCATCTAAACCTCCCATTGCTACACCTGGCATGGATCACCCCATCTATGATGGAGGCATGACATTATGCCTTTTTCAAAACCCATAGAACTGTATAACACAGAGTAAACCCTAATGTAAACTATGGACTTTGGTTAGTAATAATATATCAATATTGGTTCACCATTGTTATATCTCTTATAGAAGGAAACTGAAGCTCAGGGAGGATCGGAGTCTCCTCTGAAAGTCTCTCAGGCCATAATATTCCACCCCTCCTCCCTAGAGAGTGCAGCCGGGGGTCAGTAGGGGTTGAGGCTGCACTGAGAGTGGGCTTCACCTTCACCCCTCCTGCCTCTCCTCCTCAGGAAAGCGGTACTGTTTTGGAGAAGGCCTGGCCAGAATGGAGCTCTTTCTCTTCTTCACCACCATCATGCAGAACTTTCGCTTCAAGTCCCCTCAGTCGCCTAAGGATATCGACGTGTCCCCCAAACACGTGGGCTTTGCCACGATCCCACGAAACTACACCATGAGCTTCCTGCCCCGCTGAGCGAGGGCTGTGCTGGTGCAGGGCTGGTGGGCGGGGCCAGGGAAACGGCCGGGGCAGGGGCGGGGCTTGTGGGAGGGGCGGGGCTAAGAATGGGGGCAGTGGGGGAAGGAAGGGGAGAGGTGGTTAGAGGGAACAGAAGAAACAGAAGGGGCTCAGTTCACCTTGATGATGTCCTTCAGAGCTGTGATGAGAGGAAGGGAAACCTTACAGTATGCTACAAAGAGTAGTAATAATAGCAGCTCTTATTTCCTGAACAAGTACCTCCGTGTCAGCTTTGTTCAAAAAGCGTTGCACGCTCACCTCACTTAATTGCCACAAACCTCTACGAAGGGGAAAAGCGTTCATGCCCATTTTACACGTGACAAAGCTGCGGCTCAGAAAGTTGTCTCTATCTGATTTCTCACAAAACGTAAGTGCCCAGAAAATCTTTGAACACAGATCTGTGCCCATAGCCCTCTAGATAGATTCTTAAAAAGCACCCCTTCCTCACGTAAAATAGCTTAGTATAGCATCACATGGCCTGAACATCCCTGTCCTGGGGGGTTTTCCAGAGACCTGGCGGGCGGCTGTCCTGCCTTCTCTGCACACTTTCCTACTCGGCACGCTTTGAACACCAGGGTGTAATCTGAGCTCGCTACCAGGTAAGGCCACTGTGGCCCAATCAGAGTCAGTCTAGGACACAACGAGACATGAATGGACATACAGAGTCAGTCCATTGACAATTCCTTTGCAGAGCAGAAGTTTTTAATTTTAATGACATTCTGTCATTGTATCTCTTAATGAAGAAGTTGAAGGAGAGAACCACTTTAATGCCGGGAGAACTCTGGATCAGGACATACCATACGCATGTTTGTGATCATGTGCAGGCATGCATGTGAGCATATGACTGCATATTCTCCTCCGTGTATGCATGAAACACATTCCACTATGGGTTTCTGAAGGTGGGGCTCTCCTGATGGATCTGGGGTCTGTTGTAAGACCCAGCTAAGAGTTTCACAATCACCTGCCCACTCTCAAAGACGTTAGTGTGTGTCCCCCTTAGAAGCTCCCTTACAGCATTCACGAAAATTAACTCCAAGTTTATTGTAGACCTAAATGAAAAGTGAGTATAAACTTCTAGAAGATAACGTAGGAGAAAATCTAGATGACCTTAAGTTTGGTGATGGCTTATTAGATACAACACCAAAAGCACAATCCTTGAAAGAAGCAATTGATAAGTTCTGAGTCATTAAAATAAAAAATTTCTGCTCTGCAAGATAATTGTCAAGAGAATGACAATACAAGCTACAGACTGGGAGAACATATTTGCAGGGAACATACCTGATAAAGGACTTACATTCAAAATACACAAAGAACTGTTAAAACTCAACAATAGAAAACAACCCAATTAAAGAATGGGCAAAAATCTGAGCAGACACCTCACCAAATAAAATATACACACAGCAAATAAGCATAAGGAAAGATGCTCCACATCATGTCAGTAGCAATTTCAAATTTAAAAAATAATGATATACCGTTACCTACCTATTAGAATGGCTAAAATCCGAAACTGACAACACCAAATGCTGACAAGGAGGTGGCTCAACAGGAACTGTCATTCACTGATGGTGGGAATGCAAAATGGCACAGCTACTTTGGAAGACAGATTGGTGGTTTCTTGCAAAGCTAAACATATTTTCACTATGTGATACAGCAATCATGCTCTTCTGTATTAACCCAAATGAATTGAAAATGTATAGCCACACAAAAATTTCTGCACAGATATTTATAGCAGCTTTATTCATAGTTGCCAAATCTTCTAAGCAACCAAGATGTTCTTCAATAAGTGAATGGATAAATGAACTGTGGTATGTTCATACAATGAAATATGGCTGGGCGTGATGGCTCATGACTGTAATTACAGCACTATGGGAGACCAAGGTGGGCAGATCGTTTGAGGTCAGGAATTCGAGACCAGCCTGGCCAACATGGTGAAACCCCATCTCTACTAAAAATACAAAAACTAGCCGGGCATGGTGGCATGCACCTGCAGTTCCAGCTACTTGGGAGGCTGAGGTGGGAGAATTGCTTGAACCCATGAGGCAGAGGTTGCAGTGAACTGTGATGGAGCCTCTGCACTCCAGCCTAGGTGACACAGTGAGACTTTGTCTCAAAAAACAAGCAAAAAAAAAAAATTATTTGGCAATACAAAGAAATCAGGCCTCAGAAAGACATGGAAGATCTGAAATGTATGTAGCTAAGTGAAAAAAGCCAGTCTGAAAAGGCCACATCCTATATAATTCCAACTATATGACATTCTGGAAAAATGAAACTATGAAGACAGTACAAAGATAGTAGTTGCCAGGAGTTTAGGGAGGAGGAAGTATGAATAGGTGCAGCACATGTGGTTTTTAGGGCAGATAAACTATTCTGTATGATACTGAAATGCTACATGACATTATGCCTTATTCAAAACCCATAGAACTGTACAACAGAAAAAATAAACCCTAATGTAAACTACAGACTTTGGTTCATAATAATATATCAGTATTGATTAATCATTGTAACAAAGGTATCATACTTACACAAGATGTAAGGTATATAGGAACTTTCTTCCATTCCAAGATGGATGAATAGAAGCAACTCCAGTCTGCAGCTCCTAGCATGATCAACACAAAAGATGAGTGATTTCTGCAATTCCAACTGAGGTACCTAGTTCATCTCACTGGGACTGGTTGGACAGTGGGTGCAGCCCATGGAGGGTGAGCCAAAACAGGGTGGGGTATTGCCTCACCCGGGAAGTGCAAGGGGTTGGGAGATTTCCCTTTCCTAGCCAAGGGAAGCCGTGACAGAGTGTACCTGGAAAACTGGAACACTCCTGCCCAAATACTGCGCTTTTCCAATGGTCTTAGCAAATGGCATGCCAGGAGATTATATCCCATGCCTGGCTCGGCAGGTCCCATGCCCACAGAGCCATGCTCACTGCTAGTGCAGCAGTCTGAGATCAAACTGTGAGGCAGCAGCCTGGATGGGGGAGGGGTATCCACCATTGCTAAGGTGTGAGGAGGTAAACAAAGCATACAGGGAAGCTCGAACTGGGTGGAGCCCACCGGAGCTCAGCAAGGCCTGTTGCCTCTGTACATTCCACCTCTGGGGGCAGGGCATAACTAAACAAAAGGCAGCAGAAACTTCTACAAACTTAAACATCCTTGTCTGACAGCTCTGAAGAGAGCAGTGGTTCTTCCAGCATGGTGTTTAAGCTCTGAGAATGGACAGACTGCCTCCTCAAGTGGGTCCCTGACCCCCATGTAACCTAACTGGGAGACACCTCCCAGGAGGGGCTGACTGACATCTCATACACACAGGTGGGTGCCCCTCTGGGATGAAGCTTCCACAGGAAGGATCAGGTGCCAATATCTGCTGTTCTGCAGCCTCCACTGGTGATACGCAGGAAAACAGGGTCTGGAGTGGACCTCCAGCAAACTCCAACAGACCTGAAGCTGAGGGAACTGACTGTTAGAAAGAAAACTAACAAACAGAAAGGAATAGCATCAACATCAACAAAAAGGACATCCCCACCAAAACCCCATCTGTAGGCCACCAACATCCAAGACCAAAGGTGGAAAAACCAGAGCAGAAAACCTGAAAATTCTAAAAACCAGAGCACCTCTTCTCCTCCAAAGGATTGCAGCTCCTCACCAGCAATGGAGCAAAGCTGGACAGAGAATGACTTTGATGAGCTGACAGAAGTAGGCTTCAGAAAGTCAGTAATAACAAACTTCTTTGAGCTAAAGGAGCATGTTCTAACCCATTACAAGGAAGCTAAACATCTTGAAAAAAGACTAGATGAATGGCTAACGAGAATAAACAGTGTAGATAAGAACTTAAATGACCTGAAGGAGCTGAAAACTATGGCACAAGAACTACATGACACATGCACAAGCTTCAATAGCCAATTCAATCAAGTGGAAGAAAGGGTATCAGTGATTGAAGATCAAATTAATAAAATAAGGTGAGAAGACAAGATTAGAGAAAAAAGAGTAAAAAGAAATGAACAAAGCCTCCAAGAAAAATGGGACTGTGTGAAAAGACCAAATCTACGTTTGACTGATGTACCTGAAAGTGATGGGGAGAATGGAACCAAGTTGGAAAACACCCTTCAGGATATAATGCAGGTGAACTTCCCCAATCTAGCAAGGCAGGACAACATTCAAATTCAGGAAATACAGAGAACACCACAAAGATACTCCTCGAGAAGAGCAACCCCAAGACACATAATTGTCAGATTCACCAAGATGGAAATGAAAGAAAAAATGTTAAGGGCAGTGAGAGAGAAAGGTTGGGTTACCCACAAAGGGAAGCCCATCAGACTAACAGCAGAACTCTCGGCAGAAATTCTACAAGCCAGAAGAGAGTGGGGGCTAATATTCAACATTCTTAAAGCAAAGAATTTTCAACTCAGAATTTCATATCCAGCCAAACTAAGCTTCAGAAGTGAGGGAGAAATAAAATCCTTTACAGACAAGCAAATGCTGAGAGATTTTGTCACCACCAGGCCTGCTTTACAAGAGCTCCTGAAGGAACCACTAAACATGGAAAGGAACAACCGGTACCAGCCACTGCAAAAACAGGCCAAATTATAAAGACCATCAAGGCTAGGAAGAAATTGCATCAACTAACGGGCAAAATACCCAGCTAACATCATAATGACAGGATCAAATTCACACATAACAATATTATCCTTAAATGTAAATGGGCTAAATGCCTCAATTAAAAGACACAGACTGGCAAATTGGATAAAGAGTCAAGACTCATCAGTGTGCTGTATTTAAGAGATCCATCTCACGTGCAGAGACAAACATAGGCTCAAAATAAAGGGATGGAGGAAGACCTACCAAGCAAATGGAAAGCAAAAAAAAAGCAGTGGTTGCAATCCTAGTCTCTGATAAAACAGACTTTAAACCAACAAAGATGAAAAGAGACAAAGAAGGCCATTACATAATGGTAAAGGGATCAAATCAACAAAAAGAGCTAACTATCCTAAATATACATGCACCCAATACAGGTGCATATATATTTATGCACCTAGATTCATAAATATGCACTAGATTCATAAAGCAAGTCCTGAGAGACCTACAAAGAGACTTAGACTCCCACACAATAATAATGGGAGAGTTTAACACCCCACTGTCAATATTAGACAGATGATCGAGACAGAAGCTTAACAAGGATATCCAGGAATTGAACTCAGCTCTGCACCAAATGGACCTATTAGACATCTACAGAACTCTCCACCCCAAATCAACAGAATATACATTCTTCTCAGCACCACATCGCACTTATTCCAAAATTGACCACATAGCTGGAAGTGAAGCACTCCTCAGCAAATGTAAAAGAACAGAAATCACAACAAACTGTCTCTTAGACCACAGTGGAATAAAATTAGAACTCAGGATTAAGAAACTCACTCAAAACCGCACATCTACAGGGAAACTGAACAACCTGCTCCTGAATGATTACTGGGTACATAACGAAATGAAGGCAGAAATAAAGATGTTCTTTGAAATCAGTGAGAAGAAAGACACAATGTAGCAGAATCTCTGGGACACATTTAAAGCAGTGTGTAGAGGGAAATTTATAGCACTAAATGCCCACAAGAGAAAGCAGGAAAGATCTAAAATTGACACCGTAACATCACAATTAAAAGAACTAGAGAAGCAAGAACAAACACATTCAAAAGCTAGCAGAAGGCAAGAAATAACTAAGATCAGAGCAGAACTGAAGGAGATAGAGTAACAAAAAGCCCTTCAAAAAATCAATGAATCCAGGAGCTGGTTTTTTGAAAAGATCAACAAAATATATAGACCACTAGCAAGACTAATAAAGAAGAAGAGAGGGCAGAATCAAATAGATGCAATAAAAAATGATAAAGAGTATATCACAACCAATCCCACAGAAATACAAACTGCTATCAGAGAATACTATAAACACCTCTATGCAAATACGCTAGAAAATCTAGAAGAAATGGATAAATTCCTGGACACATACACCCTCCCAAGACTAAACCAGGAAGAAATTGAATCTCTGAATAGACCAATAACAGGCTCTGAAATTGAGAAAATAATTAATAGCCTACCAACCAAAAAAAGTCTAGGACCAGAGGGATTCACAGCCGAATTCTACCAGAGGTACAAAGAGGAGATGGTACCATTCCTTTTGAAACTATTCCAATCAATAGAAAAAGAGGGAATCCTCCCTAAGTCATTTTATGGGGCCAGCATCATCCTGATACCAAAGCCTGGCAGAGACACAACAAAACAAGAGAATTTTAGACCAATATCCCTCATAAACATTGATGCAAAAATCCTCAATAAAATACTGGCAAACTGAATCCAGCAGCACATCAAAAAGCTTATCCACCACAATCAAACTTCACCACAATCAAGGGTGAACCAGCCTTGGCTTCATCCCTGGAATGCAAGGCTGGTTCAACATACACAAATCAATAAATGTAATCCATCACATAAACAGAACCATCGACAAAAACCACATGATTATCTCAATAGACACAGAAAAGGCCTTCAACAAAATTCAACAGCACTTCATGCTAAAAACTCTCAATAAATTAGGTATTGAGTGAACATATCTCAAAATAATAAGAGCTATTTATGACAAACCCACAGCCAATATCATACTGAATGGGCAAAAACTGGAAGCATTCCCTTTGAAAACTGGCACAAGACAGGGATGCCGTCTCTCAACACTCCTTTTCAACATAGTTCTGGCCAGGGCAATCAGGCAAGAGAAAGAAATAAAGAGTATTCAGTTAGGAAAAGAGGAAGCCAAATTGTTCCTGTTCACAAATGGCATGACTGTATATTTAGAAAACCCCAACATCTCGGGGAGCGCCTCTGCCCCGCCGCCCCATCTGGGATGTGAGGAGCGCCTCTGCCCGGCCGAGACCCCGTCTGGGAGGTGAGGGGCGCCTCTGCCCGGCCGCCCCTACTGGGAAGTGAGGAGCCCCTCTGCCCGGCCAGCCGCCCTGTCCGGGAGGGAGCTGGGGGGGTCAGCCCTCCCCCCGGCCAGCCACCCCGTCTGGGAGGTGAGGGGCGCCTCTGCCCGGCCGCCCCTACTGGGAAGTGAGGAGCCCCTCTGCCCGGCCAGCCGCCCTGTCTGGGAGGGAGGTGGGGGGATCGGCCCCCTACCCGGCCAGCCGCCCCATCCGGGAGGGAGGTGGGGGGGTCGGCCCCCCGCCCGGCCAGCCGCCCCGTCCGGGAGGGAGGTGGGGGGGTCAGCCCCCCACCCGGCCAGCCGCCCCGTCCGGGAGGGAGGTTGGGGGGGGTCAGCCCCCCTGCCCGGCCAGCCACCCCGTCCGGGAGGTGAGGGGCGCCTCTGCCCGGCCGCCCCTACTGGGAAGTGAGGAGCCCCTCTGCCCGGCCAGCCGCCCCGTCCGGGAGGGAGGTGGGGGGGGTCAGCCCCCCGCCCAGCCAGCCGCCCCGTCCGGGAGGGAGGTGGGGGGGGTCAGCCCCCCCGCCCGGCCAGCCGCCCCGTCCGGGAGGTGAGGGGCGCCTCTGCCCGGCCGCCCCTACTGGGAAGTGAGGAGCCCCTCTGCCCAGCCAGCCGCCCCGTCCGGGAGGGAGGTGGGGGTTCAGCCCCCCGCCCGGCCAGCCGCCCCGTCCGGGAGGGAGGTGGGGGGGGGTCAGCCCCCCTGCCCGGCCAGCCGCCCCGTCCGGGAGGTGAGGGGCGCCTCTGCCCGGCCGCCCCTACTGGGAAGTGAGGAACCCCTCTGCCCGGCCACCGCCCCGTCTGGGAGGTGTGCCCAGTAGCTCATTGAGAATGGGCCAGGATGACAATGGCGGCTTTGTGGAATAGAAAGGCGGGAAAGGTGGGGAAAAGATTGAGAGATCGGATGGTTGCCGTGTCTGTGTGGAATGAAGTAGACATGGGAGACTTTTCATTTTGTTCTGCACTAAGAAAAATTCCTCTGCCTTGGGATCCTGTTGATCTGTGACCTTACCCCCAACCCTGTGCTCTCTGAAACATGTGCTGTGTCCACTCAGGGTTAAATGGATTAAGGGCGGTGCAAGATGTGCTTTGTTAAACAGATGCTTGAAGGCAGCATGCTCGTTAAGAGTCATCACCAATCCCTAATCTCAAGTAACCAGGGACACAAACACTGCGGAAGGCCGCAGGGTCCTCTGCCTAGGAAAACCAGAGACCTTTGTTCACTTGTTTATCTGCTGACCTTCCCTCCACTATTGTCCCATGACCCTGCCAAATCCCCCTCTGTGAGAAACACCCAAGAATTATCAATAAAAAAATAAATAAATAAATAAATAAATAATTAAAAAAAAAAAAAAAAAAAAGAAAACCCCAACATCTCAGCCCAAAATCTCTTTAAGCTGATAAGCAACTTCAGCAAAGTCTCAGGATGCAAAATCAATGTGCAAAAATCACAAGCATTCTTATACACCAATAACAGACAAACAGAAAGCCAAATCATGAGTGAACGCCCATTCACAACTGCTTCAAAGAGAATAAAATACCTAGAAATCCAACTTACACGGGATGTGAAGGACCTTTTCAAGGAGAACTACAAACCACTGCTCAACGAAATAAAAGAGGATACAAACAAATGGAAGAACTTTCCATGCTCATGGATAGGAAGAATCAGTATCGTGAAAATGGCCATACTGCCCAAGGTAATTTATAGATTCAGTGCCATCCCCATCAAGCTACCAATGACTTTCTTCACAGAATTGGAAAAAACTACTTTAAAGTTCATATGGAACCAAAAGAGAGCCCACATTGACAGGACAATCCTAAGCAAAAAGAACAAAGCTGGAGGCATGATGCTACCTGACTTCAAACTATACTACAAGGCTACAATAACCAAAACAGCATGGTACTGGTACCAAAACAGAGATACAGACCAATGGAACAGAACAGAGGCCTCATAAATAACACCACACATCTACAAATATCTGATCTTTGACAAACCTGACAAAAACAAGAAATGGGGAAAGGATCCCTATTTAATAAATTGTTCTGGGAAAACTGGCTAGTCATATGTAGAAAGCTGAAACTGGATCCCTTCCTGGCACCTTATACAAAAATTCACTCAAGATGGATTAAAGACTTACATGTTAGACCTAAAACCATAAAAACCCTAGAAGAAAACCTGGGCAATACCACTCAGGACATAGGCATGAGCAAGGACTTTATGACTAAAACACCAAAAGCAATGGCAACAAAAGCCAAAATAGACAAATGGGATCTAATTAAACTAAAGAGCTTCTGCACAGCAAAAGAAACTACCATCAGAGTGAACAGGCAGCCTACAGAATGGGAGAAAAGTTTTGCAATCTACCCATCTGACAAAGGGCTAATATCCAAAATCTACAAAGAACTCAAATTTATAAGAAGAAAACAAACAACCCCATCAAAAAGTGGGCAAAGGATATGAACAGACATTTCTCAAAAGAAGACATTTATGCAGCCAACAGACACATGAAAAAATGTTCATTTTCACTGATCATCAGAGAAATGCAAATCAAAACCACAATGGGATACTATCTCACACCAAAGTCAGGAAACAACAGACGCTGGAGAAGATGTGGAGAAATAGGAATGCTTTTACACTTTTGGTGGGAGTGTAAACTAGTTCAACCATTGTGGAAGAGAGTGTGGCGATTCCTCAAGGATCTAGAGCTAGAAATACCATTTGACCCAGCAATCCCATTACTGGGTATATACCCAAAGGATTATAAATCATGCTACTATAAAGACACATGCACACGTATGTTTATTGCGGCACTATTCACAATAGCAAAGACTTGGAACCAACCCAAATGTCCATCAATGATAGACTGGATTAAGAAAATGTGGCACATATACACCATGGAATACTATGCAGCCATAAAAAAGGATGATTTCATGTCCTTTGCAGGGACATGGATGAAGCTGGAAACTATCATTCTGAGCAAACTATCGCAAGGACAGAAAACCAAACACCGCATGTTCTCACTCATGGGTGGGAATTGAACAATGAGAACATTGGGTCACAGGGTGGGGAACATCACACACCAGGGCCTGTCGTGGGGTGGGGGCCTGGGGAAGGGATAGCATTGGGAGAAATTCCTAATGTATATGAGGGGTTGATGGGTGCAGCGGCCCAGCATGGCACATGTATACTTATGTAAGGAGCCTGCACGTTGTGCACATGTACCCTAGAACTTAAAGTATAATTTTTAAAAAAAGGATCGAGAATTAGAGTTACATAAGAGGAGTAAGTTCAAGAGATCTACTGTACAGCATGGTAACTATAGTTAATGATGATATATCGTATTTTTGGAAAATGCAAAGAGAGTGGACATTGAGTTCACACTACACAAATGACAATTATGTGAGATAATGCATTTGTTAATTGGATAAATTTAACTATTTCACAATACTTATACTTCAAAACATCATGTTGCACACAATACAATAAATACATTTTTTTGAGATAGGTCTTGCTCTGTTGCCCAGGCTGGAATGCAGTGCTACCATCATGGCTCACTGCAGCCTCGACCTCCCAGGCTCAAGTTATCCCCCCACTTAAACCCTCAAGTAGCTGGAACTACAGGTGTATATTCAGTTTTTTGTGCTTTTATTTATTTATTTTTGTGGGTACATAGTAGGTGTATATATTGATGGAGTGCATGAGATGTTTTGATACAGGCATGCAATGTGAAATAAGCACATCATGGAGAATGGGGTATCCATCCCCTCAAACATTTATCCTTTGAGTTGCAAACAATCCAATTACATTCTTTAAATTATTTTAAAATATACAATTAAGTTATTATTGACTACAGTCGCCCTGTGGTGCTATCAAGTAGTAGGTCTTATTCATTCTTTCTAACAATTTTTCGTACCCATTAACCATCCCCACCTTCCCCCCAGTCCTCCACTACCCTTTCCAGCCTCTGGTAACCATCTTCTACTCTGTGTCCATGAGTTCAATTGTTTTGATTTTTAGATCCCACAAATAAGTAAGACCATGCAATGTTTGTCTTTCTGTACCTGGCTTATTTCACTTGACATAATGATCTCCTAATTTCTTTTTTGAGTCCATTCAATTCTAGAACATCTCCTTATTTTTTAAACTATTTTGTAGACACAAGGTTTTGTCATGTTGCCCAGGCTGGTCTCGAACTCCTGAGCTCAAGTGATCCACCCACCTCTGCCTCCCAAAGTGCTGGGATTACAGATGTGAGCCACCGCGCCCAGCATTTTTTTTTCTTTGTTTTTGTCTTTTATCTCACCTGGGACCCATGAGATTCATTTTTAAATACTCAAGTTAAAAAGGGGAGATGGAGGTGGAAGAAGACATGAAACAAGATTGTTTGTGTGTTGAAAACCTCTGGGTGATGTGTACATGGATCCTATTTTCTCTCCTTTTTTTTTTTTTTTTTTGGACAGAGACTTCCTCTGTCATCCAGGCTGTCATGTCATCCATGGCACCTGGCCACTCTATTTTTATAGAACTTTGAAAATTGCCAGGCATGATGGCTCATGCCTGTAATCCCAGCACTTTGGGAGGCCAAGGCGGGTGGATCACCTGAAGTCGGTAGTTCAAGACCAGCCTGACCAACATGGAGAAACCCCATCTCTACTAAAAATACAAAATTAGCCAGGCGTGGTGGTGCATGCCTGTAATCCCAACTACTCAGGAGGCTAAGGCAGGAGACTCGCTTGAACCCAGGAAGCAGAGGTTGTGGTGAGCCAAGATCGTGCCATTGCACTCCAGCCTGGGCAACAAGAGCGAAACTCCATCTAAAAAAAAAAAAAAAATTTCAAAATTAGCCAGGCATGATGGTGCATGCCTGTAATCCCAGCTACTCAGGAGGCTGGGGCAGAATAATTGCTTGAACCCAGGAGGCCAAGATTGCAGTGAGCCGAGATCATACCATTGCACTCCAGCCTGGGCAACAAGAGCTAAACTCTATCTCAAAAAAAAAAAAAAAAAAACTTGGTAATAAAAAGGTTAAGAGAAATGAAGAATAAAGAGGATCAGAGAATGGAGCAGGAATTGAAGGATGACATGGGGTCAAGAGAAGGTCTGGCATTCTCATATACGTCTCAGGGAAATGTAAATTGATAAACCACTTGGAAGAGCTGTTTGGCAGTACCCACTAAGGCTAAAATATACCTTATCCTATGGCCCAACAATACCAAAAATAACTGAATGCACAGATTACAAAACGCCTTGTATGAGAATATTCAGGCCAGGCGCGATGGCTCACACCTGTAATCTAAGCACTTTGGGAGGCTGAGGCGGGCGGATCACTTGAGGTCAGGAGTTCGAGACCAGCCTGGCCAACATGGTGAAACCCTGTCTCTGCTAAAAAATACAAAAATTAGCTGGGCATGGTGGCATGAACCTGCAGTCCCAGCTACTCAGGAGGCTGAGGTGGGAGAATCACTAGAACCCAAGAGGGAGAGGCCGCAGTGAGCTGAGATCATGCCATTGCACTCCAGCCTACACGACAGAGAGAAAGCCTGTCTCAAAAAATAAAAATAAAAAAGAATGTTCAGAGCAGCTTATAGCCAAAAACTGGAAACAAATCAAATGTTCATCAACAGGTGAATGGATAAAGAAATTATGGTATATTCATACAGTGAAATACATTAGCAAGACTGGCACAGTGGCTCATGCCTATAATCCCAGCACTTTGGGAGACTGACACAGGCAAATCATTTAAGGTCAAGAGTTCAGGACCAGCCTGGGCAACATAGTGAGACTCCATCTCTAAAAAAATAAAAAACAGGCCGGGCGCAGTGGCTCACGTCTGTAATCCCAGCACTTTGGGAGGCCTAAGCGGGCAGATCACGAGGTCAGGAGATTGAGACCGTCCTGGCTAACATGGTGAAACCCCGTCTCTATTAAAAATACAAAAAATTAGCCGGGTGAGGTTGCAGGCGCCTGTATTCCCAGCTACTCGGGAGGCTGAGGCAGGAGAATGGCCTGAACCCAGGAGGCGGAGCTTGCAGTGAGCCGAGATCGTGCCACTGCACTCCAGCCTGGGCGACAGAGGGAGACTCCGTCTCAAAAATAAATAAATAAATGAATAAATAAATAAATAATAAAAATAAAAAACAAAAAAAGTAGCTGGGCATGGTGGTACAGGCTTATAGTCCCAGCTAATTGGGGTGCCAAAGCAGGAGGATCACTTGAGCTGAGGAGGTAAAAGAAAGAGGGAAGGAAGGAAGGAAGGAAGGAAGGAAGGAAGGAAGGAAGGAAGGAAGGAAGGAAGGAAGGAAGGAAGGAAGGGGCAATACCTACCATTATACCATTTCTGGTGCGTGTTTTTTAATAGCCATCCTAATGAACACGAAGTTATATCTCTTGCTTTTGATTTTTATTTCCCTAGATGGCTAGTGATTTTGAACATCTTTTCATAAAAGGGTCTTTTTAAGATGGGAGAAATACAGCTTATTGGGGTTTTTTGTTTGTTTGTTTTGTTTTGTTTTTTGAGACAGAGTCTCCCTCTGTTGCCCAGGCTGGAGTGCAGTGGTGTGATCTCGGCTCACTGCGACCTCTGCCTCCCGGGTTCAAGCAATTCTCCTGCCTCAGCCTCCTGAGTAGCTGGGACTACAGGCACACACCACCATGCCAAGCTATTTTTGTATTTTTAGTAGAGTCGGGGTTTTACCATGTTGGCCAGGCTGGTCTTGAACTCCTGATCTCTATTGATCTGCCCATCTCAGCCTCCCAAAGTGCCGAATTACAGGCATGAGCCACCATGCCCGGCCAGCTTATTGGCTCTTTATGAAAAATATTCAATAGAGAGAAGAAAACAAATCACACAGGAAATGAAAACATGACACAGCCACTTTGGAAAAGAGTTTGGAAGTTTCTTATAAATATACACTCATCATAGAACCCAGCAGTCACACTCACAGATATATCCAGATACACGAAACATAGATCCCCACAAAGACATATGCATATATGCCAAGAATAATACATATTATTCAAAATAGCCAGACCTTGGGAACAATCCACATTTCCATCAACTGGTGAAAAGCAAATTGTGGCACATCTATATGCGGTGACATGCTACTCTGCAATGAAAAGGAATGAGCTTCTGATGTATGTAACACATGGTTAACTCTCAAAAGCATTACGTATGCTTCCCAGAAGCAGGCTTGGTATATGGAAGAAATGCTGTAGATTTTCTTTTCTTTTTTTTTTTTTTGAGACGGAGTCTCGCTCTGTCGCCCAGGCTGGAGTACAGTGGCATGATCTTGGCTCACTGCCACCTCCGCCTCCCAGGTTCAAGTGATTCTCCTGCCTCAGGCTCCCGACTAGCTGGGATTACAGGCACCCTCCATCAAGTCCAGCTAATTTTTGTATTTTTCATAGAGAGAGGGGTTCACCACGTTGGCCAGGCTGGTCTCAAATTCCTGACCTCAGGTGATCCACCCGCCTCAGCCTCCCAAAAAGCTAAGATTACAGGCGTGAGCCACCATGCCCAGCCGTAGATTTTCATTTATATGAAATGTAGATCAATAGTGGGAAGAAAAAACTAGAACAGGGCTGGATGCAGTGGCTCAAGCCTGTAATCCCAGCACTCTGGGAGGCTGAGGCAGAAGGATTGCTTGAGCCCAGGAGTTCGAGATCAGCCTGGGCAACATAGGGAGACCTCTGCCTCTACAAAAAATTTTTAAATTAGCCAGTTGTGATGGCACAGGCCTCTACTTCCAGCTACTCAGGAGGCTGAGGCCGGGGGATCATTTGAGCCAGGGAGGTCAAGGTTGCAGTGAACAATGATCACACCACTGCACTCCAGCCTGGGGGACAGAGCAAGACCCTGTCTCAAAAGAAGAGAAAAAAACCTAGAACAATGGTTGCCCACAAGAGATGGAGCATGGTTGACTAGGAAGGAGTAGGAAGGAGGGTTCTCTTTTCATTATTATTATTACTTTAGAGAAGGGAGTCTCTCTTTGTCACCCAGGCTGGAGTGCAGGGGTGTGTTCATAGCTCACTGTAGCCTGGAACTCCTGGGTGCAAGTGATCTTCCACCTCAGCCCCTTGAGTAGCTGGGATTACAAGCGTGCACCACCACACTTAGCTATTGTTTTTTTCTTTTTTTTAGTAGAGACAGGGGTCTCGCAATGTTGCACAGCCTGGTCTCAAATTTCTGGCCTCTAGTGATCCTTCCACCTCAGCCTCCTATAGCTAGGATTATAGGCACAAACCACCACGCCCAGCTCCAAGAGAACTTTCTTGGATGATGAAAATATTCTGTATCTTCACAGGGATTTCGATACCTTCAAAATTCAGCAAATGTTCACTTACCATGTGTGTATTTCATCACAGGTAAATTTTACCTAAAGAAATCGTTAAGGGAAAACTCCATCTACACACCTTCACAGGAACTATGACACAGTAAATAGAATCAAGTCCTCCAGTTGGCGATGGAATGGGATCTGGCACACCAGAAGGGGGCTCACCTAAGCCTGACATGGGACACTGTGTGGTTCTAGCAGGAAGGAAGGCTGCATGTGCCGTCCAGATGCCAGTGGGCAAGAGGACAGGATGATGGAGGATGCGCCCGCTTACTGCCCATTGCTGCCATTCTCTCCGTGAGATAAGAAGCGGGTTCATCAACAAAGAGTGAGGTGACTGAAGAGGGTTTTGGAGTTTGAGGAGGCAGGAACAAAAGGATAGGAATAGGGCGGGGGGAGTTCCAAGAGAGGACAATGAGAGGCGAGGCATTTTTCCACCACGGAGTGTGTTTCAGCTTTCTGCAATACCCCAGCGGTTCTCAACTGGGTTGATTTTTTTCCTCCCAAGGGGACATTCAATAGTATCTGGAGTCATGTTTGTTTGTAACAACTGGTAGGGAATGAGTGGGTGGGTTCTGTCATCTACTGAGTAGAAACCAAGGACACTGCTAAACATCCTACCACACACAGGATGCAGCCCCCACCACCCATGAAGGCCCAAGACATCAACAGCAGTGAGTTGAGAAATTGCAATACATCCCTTCCTTGCCCCAAGTTCCCTCTGTAGCAGGAGAGCAAGTCAGAATAACAGAACTCAAAGCCTCTTAAAACCCCCCTTCTCGGCCACACATGGTGGCTCACGCCTGTAATCCCCAGAGGCCCAGGTGGGAGGATCGCTTGAGCCCAGGAGTTGGGGACCAGACTGGGTGACATAGCATGCTAGATCTCATCTCTACTAAAAATTTTAAAAATTAGCCAGGTGTGGTGATGCGTGCTTGTAGTCCCAGCTACTTGGGAAGCTGAGGCAGGAGAATCCCTTAAGCCCAGGAGATCGAGGCTGCAATGAGCTATGATCACACCACTAAACTCCAGTCTGGGTGACAGAGTGAGACCCTGTGTCAAAACAAACTAACTAACTGCCCTTCCCATAAATCCCAGTTTCCCCAATCAGGTGGTCCCATTAGGCCCATCTTTTTTTTCTTTTTTTTTCTTTTTTTTGAGTCAAAGTTTCACTCTTGTTGCCCAGGCTGGAGTGCAATGGTACAATCTCAGCTCACTGCAACCTCCACCTCCCGGGTTCAAGTGATTCTCCTGCCTCAGCCTCCTGAGTAGCTGGGATTATAGGCAAGCACCACCACGCCTGGCTAATTTTTTTTGTATTTTTAGTAGAGACAGGGTTTTGCCATGTTGGTCAGGCTGTCTCAAACTCCTGACCTCAGGTGATCCACCCACCTCGGCCTCCCAAAGTGCTGGGATTACAGGCATGAGCCACCACGCCCAGCCTCATTAGGCCCCTCTTAACCAAGTTCTAGGGTGAGGGATAAGTTGCTTACAGGGTTGGCGTGGATACAGCACTACACCCTCCCCTTAAAAGTAGGGAGTAGACGCCAAGGGAAACTAGAGCTATATAATCCCATCATCAAGCCTTCAGCCCTCTTCCAGGACCTGCCCCAACCGGCCTATCCAGGACTGAAACAACAGCATGGGCCCCACCTCCACCCCACCATATGCCTGGGACCTAGGGTGTCAAATTCCCCAGGACCTCCAAACACTTCCTCCTCTGCCCCTCTGAGAACAGCAATCCTGGTGCACACCCACGAACCTGTGGGGGTACCCACACCTCCACCTGGCCTCCCAGACCCTTGACCGCAGGGGCTCTCCACCCAGCCTAGCCCCTGGCACCAGAGCCCTGGCCCAGCTCCAGGTTTTGCATTCTGCCCTTGTGACCTGGCCAGGAGGTGGGTAACTAGGGCCAGTTTCTTCTTCTTTTTTTTTTTTTTTTTTTTTTGAGACCGAGTCTCACCCTGTTGCCCAGGCTGGAGTGCAGTGGCATGTTCTTAGCTCACTGCAACCTCCACCTCCCGGGTTCAAGCGATTCTCCTGCCCCAGCCTCCCAAGTAGCTCAGACTACAGGCGTGAGCCACCATGCCTGGCTAATTTTTGTATTATTAGTAGAGACAGGGTTTCACCATGTTGGCCAGGCTGGTCTTGAACTCCTGACCTCAGGTGATCCACCCACCTCGGCCTCCCAAAGTGCTGGGATTACAGGCGTGAGCCACTGCGCCTGGCCTACTAGGGTGAGTTTCTAAGGCAGGAGCTGAGAGTAGACATGGCTAGTAGGGTGCTCAGGAGGGCAGGAGGAGGGCTGTTTATGAGCCAGTGGTGGGAGAGAGTGTCATTCTAGTCTGAGAGGCTTTTTCCCTGTGGCTTCCAGCTCTGCCCTTTTCTTAAACACTCCTTCAGCCTCAGCTTGGCTTCAGTCCCACCAAGTGCAGTCTGACTCGTGGAGACATGAGAGATAGAGAGAGTGAGAGACCAGAGAGATCAGGAGACAGTGACTGAGAGGGACTTACAGGGAGATCAGGGAGAGAAGCAGAGAGAAGGAGAAAGCCCAGAGAGCATAAGAAATGAAGACCCAGAGACACCAAAGGAGGGAGAGACAGAGACACAGAGAGACAAAAAGATTCAGAGGCAGAGACTGTAGAGGCAGAAGCAAAGCAAGACACAGAGCATTTCAGAGACCCACGGCAAGAGACAGGGAACAGCATGGAGAACTATGAAAAAATAGGCTTCCAGAGAAAGAGAAAACTCCAGCTCTGGAGGGAAAGGGACTTAGCCAGGGCCACTCGGCCCATCAGTGGCAGAAATGGACTTGAACCCAGAGAAAAAGAAACAAGTGCCCCAAATACCAAAGGAACCCAGCCCCCATCCCTGGCCCATCATTTTGCGACAGCCCCATGACTACCCCAAAACCAGGCCCAGGCTCCAACTGGCAAAGCAAAAAAAAAAAACAAAGAAAGAAAGAAAGCTTTGCCCCATCCCAGGAGGGCCCCCAGGCGCAGCCCCCTCCCACGGCACCTTTCCAGCTGGCTGTGAGCCCTAGGGCCGCAGGAAAGGTATGGCAAGATGATGGGAGGGATTTAAAGTTCACAGCGAGAACAAGAAAAGTGGGGTTAAGGAGGAGGGTGTGGGCAGAAACAACTTAAGAACAACCTCTGCCCCACCACCCCCCAAGCACACCCAGAGCTGCAGGCTCTAGCGCATCCCAGCCAGTGTCTCCTGCAGCTCAGCAGGTAAAGGGCCCCGGTGAGGGAGGCAGAGAAGGAGGGGGTGTCTCCCAAGAGAGGGTGGGTCGCCAGCTCCAATCTCTGTCTCTGAGACTGGCTAGGAATCTTTTTTGCTGTTTCCTCTGAGAGCTCTCATGTCCCTGTTCTGAGCACTGGGATTTCTTTACTGGTGCTTCACCAAGTAGGTGGCTTCTCTCTCTGCAATGCAACCCCATGGTTGGCAACACTTGATTTTTTCCTGTCACTGTTTCTGCCTGTGCCCTTCCTCTCTGTCTCCGTCTCTTTCTCTCTCTCTCTCTCTCTTTTTTTTTTTTTTTTTTTTTTTGAGGCTGGAGTGCAGTGGTTCAATCTCAGCTCACTGCAACCTCCACCTCCTGGGTTCAAGCGATTCTCCTGCCTCAGCCTCCTGAGTAGCTGGGATTACAGGTGCCTAACACCACGCCTGACTAATTTTTGTGTTTTTAGTAGAGACAGGGTTTCACCATGTTGGCCAGGCTGGTCTCAAACTCCTGACCTCAAGTGATCCGCCTGCCTCGGCCTCCCAGAGTGCTGGGATTACAGGCGTGAGCCACCGTGCCCGGCCTCAGTCTCTCTTGGTCTGCCCTTTGCAGCCTACCCGTCTCTTTGTGTGGCTCTAATATTCCCTGCCTCTCTTATTCTCTCTCTCTCTCTCTCCATCTCTGTCTATGTGACTCTGTCTTTGTGTATCTGTTTCTGTCTGTCATTCTCGTCTCCCTCAGTCTCTGTGTCTAGCTCTGTCTCTCCCTCTCTCTGTCCCTCTTACCCTTTTTCTCTCCATCCTTCCATGTCCCTCTCTGTCTCTCAGTCAGTGTCCATCTCACTGTCTCTCCACTCAATCTCCCTTGTCTTTCTCTAGCTCTGTGTCTGTCTAGTTCTGTCTCTTTCTTTCTCTAGTCTATGTCAGCCTCTCTCTTTCTGTGATGTGCTCTCTGGCTCTCCCTATCTCTGTGTTTGTCTGTCTCTGTCCCTGTGTGTCTTGATCTCTCTTTATCACTGTCTCTGTATGACAGTCTCTTGACAGACAGGTGATGATAGATAGATAATAGACAGATGATACACAGATGATAGATTATGAAGATAGTAGATAGATGATAGATATAGATAGATAATAGATGATAGATAATAGACAGATCAATGATAGATGATAGAAGAATAGATAGATGATGGATAGACAGATGATAGATGATAGATAGATAGATAGATGATAGATAGATGTTGATAGATGTTAGATAATAGATGAGAAACAAAGAAAGAAAGAAAAAGAAAAAAGAAAGAAAGAAAAAGAAAGGAAGGAAGGAAGGAAAGAAAGAGTGATAGATGATAGATGGCTGATAGGTAGACAGACATCTGTAGATATGTAGATCGCTCACTGTTTTTCTGTCTCTCTCATTATCTTTATGCATATCTCTTGGCCTCTCTTAGTCTCTGTTCCTCTATCACTTGCCTCTCTCCATTTATGTCTCTGTGTTTCTGTCTCCTTATCTGTCTATATGTTGACTATCTCTGCCTCTTTCCTCCTTTCTCCCTCCCTTCCCCATCCCCTGGCCTCTCCCTGTCTCCTTCTCTCCATCTGCCTTCATTTCCAGGGCCTAGGGAAGGTAAGTCCCAGGGGAGATGGAAAGGAGGGATCAGCGATGTCCTCTCCCACTTTGCCCTCCACACGCCAGCAGCTGCCTTCACCATGGACAGCATAAGCACAGCCATCTTACTCCTGCTCCTGGCTCTCGTCTGTCTGCTCCTGACCCTAAGCTCAAGAGATAAGGGAAAGCTGCCTCCGGGACCCAGACCCCTCTCAATCCTGGGAAACCTGCTGCTGCTTTGCTCCCAAGACATGCTGACTTCTCTCACTAAGGTGCAAGGCCCTTAGCTTGGGTGATGGTGGAAGGATAAGGAGGAGGGGTCCCATGGCCACAGGCCCCCCTGTAACTTCTGTCTTCCTACCCTCAGCTGAGCAAGGAGTATGGCTCCATGTACACAGTGCACCTGGGACCCAGGCGGGTGGTGGTCCTCAGCGGGTACCAAGCTGTGAAGGAGGCCCTGGTGGACCAGGGAGAGGAGTTTAGTGGCCGCGGTGACTACCCTGCCTTTTTCAACTTTACCAAGGGCAATGGTAAGCCTCGTCCTTGTCTCCTCCGCTCTCGGCCTTTTCCATATTGAGGGAGGGGGTGAGGGTGAGAGACTGTTGTCTCAATCTTGTTGACACTCAGGGCTGCTGACATCACTGATGACACCAAATGCAATGCAGCGAGGCAGTGTTGGTCTATGGCAAATTCTCTCCCACCTTCCTCACCTCCAGATCCCACCACTTTCCTGAATTGTACTCTTGCACCACTCCTCATCTCCATCCAACCCCAACCCCATTGTCATCCCAATCCCTAGCTCTATCCCAACCGCATCATCAACTTTCCAACTCAGTCAAGTGGCCCCAGTTCCCACTGACCACCTCAACCCAATCCCAGTCCCCATCAACCTTTCCCCAGTGTTCACCACATCAGCCCCACCTTCATCCCTATCCACAACACTGACAGCATCTCAATCCAACCTTCATTCCCATTATGAACCCCATCCCAGTCCCCACTTTAAATTCTATTATCAACCCCATCCTAGTCCCTTTAGTCAAACTGAATTTTTTTTTTTTATCTGAGATGAGTCTTGCTCTGTCACCCAGGCCGGAGTGAAGTGGCACAATCTCGGCCCACTGCAACCTCTGCCTCCCAGGCTCATGCGATTCTCCTGCCTCAGCCTCCTGAGTAGCTGGGACTACAGGTGCACACTACCACACCTGGTTAATGTTTTGTATTTTTAGTAGAGATGGGGTTTTGCCATGTTGGTCAGGCTGGTCTCAAACTCCTAACCTCAGGTGATCCACCTACCTCGGCATCCCAACGTGCTGGGATTACAGGCAAGAGCCACTGCTCCTGGCCCAAACTGAATTCTGCTGCTACTTTCCCCCAATCCCAGCCCCATCTCCTAACCCAATTACCTATTGAAATTTCCAGTTCCCAGTTCTTGCTTTCAATCTTAAACTCACTACCATCACCAAAACAACCCCATCACATATCTACCCAACCCCAAGTTCAAGCTCAGTCCCAATCTATCAATCCTCCTCATCCTACCCAACTCCATCCACATCACCAGCTTCAAATACAATTTATCATCAATCTTATAACCCCCTTCATTCCCCATTGTCATTCCCAACCTAACCCAAACTCAACTCCATCCTCAGCCATCCAGCAATTCATATCATTCACTTAAAACCTCATCTATGTCAATATCTTGTCCCTCTAAGGCTTGGAATCACCCTAGTCCTGTGGTCTTCAAACTTTATTTATTTATTTATTTATTTATTTATTTATTTTTGAGATGGAGTCTCGTTCTGTTGCCCAGGCTGGAAAGCAATGACGCAATCTCAGCTCACTGCAATCTCCGCCTCCCAGGTTGATGCCATTCTCCTGCCTCAGCCTCCTGAGTAGCTGGGACTACAGACACCTGCCACCATGCCCAGCTAATTTTTGTATTTTTAGTAGAGACTGGGTTTCACCATGTTGGCCAGGCTGGTCTTGAATGCCTGACCTCATGATCCAGCAGCCTCAGACTCCCAAAGTGCTGGGATTACAGGTGTGAGCCACTGCACCCAGCCCCAAACTTTATTTCAAAGACAAATCTCTGTTCAAAGGAAGCTATGTGACAAGACCCAATAAATGATGGAAGGAAGGAGGGACCAACAGAAGGAAGGAGGAAGAAAGGAAAAAGGAAAGAAGGAAGGAAAGGAAGGAGGGAGGGAGGGAAAGAATGAAGGAAGGAAGGAAGGATGGAAGGAAGCCATCATGATTGGAAAGGGGATCCTGGAGACCTGCATCCTGGACTATTCTCTCCTCACCTCCAAAGAATGTCTAGGGCTCTCCCTGGCTCCTGCATTAGATGGGTCCCAGCTGCCCCAGGATTTGAAATCAGAGAGCTCTGGTACAATATTACAATATTACAATATTGTGTATTAGGTACACGTTCCATCCTTCATGCTCCCTTCCCTGGCTTGATCTGATGACCTTACCTGTCCAGGTACACCAGATGCAAAGAGGTGGAGACAGGGCACTTGAGAAAGTCACCTTGCTACTTTTGCACAGAAAACATCTGGATGGGTACATCGTTTGTTACCAAAAATAGCCACCATCTAGTTATTCAATACACAGCACAGAGGGTAACAGCAGGGTTCCACCACTCACTAGCTGTGTACCCTTGGGCCAGAGGCCTCCCTTCTCTTCCTCTTAGTTTGCTACCATGAGAAAATTATAATAGCATTAACTCCATGTTATGAGGAGTCAATGAGACAATGCATAAAAATGCAGGCAATACACTATAGTCTTTTTTCTCTTCTTCTTTAGTATCTAGTTCTCTGCTAGGTCCAGAGGAACCAGAGATAAACACATCTGAGACTTTATCCTATAGTAGGTCCCAGTCCAGTGGAAGACACAGGCATCACCAACCAGATTGTGCCATCCCAGAGTGGTCCAGGCTGGGATGGGGGAAGCCTGGGGAGCTATGGAAACCCTAGAGAAACACTTGGCCCAGCCTAGAAGGGAGGAGGAGCCAGAGAAGGCTTCCTGGAAGAGGGGACCTCTAAGCTGAAACCTAAAGAATGAAGATGAGTATTCAGGAGAAGGCAGGGGGTGAAAGTGCTCTGGGAAAGACCAGCCTGTGCAAAGATTCTGGGTCCAGGAAGAGAAGAGACGGGGTCTGTTTTGTTCCTGGATGAATTCCCAGTGTCCTGGTGCTTATTTTTCTTGCCTATCTCTCTTATTCATGCATTTAATAATCAATAAGCAGGCCAGGCACGATGGCTCACACCTGTAATCCCAGCACTTTGGGAGGCCGAGGTGAGTGGATCTCCTGAGGTCAGGAGTTTGGTACCAGCCTGGCCAACATGGTGAAACCTCATCTCTATTAAAAATACAAAAATTAGGCCAGGCGCAGTGGCTCATGCCTGTAATCCCAGCACTGTGGGAGGCCAAGACGGGTGGATCACGAGGTCAGGAGATCGAGACCATCCTTGCCATGCCTGTAATCCCAGCTACTGGGGAGGCTGAGGCAGAAGAATTGCTTGAACCCGGGAGGCGGAGGTTGCAGTAAGCTGAGATTGTGCCACTGCACTCCAGCCTGGCAACAGAGCAAGACTCCGTCTCTCTCTCTCTCTCTCTCTCTCTCTCTCTCTCTCTCTCTATATATATATATATATATATATATACACACACACACACACACACACACACACACACACACATATATATTAGGTGGGCGTGGTGGTGCACACCTGTAATCCCAGCTAGTCAGGAGGCTGAGGCAGGAGAATCACCTGAACCCGGGAGGCGGAGGGTGCAGCAAGCTGAGATGGTGTCACTGCACTCCAGCCTGGGTAACAGAGCGAGACTGTGTCGCAAAAAATAATAATCATCATCAATAAGTAATCACCAGCACCTCCTGTGTGACACCCTCTGCACTGGACAATGCTAAGGACCCAGTGGTGACCAAGACAGGCACCCACTCTGCCTTCACAGTTCTGTGAAGGAGACAGCCCCATCACCAGACAGTAACAGCCCAGAGTGATCAGGTTCTTAATGGGGAAACAGAGGCAGAGTGATAGGATGGTCGTGAGGGAAGCCCATGGTCCTATGGAAGCTTGAAGGAGACCCCTAAGCTGGAGGGTCCAGAAGGGCTTACTGGAAGGAGCCAGGGAGATTCCAAACTCTGTCTCTCTCCCAGCAAATACCATGAAAGGGGACCTGGGTGGCAGTGGCCTCAGGATGAGTTCCCGGTTAAGCTGGTCCCCTCCTCTTCTCCCCAGGCATCGCCTTCTCCAGTGGGGATCGATGGAAGGTCCTGAGACAGTTCTCTATCCAGATTCTACGGAATTTCGGGATGGGGAAGAGAAGCATTGAGGAGCGAATCCTAGAGGAGGGCAGCTTCCTGCTGGCGGAGCTGCGGAAAACTGAAGGTCAGGAATTTTTTTTAACAGGCTGGATGGCACGATCTTTTTTTTTTTTAACAGGCTGGATGGCAGCCTTGACCTCCTGGGCCCAAACCATCCTCCCACCTCAACCTCCCGAATAGCTGGTACTTCAGGTGTGCTCCACCACACCCAGCTTATTTTTAAATTTTTTGTAGAGACAGGGTCTCACTATGTTGCCCAGGCCAGTCTCAAACTCCTGTGTGCAAATGATCCTCTTGCCTCTGCCTCCCAGAGTGCTGGAACTATAGGCATACACCACCATGTCTGGCCAGGTCTTTGAATCCAGTTCATCCTTATAATTCACATCCATTCTACTTTTTTTTTTTTGAGACAGAGTCTCGCTCTGTCCCCCAGGCTGGAGTGCAATGGTGTGATCTCAGCTCATTGCAACCTCCGCCTCCTGAGTTCAAGCGATTCTGCTTGCTGACTGCTCTGTCGCCCAGGCTGGGTTGCTGTGTACTAGCGTGTGTTGTGTGGCAGGATTATGTAGCTGTATGCTGGCTTTATGTGTTGGTGTGTGGTTACCGTGTCTTGGGATGTTTCCGGGCTGGCTGTTAGGTCACTGCGTGTCGTGTGTTGGCATGTACTGTGATCGTATTTGCTGGGTGTTCTGTTGCCCTGTGTTGTTGTGTTCCGTGATGCCTGATGATTGCCTTGTGCTATGTCGCGTGCTGTGTGTTGTGTTGCCAAGAATAGCCCGTTCTGTGGTTGGGCGTTGTTGCTGTCGATGTGCTGCAGGAAGTTGTGGGTTCGGTGCCGTCTGTGGCATTGACAGATGCTTTTGGGGTGTCGTTAAGCAGCATGTTGTGACCATGTCCCCGTGTTTGCACCGTAAGACACGTTGCCATGGTTGAGTCGGATGTTGTACAAATTAATGGTGTTGCTGCATGAGGTCTGGTGTGCTGCACATCGCGTCTTCCTGATCCATTGCACTCCTTACCCTCAGGCGAGCCCTTTGACCCCACGTTTGTGCTGAGTCGCTCAGTGTCCAACATTATCTGTTCCGTGCTCTTCGGCAGCCGCTTCGACTATGATGATGAGCGTCTGCTCACCATTATCCGCCTTATCAATGACAACTTCCAAATCATGAGCAGCCCCTGGGGCGAGGTCAGCCAACTGAGTCCAGCAGGGGCAGGGTGTGGGGTCCGCAGGATCTAGGAATGGAGAGGAAACAGTGGGCGGGGAAAGGGCTGTGAATGGCCCGCCCAGGGCCCGCCCCCTCCCATCTGACCCCACCCAGAGTTACACGGCCACGCCCACTCCCCTCCACTGAGCATTTATGGCCGCCATTGCCTCCTTCCCACTCCCCCTCAGCCCCAACCCCCACCCCGGACCTGGCTGCCCTTTGAGACCCTGTCCCTGCCTACCTAATCCACACTGACCCCATTCGCCCCTGAACACCCTTTGTCCTCCTCCAAAACCCTCCTACTCTGTCTGGTCCCCAGTTGTACGACATCTTCCCGAGCCTCCTGGACTGGGTGCCTGGGCCGCACCAACGCATCTTCCAGAACTTCAAGTGCCTGAGAGACCTCATCGCCCACAGCGTCCACGACCACCAGGCCTCGCTAGACCCCAGATCTCCCCGGGACTTCATCCAGTGCTTCCTCACCAAGATGGCAGAGGTAATCCCTACCTGGAAATCCCACCTCTAGTCTGACCTGAAATTCTCCTGCTGCCCCTGCCTCAAACCCACAGGGACCCCAGATGGGGCAGGGTTGGGGGACCTTCTCCCTGGAGAAGCTGAAGCATCTGGCCCAGCTGGGCTGGAGCCAGGAGCCACTCGCAGCCACCGCCAACTTACAGCTCATTAAGAAGTCATCAAAGGAGGTGGGGCAGGGTGGAGGGGGCAGTTGCTCAGGCTTGTTATCCCAGCACTTTGGAAGGCCGAGGCAGGAGGATCGCTTGAGTCCAGGAGTTCGAGACCAGCCTGGACAATATAGTAAGACCCAGTCTCTACAACACATACGTACACACATACATACACACACACATACATACATACATACACACACACATACACACATACATACATACATCATACATACATACACACATACATACATACACACATACATACATAAAACGTATTTTTTAAAAAAACAAGAAGTCATTCAAGCTCTATCCAAGAAGTTAATTGTAGGCCCTGCAGCTGAGATTTTCCCTGCCCTGCCCTTCTCCGTTCCCCAGCTCTCCCAGGGAAAGAAAGTTAAACCCAGCTGGGACCGAATGGGCCCCCAGCAGCAGTTGTACTGGTCTAGAGTGAAGGGGCCTCCATTCCTGGCTCACATCCCCACCCCTCTACCAATGCAGGAGAAGGAGGACCCACTGAGCCACTTCCACATGGATACCCTGCTGATGACCACACATAACCTGCTCTTTGGCGGCACCAAGACGGTGAGCACCACGCTGCACCACGCCTTCCTGGCACTCATGAAGTACCCAAAAGTTCAAGGTGAGGCCCACCCACACAGCAGCGTGGAGGTGCCCATGTGTTCCAGCCTCACCCCAGAGCAGGGAGCCACGGCCCCGCCTCCCAGGTCTGATATAGCCTCCTGCTGGCACCAGGATTCCACAGCCAAACCCACAAACCCACACGGAGGCCGATCCCACCACATGGCCCATGAGGTCCATGCAGCCTGCCCGAATCCCGACCCAGATCCCACCCGCTTAATTGTTGGTTTTTTTGTCTTTGTTTTGTTTTTTGGAGACGGAGTCTGGCTCTGTCACCCAGGCTGGAGTGCAGTGGCGTGATCTCGATCCGCTCACTGCAACCTCCCCCTCCCGAGTTCAAGGGATTCTCCTGCCTCAGCCTCCCAAGTAGCTGGGATTACAGCCTCCCAAGTAGCTGGGATTACACCACCACATCCAGCTAATTTTTCTATTTTTAGTAGAGACAGGGTTTCACCAAGTTGGCCAGGCTGGTCTCAAACTCCTGGCCTCAAGTGATCCACCTGCCTCAGCCTCCCAAAGTGCTGGGATTACAGGCGTGAGCCACTACACCCAGCTCTGCTTAGTTTTTTGTTTGTTTTTGAGACAGACTCACTCTGTCGCCCAGGCTGGAGTACAGTGCCGTAATTACAGCTCACTGCAGCCCCTTGGGCTCAAGCAATCTCCCCACCTCCGCCTTATCAATAGCTGGGAGTACAGGCGTGCACCACCACACTCAATACACTCAGCTAATTTTTTATTTTTTGTAGAGACAGGGTCTCGCTGTGTTGCCCTGGCTGGTCCCCAACTCCTGGGCTCAAGCAATCCTCTCACCTTGGCCTCCCAAAGTGCTGGGGTTACAGGTGTGAGCCACCGCTCCTGCCTCCACCCGCTTAGTCTTGCTTTGTGCCGAGTGCGTCAACCACCACATGCGTCCACCTCCGGCTTCAGAGCCCTGCCCTGGAGCCCCAGCCATGTGCCTGCCAGGGAACCCTACCTCTCCCATGCAGCCTGGCCCACACACACAGCTCTGTCTGCTGCTCCACCTCCCCAAGCTCCATCTCTGGGTGTATCCCCTGCTCTGCCCCTGATCTCCAGCCCTCCCACACAGTCCACCCACTCGACCTACCGTCCAGCCAGTAGAGCCCCAAAACTGCTCCTGAAATCCCATCAGGTCCTGGATTCCAGGCCTCCCTGAAGCCCTGCCCACACAACCCAACACTCAGGCCCTTGCACAAGCCAAGCTTTCGCCCTCACTGACCCACTTCCTCCCAGACCCTGGCTAATTCTTTTTTTTTTTTCCTCTTCCCCCCCCCCTTTTTTTTTTTTTTTTTTTTTTTTTTGAGACGGAATCTTGCTCTGTCACCCAGGCTGAAGTGCAGTGGCCTGATCCCAGCTCACTGCAACCTCCTCCTCCTGGGTTCAAGTGATTCTCCTGCCTCAGCCTCCCAAGCAGCTGGGACCACAGGTGTGCGCCACCAAGCCCAGCTAATTTTTCTATTTTGTTGTGGAGATTGGGTTTCACCATGTTGCCCAGATGGTCTCAAACTCCTGGGCTCAAGCGATCCGTCCGCCTGGGCCTCCCAAGTGCTGGGATTACAGGCGTGAGCCACCGCGCCCGGCCAGCTCTAGCTAATTCTCACGTGCGCCCCAGCAGTGGCGCCCCGCGCTGGGAGACTTTGACTAGACGCCTCCCCACACACGCACACACCTCTTATCAGCCTGGTTGCCCTGTCGCGCCCGCTGATACCCTCGACCCCGCTTCCCGCTTCCTCTCCAGCCCGCGTGCAGGAGGAGATCGACCTCGTGGTGGGACGCGCGCGGCTGCCGGCGCTGAAGGACCGCGCGGCCATGCCTTACACAGACGCGGTGATCCACGAGGTGCAGCGCTTTGCAGACATCATCCCCATGAACTTGCCGCACCGCGTCACTAGGGACACGGCCTTTCGCGGCTTCCTGATACCCAAGGTGCGCTAGGCCTGGCAAACGACATCAGGCAACCTAAGAGGAGGCATCGCAGGCTCTTGCACTGGCAAGGAGTATCCCAGGCACTAGCCATGAACACCCCAGGCCTTAGCAACTGGCATCCCAAGCCCTAGCTACAGACATCTCAGACCCTTAAATCCAGAAGCTCAGGCCTTTGCCAGGACCCCATCTCATATCATAGTGGACTAGACCCCTTCACCATGACAAATCCCCTTCCTAGAACCCCTCCCTGGAAGCCCTGGGGTCTGGAACTTCATCTGGAGGATCCCCTGGGCCTAAACGCTATTCTCAGGGACCCCTCCTTTTCCCCAGAAACCCCACATCTGTTCCCACAAAGGTTGGGGGTTTCCCACATCCCTGCCAAAGTCCCCAATAATACAGCATATAGCACCCATCACTTGGAACCCTAGACACCCACACATATTTCCTTGGCCCCCGATTGAGTCCTATACCCACCTATACCCACCCCTTATCAAGTCCCCAGGACACCCAGCCCAATACAATGGAAAGGAGTTTGGGAGCCTCCCAGCCCTCCTACACTGCTAAGTCCACCTCCTCACCCACACAGGGCACCGATGTCATCACCCTCCTTAACACCGTCCACTACGACCCCAGCCAGTTCCTGACGCCCCAGGAGTTCAACCCCGAGCATTTTTTGGATGCCAATCAGTCCTTCAAGAAGAGTCCAGCCTTCATGCCCTTCTCAGCTGGTGAGGGCAGGAATCAGAGTCTTTCTGGCCCAATTTCTACCTACATTCCTCACCCTAATTCCACTTGCCAAATCCTCTCACTCCTTCCTTCCACCCATTCTCAGCTTTGGATGCACAGAGACATTCATTCCTCCTCTCAACTCTGCTCCTATAGGCAAGTAGTGACTAAAATCCTCGTGAAGCAAGGTGGGGAGGTTGATTAATAATTTAACTTGGGACTGGGCATGGTGACTCACACCTGTAATCCCAGCACTTTGGGAGGCTGAGGTGGGTGGATCGCCTGAGGTCAGGAGTTCGAGACCAGCCTGACCAATATGGTGAAACCCTGTCTCTACTTAAAATACAAAAATTAGCTGGGTGTGGTGGTGGGCGCATGTAGTCCCCGCTACTCTGGAGGCTGAGACAGGAAAATCACTTGAACCCAGGAGGCGGAGGTTGCAGTGAGCCGAGATTGCACCATTGTACAGAGAGAGACTCTGTCTCAAAAAAAATAATGATAATAATTTAACAGCCAGGGGCAGTTGCTCACACCTGTAATCCCAGCACTTTGGGAGATCTAGGCGGGCAGATTACCTGAAGTCAGGAGTTCAAGATTAGCCTGACCAACATGGTGAAACCCTGTCTCTACTAAAAATACAAAATTAGCCAGGAATGGTGGCACATGTTTGTAATCCCAGCTACTCTGGAGGCTGAGGCAGGAGAATCACTTGAACCCGGGAGGCGGAGGTTGCAGTGAGCCAAGATCATGTCATTGCACTCCAGCCTGGGCAACAAGAACAAAACTCCATCTCAAAAAATGAATAAATAATAATTATAATAATTATTATTTAACTTGGGCCAGGCACATTGGCTCACACCTGTAATCCCATCACTTTGGGAGGCTGAGGCGGGAGGATCGCTTGAGGCCAGGAGTTCAAGACCAGCCTGGACAACATGGCAAGACCCTTTCTCTACTGAAAATGTTAAAATTACCTAGATGTGGTGTGGTGTGCATCTGTGGTCCCAGCTACTTGGGAGGCTGAGGTGGGATGATCACTTGAGCTCAGGAGTTTGAGGTTACAGTGAGTATGATCATGCCACTGCACTCCAGTCTGGGCAACAGAGCGAGATCCTTTCTCTAAAATAAAAAATACTGACTAGCCAAAAATAAAAAATATATAAAAATTTTAAAAGAAAAAAAAATTGAACTTGGGAGTGGTCATTGTTTACCTCTCCACTGGGTGGCGCAGTTGAGGTGGTTCTAGGGGTTTTTGTTTTGTTTGTTTGTTTTTTGGCTTTCCTCTTTACCCTGCTGAAAAACTCCCTCTTTACTCAGTGGCAGGAAAAGAAAAAACAAAAAACTGGCATAATAATAGGTAACTTACCATATTGCCTACTGTGCGTCAAGTGCTGCCTCTACAAGAGCCCAGCTAAGAGCTTATGTTTTCCTCTGGGAATGTGTGGCCCAGATTCCAGCAGGGTTTGCATCCCATCTGTCACCCCCTAGCTGTGTTGCCTTGGGTATGTTACTCCACTTCTCTGTGCCTCAATGTCCACATCTATAAAATGGAGATAATACTAAGGCCTGCCTCTTGGAGTTGTTAGAATTAATTGCGATGTAATGCTCAGAGTAATGCATGGCCCATGGTAAGCTACTTACAGCCTCACTGCTTTCCCTGTGTTTACCATTCACAGCAGCCTCATGAGGCACTATTACTATCCCTCCTTTTATTTTTCTTTCTGAGACAGGGTCTTGCTGTCACCCAGGCTAGAGGGCAGTGGCACGATCATGGCTCACTGCAGCCTTGATCTCCTGGGCTCAAGTGATCCCCTCGCCTCAGCCTCCCAAGCAGCTGGGACTGCAGGCATGTGCCACCTTGCACATTTTTAAAATTTTTTTTGTAGAGATGGGATCTTGCTGTGTTGCCCAGGCTGCTCTCAAACTCCTGGGCTCAAGGGATCCTCTTCCCTCGGCCTCCGAAAATGCTGGGATTACAGGCCTAAGCCAGCACGCCCAGCCTTCATATCCCCATTTTAAATATCCAGAACGTGTGGTTTGTCCAGGATCACAAAACTAGTAGTGACAGGGCCAGGATTCGAACCCAAGCAGCCCAGGTCATTCCACTCCACAGTTTAAAGCATCTTTCCCAGTTCTTTACATGGGTGAATCTGTGACGTCCCCAGCTGCTGTCTTCCTTTCCTCTTATGTTTTCCTCTGGGAATGTGGGGTTGCAGCCTCTAACCTCATCTTATCTCACCGCCGCTCCCCATCCTGCCACCCCTGCAGGGCGCCGTCTGTGCCTGGGAGAGTCGCTGGCGCGCATGGAGCTCTTTCTGTACCTCACCGCCATCCTGCAGAGCTTTTCGCTGCAGCCGCTGGGTGCGCCCGAGGACATCGACCTGACCCCACTCAGCTCAGGTCTTGGCAATTTGCCGCGGCCTTTCCAGCTGTGCCTGCGCCCGCGCTAACGCCCCGGCCCTTCCAGATTCGCCTGTGAGCGATGAGGCCCGCCCATGCGGGTTGCTACGTCCCCTTCTTGGTCCACAGTCTGCCCTCATCCCTCTGGCAGTCACGCTGTCTTCCCTGCATGCTGTGCCTGCCGCGTGCCCTTCCCCCATCCCTCCAATCTGTGCCCCGTCTGCAGGGCAGAGGCAGATGTGGCATGTCTTTTTGTACCCACAGAGCTTGTTCTATGGCACGCCCTTTTCTAGGCTTTTTGTATCATTTCTTAGTACATTGTAATAGATTCAAACCAGTCTTGGCTGAATTAAAGTGAGAATGAGAGTCATTTAGGATGGGGAGAAGGGAGCTGGCTGCAGAGATGGAGACACTGGCTAGTTTTGCCCTCACCTTTAGGGTGGCTAGGGTGGGACAAATTGTATCCTGGAGACAGGCTTGAAGGTAAAGGCTGCGAGGACCTGAAGCCAGAGAGGCAGAGAAACCAAGACAGAGAAAAAGGCAGCAGGACCAGGTGAGGTGGCTCACACCTGTAATCCCAGCACTTTGGGAGGCTGAGGCGGGAGGATCGCTTGAACCCAGGAGTTTGAGACCGGCCTGGCAACAGAGTGAGGCCTGACTCTACAAAAAGTCAAAAAGTGGGGCAGGAGGATTGCTTGATCCTGGGAGGTCGAGGCTGCAATGGGGTATCATTGCGCCACTGCATTCCCGCCTGGGAGACGGGAGTGAGACCCTGTCAGAAGAAGAAAGAAAAAAGAAGAAGGAGAGGGAGAGGGAGAGGGAGGAGGGGGAGGAGGGAGAGGAGAGGAAGAAGAAGAAGAAGAGGAGGAGAAGGAAGAAGGAGACAGCAGCGAGATATCAGAGAGAATATGCAAGAGATGAAGGGCACTGCAGAGAGATGGAAGCAGGGCAAAGTGAGGCTAAGGAACAAGCACTGACACTAAATGACACTCCCTATTTGCACGCTGTTCTGAATGCCTCATTAAGTCTCCCTATGAGGCAAAGCCATGTTTTTTGCTTTGGTTTGATTTGGGAGGTTTTTTTTCTTTCTTTCTTTCTTTCTTTTTTCGAGACAGAGACTCGCTCTGTTGCCCAGGCTGGAGTGCGGTGGCGCGATCTTGGCTCACTGAAACCTCTGCCTCCCTGGTTCAAGTGATTCTCCTGCCTCAGCCTCCTGAGTAGCTGGAACTACGGGCATGTGCCACCACTCCCGATTAATTTTTTGTATTTTTAGTAGAGACAGGGTTTTACTGTGTTAGATAGGATGGTCTCAATCTCCTGACCTCGTGATCCGCCCACCTCGGCATCCCAAAGTGCTGGGATTACAGGTGTGAGCCACTGTGCCTGGCCTGTTTGTTTCTTTTATAGGCAGGGTCTCCCTCTGTTGCCTAGGCTGGAGTGCAATGGCACAATTCAAGGCTCACTGCAACCTTGAACTTCTGGGTTCAGCTGATCCTCCTGCTTCTGTTTCAGACCACCAAATAGCTGGGACTACAATCACCGTGCCTGGCTAATTTTTTTTTTTTTTTTAATCTTTAGTAGAGACAGAGTCTTGCAGTGTTGCCTAGGCTGGTCTTGAACTCCCGAACTAAGGCGATCCTCCCACCCAAAAAGCACTGGGATTACAGGCATGAGCCACCACACCTGGCCACAAAGCAGTATTATTATCATGTTTTTACAGATGAGCAAACTGAGGCTCAGAGAGGTGAAGTGAGTTGCCCAAGGTCACACAGAAACAGGCAGAGCTGGGATCTAAATTCAGACTCTGAGGCTACAGACACTGCACTTCTTTTCTTTTTTCTTCTTCTTTCTTTTTTTTTTTTTTTTTTCTTCCAAGAGAAGCTGTCACTCTGTCTCTCAGGCTGGGATGCAATGGCATAATCACAGCTCACTGCAATTTCAACCTCCCAGGCTGAAGAGATCCTTCCACTTTAGCTTTCTGAGTAGTTGGGACTACAGGCTGCACCACAACCACACCTGGTTAATTTGTTTTTATTTTTATTTTTTGAGTTATTTTTTGAGACAGAGTCTTGCTCTGTCACCCAGGCTGGAGTGCAGTGGCTCAATCTCAGCTCACTGCAACCTCCACCTCCTAGGTTCAGGCAATTTTTGTGCCTCAGCCTCCTGAGCAGCTGGGATTACAGGTGCCCGCCACCACACCCAGCTACCTTTTTTTTTTTTTTTTTTTTTTGTATTTTTAGTAGAGACAGGGTTTCACCATGTTGGCCAGGCTGGTCTCGAACTCTTGGGCTCAGGAGATCCACCCGCCTCAGCTTCCCAA
This sequence comes from Homo sapiens, assembly GCF_000001405.40. Taxonomy (NCBI): domain Eukaryota; kingdom Metazoa; phylum Chordata; class Mammalia; order Primates; family Hominidae; genus Homo; species Homo sapiens. The sequence goes on from NC_000019.10 coordinate 41,130,353, forward strand.
AGTGCTGGGATTATGGGCGTAAGCCACTGCACCCAGCTGCTAATTTTTTTATTTTTAATTTTTGTAGAGGCAGTCTCACTATGTTGCCCAGGCTCGTCTCGAACTCCTGGCCTCAAGTGATCCTCTAGCCTCAGCCTCCCAAAGTTCTGGACAACCCGTGCACACCACCATGCCCTACTCAGACACTGCACTTCTAACTACTACCTTTTAATTCACAAGTCAGAGACCCAGAAAGAAAGAGGCAGACACCCTTAAATACAGAGAAGAGCAGAGAAACACAGACACTAAGATATGGGAGGCAGGGGGAATCGAGAGAGAGAATGGAAAGAAACAGAGAAATGACCAGAGAAAGACAGATGAGCAATGACAGTGGGAGTTCCGAGGACTGAGGCTCCCTCCCTCAATCCCCAGCCCCTCTTTTCTTTTTTTTCTTTTTTCTTTTCTTTTTTTTTTTTTTGGACAGAATCTTGCTCTGTTGCCCAGGCTGGAGTGCAGTGGCATGATCTCAGCTCACTGCAACCTCCACCTCCAGGGCTCAAGTGATTCTCATGCCTCAGCCTCTCGAGTAGCTGGGATTACAGGCACGTACCACTATGCCCAGCTAATTTTTGTATTTTTAGTAGAGATGGGGTTTCACCATGTTGGCCAGGCTCGTCTCGAACTACTGGCCTCAAGTGATCTGCCCACCTCAGCCTCCCAAAGTGCTGGGATTACAGGCATGAACCACTGCACTAGGCCCTCCCACCCTCTCACTGAAATTCTCTGAAATTCTCCCGTTTGGAGTGACGATAGCAACCCCAGGCATGTACCCTCCCAACCTGGGACCCGACCTAATACCCTAACATCCTGCTGACAGTGGCTGTTTTTGCGGGGCAGGCGTCCCAAAGCACATCAAGCCAGATTCAAGCAGAGTGGAACTGGCCCCTCAGCCATCAGTGGAGGTGGCCTGAGAGGCTCTACCCTAAACGGGGTCTCCCCAAGGCGATGCAGAAACTGGGACATGCTCTGCTGAGCATGGGGCTTACTGGAGTGAGGCTTATAGGCAGTCCCCACATGGGGATTAAGGTGTCAGCTCTTTAATCCCCTCACTGTTCCCATCACAGGCTGACCAGAGTCGGCCCCAGGGCCCAGCCAGGGACACAGAGGTTGGGGGAGAGAGGGAGACACAGAGAGACTCAGAGGTCCTGAGAAAGACAGGCAGAGAGAGATGATGCAGAAAAACACCTGGAGACACTGAAAAGAGATGGAGAGGAAAAGGAAGAGACAGATAACGCAGGGATGGCAGAGAAATCCTGGAAAACAGAGACCGGGAGGAGAAAGACAGCCACTGAGAAAAGGGAAAGACAGCGATGTCCAGAGAGAGGAAAGACAAAGATAAATAAAGAGAACAGAAATGAAGAGAGATAGAGAGACCTGAGAGAAAAAGAAAAAGGGAGGAAAAGAAAGAGAGAAACAGAGAAATCCAGTCTAATTACAAAGAGATAGAAACACCAAGGCGGGAGGATCACTTGAGCCCAGGAGTTTGAGACCAGCCTGGGCAACATAACGAGACCTGGTCTCTATAAATATTTTAAAAATTAGCTAGGCATGGTGGCACGCACCTCTAGTCCCAGCTACTTGGGAGGCTCAGGTGGGAGGATCACTTGAGCCCAGGCAGTCATGGCTGCAGTGAGCTGTGATGGTGCCACTGCACTCCAGCCTGGGCAACAGAACAAGACAGATGGAAGGGAAGGGAAGAGAAGAGAGAAGAAGAAAGGGAAAAGAGGGGAGGGGAGGGAAGAAAGAGGCTGGGCACGGTGGCTCACGACTGTGATCCTAGCACTTTAGGAGGCTGAGGCAGGAGGATTGCTTGAGACCAAGAGTTGAAGACCAACCTGGCCAACTTAACAAGACCCCATCTCTATAAAAAAACAAAGAGAGGTAGGGAGGAAGAAAAATTGGGCATTCATTCAACAAACATTTACTAAGTGCCTACTGCTGTGCTGAGCGCTATTTTAAGTGCTGGGATACAGAAGCAAACAAGACAAAATCCTTGCTCTGGAAGAGCTGACATTCCAGAGGACAGCCCACCCGAGCAAAATGGAGGAAGAGTCAGGAGCTGGGGAGAAACCAGAGGCCATAATAAAGAGGATCCATTAAAGCCTGTCACAGAGGGTGGGGTAGGGCTGGGGGAGGATGCAGCTTACTGTGCCCCACCACACTCCCGCTGTCAGTGGAGTCAGCAGCTCTGAGCAGGGGCCCTGCCAGACAACCCATGTCAGTCACCAGGTTCCAGAAAGGCTGACAGGTAGGAAGACCCAGGACAGGGCAGGACAGAATATGGAGGTACAAGGGGGTCAACATGCAGAAAGGCACCCTGAAGAAATAAGGAGAGGCACAGAAGTGCCAGGCTGAGACAAAGGGAAGCACAGACTGGGGGAGATACAGGGAGAGGAAGACACAGACATACTGAAAAGAGAGACAGAAAACAGACACAAACAGAGGCAGAGACTGAGAGAAAGGAGAGAGAGATGGGAAAAGATGGAAAGAGGAGAGAGAGAGAGATGAACACAGAAACATAGAGACTGAGCGTGAGGGAGGCTGGGCACGCTGGTTCATGCCTATACTCCCAGCACTTTGGGAGACCAAGGCAGAAAGATTGCTTGAGCCCAGGAGTTGGAGACCAGCCTGGGAAACACAGTGAGACCCTGTCTCTTCAAAAAATACAAAAATTGGCAGGATGTGGTGGTGTGTACCTGTGGTCCCAGCTACTCGGGAGGCTGAGGTGGGAGGATTGTTTGATCCCAGGTTGAGGCTGCAGTGAGCCATGATCATACCACTGCACTCCAGCCTGGGGGACAGAAGCCAGACTCTGTCTCAAAAAAAGAAAGAAAAGAAAAGAAGGAAGGAAAAGAAAGAAAAGAGAGAGAGAGCAAGTGAGACTGAGAGATGAAACAAAGAGACACAGAGAGACCCTCCCAGAGACAATGCCAGTCCTAGGCTCTGCACAGTCCCCCCCCCCCCGCCCACTGGCTCGCCAGGTCTGGGCCCTGTGCCAGGCACTTGGAGGAAGGCTGGATTTGGCCAAGCAGGGGCAGGCAGGAGGGTGGACCACATTCCTGAACAGTCTGTTCCAAATACAGCCCCAACCTCACTCACTGCTGCCACCACCGCAACCCTGGCCCATCCAGGCCTGAGTCTGCCCCCTCTAGCCCATGCCCTAGGATTGGGGGTAGTGGGGGATAGATGAGAGAATAAGGGATAAGTTTGTCTGCCATCATGGCCTGGCCTCAGACAAGGACTTGGGGGACTGGATACCAGGGGGTTCAGCAGCATGGGCACAGAACATTTGGGGGCATCTGGGAGCCAATGCCTTGGGAATAGAGATGGTAGATTCAGGGCAGGACATAATATGGAAGTACAAGGGGGTCAACATGCAGAAAGACACCCTGAAGAAATAGAGGCACAGAAGTGCCAGGCTGATGGACACCCAGAAGCCAGGGAAATTGAAGGCAGATCTGGGGAACAAGCGTAGCACACAGGGTCCCAAGAGCAATGGAAGTGACAAGGGCTCAGGTGTGAGCTCCTAGGAATCACAGGCACAGAGCACAGGAGTGCCAGGGGTGTCTTTAGAAGTGTATTTGAGCCAGGAGCAGTGGCTCACACCTGTAATCCCAGCACTTTGGGAGGCCGAGGCAGGCGGATCACCTGAAGTCATGAGTTCAAAATCTGCCTGGCCAACATGGTGAAACTCCGTCTCTACTAAAAATACAAAAATTAGCAGGGCCTGGTGGTGCACGCCTGTAATCGCAGCCACTTGGGAGGCTGAGGCAGGAGAATCTTGAACCTGGTAGGCGGAGGTTGCAGTGAGCCGAGATCGCACCACTGCACTCCAGCCTGGGCGACAAGAGCGAAACTCTGAAAAAAAAAAGAAGGAGAAGAAGGAGAAGAAGAAGGAAGAAGAAGAAGAAGAAGTGTATTTGAGAGTCGGTGTGTATTTAGGAATCAGAGGTACAGGGTACAGCGTTCAGGGGGCCCAGAGATGGCCCGGAGATTGAGGAATACACACCTACAGGCCAAATAAATTGGACTCAAAGGTGCTAGGGGCTCAGGAGGGTGCACCTGTTGGCCAGGTGTGTTGACATGAAAATGCTGGTGTACGAAAGATGTTAAGTGGGGCAGGCTGAGGCAGGCACAAAAAAAAAAGCCAGGAGGAGCCAGGGCACAGTTCCACCAGGGCTGGGGGTGGGCTGGAGACGTCGGGCTGGGGAATCCATGGAATGAGCAGCCCTGAGATGCCCACTCCTCCCACATCGGGTCTCTGCCCCTGCTCCACCCAAGACCCCTTGGAAATCAAATAGAGGTGCAGGCGTGGAGAATTGCAGGCATGATGATCGCGGGTATCGCTGCGCTGCTGTTGTGGCTTCTGGTGCTGGTGCCGGCGTGGTGGGGGTAGGGTGGGTGCCGCGCTCAGATGCGGGGGTCCCTACCTCCCCGGCCCAGGCTGCTCCCATTGCTGGGGAACTTGCAGCTGCAGTCCGGAGGCCTGGACCGCGCGCTCCATTCCCGACAGGAATGGGGGAACGGAATTCTGGATTCGTGGAGGTGGGGCTGGGGACTAGAACTCCTCCTGAACGAAGACAGCTGAGGGCTTGTACTCTATGATCTTGAGGAAGGACAGGAAGGATGAGTGCTCCGGACTGCTGAGTACTAGGAAAGGAGAATAGGGAGTGGAGAGCCTGGGGCCGGGACACTGGGTCGTAAGGAAGGAGCCCAGAGCAGGAAATCAGGTTGTGGGAAGAGGGGAGCAGGGGGTCTGTTCTCCTGGTTCAGGGTGGGGAGGTACTGAGGGCCCAGGAGACACTCTGAGGGTACAGGAGGTTGGGAATCTGGACTTCTAGGTCCCAAGGGAAGAAGGAAGTGGGGGCCTGGACTCCCGCATCTCAGGGAGGAAGGAGCTGGGGATCTGAATTCCTGGACCTGAGGAATGAGGGTCTGAGACGAGGACTCCTGGGTCTGAAGGAAGAGGGAGCTGGGGGCAATGGCTCCGATGAGGAACCCTATGGGCACCCGCTGAGCACCGGCTACCCGTAGCTCTCCGGCCGCTGGGGCCGGGTGTTCACAGTGCGGCTGGGCCCGCGCCCTGCGGTGGTGCTGTGCGGCTACGCAGCGCTGCGGGACGCGTTAGTGCTACAGGCGGATGCGGTCTCCGGCCGCGGGTCCATGGCAGTCTTCGAACGCTTCACACGCGGAAACAGTGAGGCCCCGGCGCTGGACTTGCCGGTCCGGACGCTCCAGGCTGGGCGGGTAAATGGTAGAGGCGGGCAAATGGGGGCGGGGCCTAATAGAGACTCCAGCTAATGAGGTGCAAACGGCCGAGAGAGGGCGGGGCGGCGCTAAAGCGTAAGGTTAGAATGGAGGTTCATCCTGCAGCCAACAGGAGAAAAGAGCCTAAGATTCAAAGTCCCAGAGCCAGCCTAGGTCAGGGATGGAGCCCAGCAAAGGCGGGGCCAATGTGTGGATAGGGCACTTGGAGGTCTGGTAAGGCAGCAAAACGAACGAAGCCGGCCGCAGGAGTCGGAGGCCCCGAAAGGGATGTAGCCAGTGACCCGGCGCTTCCTGGATGGGGCGTGGCCGGTTCCCGGGCCCGCCTCCTTTCCCGTCCCCACCACAGGAATCTTGTTTTCTAACCGGCCGTGCTGGTGGACACTGCGCAATTTTGCACTTGGAGCGCCGAAGAAGTTCGGGTTGGATACGCGGACCATCGAGGCGCGTGTCCTGGATGAGGCGGCTTGTCTGCTAGACGAATTTCAAGCCACCATTGCTTCGGCCTGGCCGGGAGAGCGGAAGGGCCTGGTGTGGGAGAGTCCCTTGCACTGCCAAGACGGGGCCACTGGAAGGTATTTGGGTGGAAGAAAGCCAGTAAGCCCATGGGGCTGGCTGGGGGCAGGACCACGCGTTATGACCACCGTCCTGTTCCTACCCCCAGGAGCCCCGTTTGACCCCGTGCGGCTACTGGGTAATGCTGTATCCAGTGTTACCTGTTCTTGTCTTCGGGAACCGCTATGGCTACGGGGACCCGGAGTTCCTGAGGTCCTGAACCTCCTAAGTGACAACTTCCGCATCATGAGTTCCAAATGGGGCGAGGTGAGAGGGCCGGCCACAATCTCTCCCTTGTGCGTCCAGCCTTATGCCAAATCCCGAGTACACAGACGTACCTACAATGGGACAGTTAGATTCTTGGAAGAGTTCTAGAACCTCCAATATCAAAGTCCCTGTAGGGAAACTAAGGCCTAGTGGGCATGTCCAGGGCCCTTGTTGAGACCCTGTCTCTCCAGATGTACATTTGCCTGTCTCTCATGGACTGGCTCCCGGGCCCGCACCACCAAATCTTCCAAAACTTTTCAGAGCTGCAGGTCTTCATCTCTGAGCAAATCCAACAACACTGGCACATGAGGCAGCCGGCGGAGCCCCGCGATTTCATCGATTGCTTGGCCAGATGGGTAAGGCATGGGTCCCAGCTCCCTAAACTCTATCCATGCCGCCCACCAACAGGTGCCTGGCGCGCGGCAGCCCATCTTCTCTGCCCACAGAAACAGCAAGACCCAGAGAGCCATTTCCAGGAGGAGACGTTGGTAATGACGATGCAACTTTTTTTTTTTTTTTTTTTTGGTGGCACAGAAACCACGAGCACCACCCTGTGCTCCATATGGGCTCCTCATTCTGCTTAAGTACCCAGAGGTGGCAGGTCTGCGAGCCAGAGAGACCCAGAATGGGAGGCTGCGGTTTGGAGATGGCTGGAGGGTCCCGGAAGTGCACAGCCTCCCTCTGCCCCAGCCAAGGGGCAGGAGCTGGACCCTGTGGTAGGGCAGAGGCCTGTCCCAAGCCCGGACGACCACGTGCAATGGCCCTACACCAACGCAGTGCTGCTGGAGATCCAGCGCTTCATCAGCGTGGTGCCGCGCACCCTCACCCTCGACACCCACCTGCACAGCCACTGTCTGGCCAAAGGTGCCCACTGAGTCTGGAGATCCTGTGTGGGGCCCCGATGCATGAGCGTATTCCGAGATCAGCCAGAATCGGCAGGTGTGCGCTGTGCAGACCCAAACACAATCAGTTACCCCTGGAGCAGGAAAGTAGACCTGCCTTCCCTTCAGCATTTTTTTTTTTTTTTGAGATGGCATGATCTCGGCTCACTGCAACCTCCACCTCCCCAATACAAGTAATTCTCCTGCCTCAGCCTCCCTAGTAGCTGGGATAACAGGCACCCACCACCACGCCTGTCTAATTTTTGTATTTTTAGTAGAGACGGGGTTTCACCATGTTGGCCAGGCTGGTCTCAAACTCCTGACCTCAAGTGATCCATCCTTCTCGGCCTCCCAGAGTGCTGGGATTACAGGCGTGAGCTACCCACCCAGCCTATTCCCTTGGGCTTTTAAAAAGCCATTTCGGCCAGGCTGGTCCTGAACTCCTGCCCTCATGTCGGCCAGGCTGGTCCTGATCTTCCCACCTCGGTCTCCCAAAGTGCTGGGATTACAGGTGTGAGCCACCGTCCATGGCCCATGATGTTGTTTTGAAGACTCAGTGAGGACATGTGTGTACTAGACTTGGCACACAAGAGTTGGTCAAATACATTTACTGCTCCCCACCCTTCTAATAAACCAAATGCAGCTGTGGGATAGTAGGGGGAGGCACTGGGATAGCTAAGCAGGGAGGGGATCCTGGGGCTCCAGGGATGGGCAGAGACTCAGATGCTCAGATCTGGTATGGAGCCCCATGACTGAACCCCACTGAGATTTTGGGTTCTTTAATACAACAGTGAACCTTTCAATGACCATGAAGGTGTCTCAGCCTCCTGAGTAGCTGGGATTACAGGCGCATGCCACCATGCCTAGCTAATTTTTGTATTTTTAGTAGAGACGGGGTTTCACCATGTTGGCCAGGCTGGTCTCGAACTCCTGACCTCAAGCAATCCACCCGCCTCGGCCTCCCAAAGTGCTGGGATTACAGGCATGAACCACCACACCTGGCCAAGACTCCAACTCTTAAACAAACAAAAAGACACTCATATTGGATTCAAGCCCAGCTAATGACCTCATCTTAGCTTGATCATCTGCAAAGACCCTTTCCCCAAATAATATCACATTCACAGGTCCTGGGGTTGAAGATTTCAATATCTTTTGGGAGCACAAAATTCAAAGTATAACAATGATGGAGATGTAGAGAAATGGACATGTTCCAAAGACATTTAGGAGGCAAAATCAATGACTCAGGGATGGGTTGCTTATGGCCAGTTGGGGAAAGAAATGTGTTGAGCATGAACCTGGAACAATGGAACAGATGGAAATTTTCTTAGTAGAGATGGGGTTTCACCATCTTGGCTAGGCTGGTCTCAAACTCCTGACCTCAAGTGATCAGCCTGCCTCAGCCTCCCAAAGTGCTGGGATTACAGGCATGAGCCAAACACTCCTGGCCTCAGATGGAAAATTTCCAAACACACACAGGGCTGGGGGCTGCTGTGGTCTTGCCAACTGCTCCAGGCATGCATGTTGGGGGCCACAGCATCCCTGTCCGTGGGGATGTCATCCAGAACAGTCCCTGCCCCTGGAAAGGTGGAAACTGCAAGAGGCACCCCCATTACAGACTGAATCCAGGAACCTTACAACGAATATTTGAAACTTAAAAATAGAGACTCTTAGCGCTGTGGGATCATAAACTTATAGAATAATAATGGTTAACATTTACAGAGCCCATCTAGATCTGAGCATTGCACTGTGCAATTTACATTTATGACCTTATTTAACCCTCCCATTGCCTTCCAAGTCAGAGATCCCCATTCTCTAAATAAGGAATAGCTCAGAGGGAGAATGGTCTCTGGGATCTCCAGGGTTAGAAAGTGACAGATTTGGGCCAAGCACAGTGCTCATGCCTGTAATCCCAGCACTTTGGGAAGCCGAGGCGGGCAGATCACTTGAGGCCAGGAGTTCAAGACCAGCCTGGCCAACATGGTGAAACCCCGTCTCTACTAAAAATACAAAAATTAGCCAGGCATGGTGGCGCACGCCTGTAGTCTCAGCTACTCAGGAGGCTGAGGTGGGAGAATCGCTGAAACCTGGGAGACAGAGGTGGCAGTGAGCCGAGATCATGCCACTGTACTCCAGCCTGGGTGACAGAGCAAGACTCTGTCTCAAAAAAAAAAAAAAAGTGACAGATTTGGATTCAACCCTAGGTCTGCCCATCTCCAAAACCCTTAAGCAATAGCTTTCCTTGCACTTTCAACAACAGTCACAGCAAGAATGCTCTCATTACAGGCCAGGCATGGTGGCTCACACCTGTAATCCCAGCACTTTGGGAGGCTGAGGCAGGCAGATCACTTGAGGTCAGGAGTTCGAGATCAGCCTGGCCAACATGGTAAGAACGGTCTTTACTAAAAATGCAAAAATTAGCCAGGTGTGGTGGCGTGTGCCTATAATCCCAGCTACTCGAGAAGCTAAGGGACGAGAATCACTTGAACCCAGGAGGTGGGGGTTGCAGTGAGCCGAGATTGTGCCACTGCACTCCAGCCTGGGCAACAGAGTGAGACTCCATCTCAAACAAAAAAAAAAGCTCTCATTACAGAGCCTGCTGTGAGCCGGAACTACCTAAATATTTGACAGGCATTGTACAGCTTGGCCCCCATTTCGCAGATGAAGAAACCGAGGCTCAGAGATGCTAAGCCATTTTCCCAAAGTCACCAGCAAGTAGAATGCCCAAGGTGTGGCTTGAATCCAAGACTGTTGTCTCTCTCCAAAGTCCACCTCAGAGCAGTGGAAGGGACCACCTCACCTACCCTGACACTTGAAGATGAAAGAAGTGTGGACCACAGAAGGAAAGACCTCATGCAAGATCCACAGCAAACCATGGCCAAGGGAACTGGGATGGCAATGGGGAAGAAGTAGAGCTCTTGCATCAGAGCCCTGTATCTGAGCCAAGGGTGGTGGCTCATGCCTGTAATCCCAGCACTTTGGAAGGCTGAGGCGGGCGGATCACGAGGTCAGGTATTTGAGACCAGCCTGGCCAACATGGTGAAACCCTGTCTCTACTAAAAATACAAAAATTAGCTGGGCATGATGGTGTGTGCCTGTAATCCCAGCTACTCAGGAGGCTGAGGCAGGAGAATCGCTTGAGTTTGGGAGGTGGAGGTTGCAGTGAGCCAAGATCAGGCCATCGCACTCCAGCCTGGGCAACAGAGCAAGAAAAAAAACAGCCCTGTATCTGTAGACATTTCTCTGTGTATCTCTCTCACACCCTTCTTGAGAAGGACATAAAATCTGTGGACAAAGCAGGTGTGGGCCCTTAATCTCCCAAGGAATTCTTCTGAACTTTCTTTGAGACAGAATCTCACTCTATCACCCAGGCTGGAGTGCAATGGAGCCATCTCGGCTCACTGCAACCTCCACCTTCTGGGTTCCAGTGGTTCTCCTGCCTCAGCCTCCTGAGTAGCTAGGATTACAGGCATGCGCGACACCTGGCTAATTTTTGTATTTTTAGTAGAGATGGGGTTTCGCCATGTTGGCCAGGCTGGTCTGGAACTCCTGACCTCACGTGATCTGCCTGCCTCGGCCTCCCAAAGTGCTGGGATTACAAGTGTGAGCCACCGTGCCCCACCCACAGGGTTGTTTTGAAGACTTAGTGAGGACATGTGTGTCCTAGACCTGGTACACAAGAGTTGGTCAAATACATTTACTGCTCCCCACCCTTCTAATAAACCAAATGCAGCACTGGGATGTCGGGGGGAGGCACAGGGATAGCTGAGCAAGGAGGGGATCCTGGGGCTCCAGAGGCAGGCGGGGGACTCAGATGCTCAGATCTGATATGGAGCCCCATGACTGTGAACCCCACTGAGGTTTTGGGTTCTTTAATACAATAGTTAACCCTTCCTTGACTATGACACCCAGGAGCCATCCTAGCCTAGCCCTTGGACTCCATCTGGTGCCAGAATGGCCCAGGGCTTGGATATCTCAAAATATCAGCTGACAACAGGTCAGTAAATATTCTGAGAAAATGAAAAATGGACAACCTGAACCCCAAGCCTTGCTTCCGCCTGAACGCTGACCCAGACTTCGGTCACATTCTGAGACCAGATTCCTGGTCACTCAGTGAGCACTGGACCTGGACCACCCATCCAAGCTACTGACTCCACGCTGATCCTGGCCACAGCGTGAGCCATGAAAGGCACCTCAGGGAGAAGGAACAGCAAGAGGAAAGGGCAGGAGGCTTGGAACTGTGTTGTGTTTGGCTAGAGGTAACAAGAGAAAAAGTTTAGCCCAGAGGGTCCATCGGGGAAAATTTTGGGACATGGACCATGAGAGGTCCTTTGGATTCTTAGAAATATCTCTGAATGTCCCACCAAGGAGTTTTGACTTTTTCCTAGGGCCTTTGGAACCACAGGAGATTTAAAGTAGGGGAAGTCACAATCAAATCTGTGCTGTAGAAAAATCACTCTGAAACCAGACACGGTGGCTAATGCCTGTAATCCCAGCCTGGGTGACATAGCGAGACCACGTCTCTACAAAAAATAAGAAAATTAGCTAGGGGTGGTAGCATGAGCCTGTAGCCCCGGCTACTCAGGAGACTAAGGCAGGAGGATCGCTTGAGCCCAGGAGTTCGAAGCTGTAGTGAGCTGTGATTGCACCACTGCACTCCAGCCTGATTGACAGAGCGAGACCCTGTCAAAGAAAAAAGAAAGAAAGGAAAAGGAAGGAAAGAAGGAAGGAAGGAAGGGAGGGAGGGAGGGAGGGAGGGACAGAGGGAATCTCTGGACCTTGAGGGGAATCCACAGAACTGGATCTGCTGACAGATGTTGGCTAAGTTACCAATGGCTCATGGGAACAAGGATATCTATCAGGACATCTACAGGAAAACAGCCTGAAAAATGTCCATATTAATTAAGGTAAAGACCAGGTTGTTGTAACCAACAGATCCCAAAATGCAATCATTCAAATAAAATACAAGTTTCTTTCTTTCTTTTGTGTCCCTCTTGAAGTAGACAGTTAGTCCAGCACTGCAAGGTGGTTCCCCTCCTTGTGGTCAATCATGGACCCAGATTCCTTCAAACTCGTTGCTCTGCTATAGTTCAGTGGTTCTCAAAGTGCAGCCTCCAGACCTGCAGCATCAGCATCACCTTGGAACTTTTTTTTTTTTTTTTTTTAGACAGACAGGGTCTTGCTCTGTCACCCAGGCTGGAATGCAGTTATGCGATATCAGCTCACTCCAGCCTCAACCTCCTGCACCCAAGCAATCCTACTGCCTTAGCCTCCCAAGTAGCCAGGACTATAGGCATGCACCACACACCCAGCTATCTGAAACTTGCTAAAAACTCAAATTCTTAAACCCCACCCCAGACCTACTGAATCAGAAACCCAAAACCTGTGTTTTAACAAGGCCTGCAGGCAATTCTGAGGCATGTTCTCAGCAGAGCATCACTACCCTACAGTATTATCATGATCTTCATGGTCAAAGAGCAGAAGGTTTTGTACAGCTTTTCCCCCCTTTTTTCTTTTCTTTTTTTTTTTTTTTTTTTTTTTTTTTGAGATGCAATTTCACTCTTGTTGCCCAGGCTGGAGTGCAATGGCACAATCTCAGCTCACTGCAACCTCCACCTCCCAGGTTCAAGCAATTCTCGTCTCAGCCTCCGGAGTAGCTGGGATTACAGGCATGCACCACCACACCCGGCTAGGTTGTATTTTTAGTAGAGATGGGGTTTCTCCATGTTGGTCAGGCTGGTCTCAAACTCCTGACCTCAGGTGATCCTCCTGCCTCGGCCTCCCAAATTGCTGGGATTACAGGCATGAGCCACCAAGTCTGGCCCCCTTTTTTCTTTTCTTTCCTTTTCTTTCTTTTTCTTTCTTTTTTTTTTTTTTTTGAGATGGAATCTCACTCTGTCACCCAGGCTGGAGTGCAGTGGCATGATCTCAGCTCACTGCAATGTCCACCTCCCCAATACAAGTAATTCTCCTGCCTCAGCCTCCCGAGTAGCTGGGATTACAGGTGCACACCACCACGCCCAGCTAATTTTTGCATTTTTCATAGAAATGGGGTTTCGCCATGTTGGCCAGGCTGGTCTTGAACTCCTGACCTCAGATGATCCACACACCTCGGCCTCCCAAAGTGCTGGGATTACAGGCGTGAGCCACTGCACCTGGCTGGTTTTCTACTTCTTGAGTCATCCACTCCAGTACAGAAGATGGAAGGGATGGAAGACCTCTGGCTGTTCAAAGACCTCGGACCCAGAAGAAACTTGAATTTTGGGCACACAACATGGGTTACGAGGGTGAGGGAGTCCAGTCTAGCATAATGGTGAGTAAGATGGGTCCTGGAGACAGGCTACCTTATTTTAAATCCCAAATGTGTGACTTTCCACAAGTAACATCTCCTTGAGCCTCAGTTCCCTCTTCCATAACAGGGGAATCATGACAGTATTATCTGTCTCATGGTGTTGCTATGAGAATTCATGGTGTTATGTCCCTGACACGTAACAAGCCCTCAAGTGTTAGTTTAATATTAGTCTTAACATTTTAAGGTTGATAGGAGTGTCTTTTTGTGCCAAGCCTTGCGTTAAAGGATTTTCTACAGTATCACATTGAATCCTCATGGTGTATCCATCATGATTGCTGTATGTTATACAGAGATAGGTTTTGTTAAAATACTCATTTTATAAAGGAGGAAACTGAAGGGCAGACTGGTGAAGTCATTTATATATATCAAAGGAAATATAGATTGTAGGTGCTGGAACTGGAATTCTAACTCAGGTATGATTGACGTAGCCTCAAGTCTTCATCACCTCTCAAGAAAACCAGCTTTCTCCCCGGCATGGTGGTTCACGCTTGTAATCCCAGCACTTTGGGAGGCCAAGGTAGGTGGATCACAGGTCAGGAGCTCAAGACCAGCCTGGCCGACATGGTGAAACCCCATCTCTACTAAAAATACGGGCGTGGTGGCAGGCGCCTGTAATCCCAGTTACCTGGGAGGCTGAGGCAGGAGAACTGCTTGGACCCTGGAGGCAGAGGTTGAGGTGACTCGAGATTGTGCCACTGCACTCCAGCCTGGGCAACAGAGCGAGATTCCGTCTCAAAGAAAAAAAAAGTAATGAAATGAATAAAATGAGTCCTAGAGCCAGTAAATGTCGTAAATGTCTCAGCTAGTCAGGTAGTAAAAGGTCTCAACTAGGCAGTGGCAGAGCAGGATTCAAATTCAGGGCTGTTGTGATGCCTCCGCAGACTCTGAGCGCCACCTGGTGGTAATTTGTCTGTGCCTCTTCTGACGTGGAAGAACAGCAACTAACACACTAACACGGCATTTACTATGGGCCAGCCATTGTTCTAAGTGCTTTACTTAGATTTAGCTTTTTTTTTTTTTTTTTCTTTTTTGAGATGGAGTCCCACTCTGTCTTCCAGGCTGGAGTGCAGTGGCACAATCTTGGCTCACTGCAACCTCTGCCTCCCGGGTTCAAGCGATTCTCCTGCCTCAGCCTCCCGAGTAGCTGGGATTACAGGCGCCTGCCACCACGCCAGGCTAATTTTTTGTATTTTTACAAAATACAAATTACTAATTTTTTGCATTTTCACCATGTTGGCCAGGCTGGTCTTGAACTCCTGACCCCGTGATCTACCTGCCTTGGCCTCCCAAAGTGCTGGGATTACAGGTATGAGCCACCACGCCCGGCCCATTTAATTTAAATTAATTTATTTAATCCCTCCCCTTAACAACCCGCTAAAGCAGGTAAGTTATAATCGGCACCCCTTCCACTTTTCACCCTTTTTTTCTTTTTCATTTCAATATTTTTTGGGGAAACACTTGGTTTTTGGTTACATGGATAATTTCTTTAGTGGCGATTTCTGAGATTTTGGTGCACCCGTCACCCGAGCAGTTTACACTATACCCAATGTGTAGTCTTTTATCCCTCACCCCCCTCCCACCCTTCCCCTCTGAGTCCCCGAAGTCCTCTATATCATTCTTATGCCTTTACATCCTCATAGCTTAGCTCCCACTTATAAGTGAGAACATAGGATATTTGGTTTTCCATTTCTGAGTTACTTCACTTAGCATAATGGTCTCCAACTCCATCCAGGTTGCTGCAAATGTCATTACTTTGTTCCTTTTTATGGCTGAGTAGTATTCCTTGGTGAATACCTACTACTTTTTTTTTTTTTTTAGACGGAGTCTTACTCTGTCACCAGGCTGGAGT
The DNA here is from genome assembly GCF_000001405.40 of Homo sapiens. NCBI lineage: Eukaryota > Metazoa > Chordata > Mammalia > Primates > Hominidae > Homo > Homo sapiens. The sequence goes on from NC_000019.10 coordinate 41,145,558, forward strand.
GCAGTGGCGCCATCTCAGCTCACTGCAACCTCCACCTCCCAGGTTCAAGTGATTCTCCTCCCTCAGCCTACAGGCACGCGCCACCACACCCAGCTAATTTTTGTATTTTTAGTAGAGACAGGGTTTCACCATGTTGGCCAGGATGGTCTGGATCTCTTGACCTCATGATCCACCCACCTCAGCCTCGCTAAGTGCTGGGATTACAGGCTTGAATGAGCCACTGCGCCTGCACTACATTTTCTTTATCCACTCGAGGGTTAATGGGCATTTAGGTTTGTTCCATATTTTTGCAACTGCAAATTGTGCTGCTATAAACCTGTGCATGCAACTGTCTTTTTCATACAAAGACTTATTTTCCTTTGGGTGGATACCCAGTAGTGGGATTGCTAGATCAAATGATAGTTCTACTTTTAGTTCTTTAAGGAATCTCCACAGTGTTTTCCATAGTGATTGTACTAGTTTACATTCCCGCCAGCCGTGTAAAAGTTCCCTTTTCACCACATCCATGGCCAACATCTATATGTTTTGATTTTTTAATTATGATCATTCTTGCAGGAGTAAAGTGGTATCTCATTGTGTTTTTCATTTGCATTTCCCTGATAATTTGTGATGGTGAGCATTTTTTTCATAGGTTTGCTGGCCATTTGTATATCTTCTTTTGAGAATCGTCTATTCATGTCCTTCACTTTTTACTTTTATTTGAAAAAACTGTTTTATTTGTGGATGATATCAAACATACACAAGAGTAGATATAAGACTACATGCAGCCGGGCGCAGTGGCTCACACCTATAATCCTAGCACTTTGGGAGACCAAAGTAGGCAGATCACTTGAGGTCAGGATTTCGAGACCAGCCTGGCCAACATGATGAAACTCCGTCTCTACTAAAAATACACAAATAATTTGGGTGCAGTGGCACGTGCCTGTAATCCCAGCTACTCGAGAGGCTGAGGCATGAGAATCGCTTGACCCCGGGAGTCAGAGGTTGCAGTGAACCGAGAACGCGCCACTGCACTCCAGCCTGGGTGATACAGTGAGGCTCAGTCTCAAAACAAAACAAAGAAAAGTATATCCATCACCCAGCTTCAACAATGATCAACTCATGGCCAATCTTGTTTCATCTGTGCTCCCAACAACCTCCTTCCCCAACTCCCCAAAAATTGGGATTATTTTGAAGCAAAGCCCAGACCTCGCATAAATTCACCTATAAATGTTTTCACCACATATCTCTAAAATTATCCCATTTTACCACTGGGGAAACTGAGGCATGAAGAAATCACATAACTTAATCAAGGTCACTTTTCTGATAGGAGTTCAGAGCCAGGATCAAAGCCCAGCTCTCTGGTTCTAGAGCCCTTGCCTTTGACTGTCTTGATGCCTCTGGAATCTTAGATGAGAGTCTTTTTTTTTTTTTTTTTTTTGGAAAGACAGGGTCTCACTGTATTGCATAATCTTGGCTCACTGCAACCTCCACCTCCCAGTTTCAAGCGATTCTCCTGCCTCAGCCTCCTGAGCAGCTCAGATTACAGGCACCAGACACCACACCTGGCTAATTGTTTGTGTTTTTAGTAGAGATGGGGTTTTGCCATGCTGGCCAGGCTGGTCTCAAACTCCTGACCTCAAGTGAGCCACCCGCCTCGGCCTCCCAAAGTGCTGGGATTACAAGCATGAGCCACCATGCCTGGATGCCTATATCTATTATGGACATGTCTCAGTAAGCTGTGTGCTTAAAAGCTTTGCATTCTACTGTATGTAGGTGATACCTAAAAATGAAGGCAAAGGAGAACAGATTAAGTGTCATATATTCATAACACGAATTAGTATAAAGCAAGGAAAATGAATGAACAATATACAATAAACAGGATAAATCTAAGAAACATAATTTTGAGCAAAGGAGCCAGACGTAAAACAATACGTATTACTTGTTCCTTTTGTGCAAAGTGCCCCAAAACAGGCATTTAATTATGCATACTTAGGAAGTGAAATGCTAAACCAATCATGAAATGCTAAAATGCTATAAAAGTGTAAAAAAAATCCTTTCCATTGGAAGAAGGGAGGGGATAGTCATGGGAGAAACAGTAGCAGGCATCTGGCATGTAGGCAACATTCTGTCTCTTAACCTGGGTGTACACTTGGTATCAATTCATTGAGCTATATTCATTTGTTGTATGCCCTTTTTGTATTGACATTTAAAAATATATAATTCCCCGGCCGGGCACGGTGGCTCATGCCTGTAATCCCAGCACTTTGGGAGGCCAAGGAGGGTGAATCACGAGGTCAGGAGTTCAAGACCAGCCTAGCCAACAAGGTGAAACCCTGTCTCTACTGAAAATACAAAAATTAGCTGGGCATGATGGCTTATGCCTGTAATCCCAGCTACTCGGGAGGCTGAGGCAGGAGAATTGCTTGGACCAGGACCCGGGAGGCGGAGGTTGCAGTGAGCCAAGATCGCACCACTTTACTCTAGCCTGGGCTACAGAGTGAGACTCCATCTCAAAAAAAAAAAAAAAAAAAAAAAAAAAAAAAAAAAAAATATATATATATATATATATATATATATATATACACACACACACACACACATATATACATATGTATATATAAAATTTCCCATCACATCTGAATCATGAAATACTAAGAGATACATTTAATAAAATATGTGCAAAACCAGTACACTGAAAACCACAAAACATTAAAGAAGGAAACAGAATAAGACTTGAGTAAGGGGCGAGATCCACCATGTTCAAGAATCAGATTACTCAATATTAAGATATTAGTGCTCCAGCCCAGGCGCAGTGGCTCACACCTGTAATCCCAGCACTTTGGGAGCCCGAGGCGGGTGGATCACTTGAGGTCAGAAGTTCGAGACCAGCCTGGGCAACATGGTGAAACCGATCTCTACTAAAAATACAAAAAAATTAGCTGGGCATGGTGGCACACACCTATAATCCCTAGGGAGACTGAGGTAGGAGAACAGCTTGAACCCGGGAAATGAAGGTTGCATTGAGCAGAGATAGCGCCACTGCACTCCAGCCTGGGCAAAGAGTGAAACTCCATCTCAAAAAATAATAATAGTAATAAAAGATAATAGTGTTCATCTGTAGAGTAAATGAATCCCAGACAAAATTGAAATACCAGCAAGCTTTATTTATTTATTTATTTATTTATAGAAATTGTCAAGCTGAGGCTACAATTTATATGGCAATGTAAAGGATCAACAAGAGCCAAACATCTTGAAAAAGAAAAACCAGACTGGGCGCAGTGGTTCACACCTGTAATCCCAGCACTTTGGGAGGCTGAGGCAGGCAGATCACCTGAGGTCAGGAGTTCAAGACCAGCCTGGCCAACATGGTAAACCCCATCTCTACTACAAATACAAAAATGAGCCAAGTGTGGTGGCGCACGCCTGTAGTCCCAGCTACTCAGGAGGCTGAGGCAGGAGAATCACATGAACCCAGGAGGCAGAGGTTGCGGGGAGCCGAGATGGTACCACTGCACTCCAGCCTGGGAGACAGAGCAAGACCCTGTCTCAAAAAAAAAGAAAAAAAAAGAGAAAAACCAGGCTGGCACAGTGGCTCATGCCTATAATCCCAGCACTTTGGGAGGCCAAGGCGGGCGGATCACCTGAGGTCAGAAGTTCGAGACTAGCCTGACCAAAATGGTGAAATTCCGTCTCTACTAAAAATACAAAAAATTAGCCGAGTGTGGGGGCTTGTGCCTGTAATCCCAGCTACTTGGGAGGCTGAGACACAAGAATCACTTGAACCCGGGAAGCAGAGGTTGCAGTGAGCTGAGATTGCACCACTGCATTCCAGCCTGGGTGGCAGAGTGAGACTCCCACTCAAAAAAAAAAAAAAAAAAAAAAAAAAAAGAGGCCGGGCACAGTGGTTTATGGTTTATGCCTGTAATCCCAGCACTTTGGGAGGCCGAGGTGGGTGGATCACGAGGTCAGAAGATGGAGATCATCCTGGTTAACACAGTGAAACCCCGTCTCTACTAAAAATACAAAAAAATTAGCCAGGCGTGGTGGTGGGCGCCTGTAGTCCCAGCTACTTGGGAGGCTGAGGCTGGAGAATGGCGTGAACCCAGGAGGTGGAGCTTGCAGTGAGCCAAGATCGCGCCACTGCACTCCAGCAGCCTGGACAGAGTGAAACTTCGTCTCAAAAAAAAAAAAAAAAAGAAAAAGAAAAGCCAAATGGAAGGATTTATATTAATATCAAAATTTATAATAAAACTACAGTAATAGGCTGGGCACTGTGGCTCATGCCTGTAATCCCACCACTTTGGGAGGCCAATGCAAGAGCCCAGAAGTTCACTTGAGCTTAGAAGTTCAAGACCAGCCTGGGCAATATAGTGAGAACCCATCTCTACAAAAACTTAAAAAACTAGCCAGGCATGATGGCATGTGCCTGTGGTCCTAGCTATTCAGGAGGCTGAGGTGGGAGGACCGCTTGAGCCCAGGAGGTCTAGGCTGCAGTGAGTCATGATGGCACTGCTCCACTCCAGCCTGGGTGACAGGGCAAGACTCTGTCTCAAAAAAACAAAAAACCACACACACACACTACAGTAATAAAGGCAAGGTGTACTGGGATTCCGATAGAAAGAGATGAATGGAATAAACTAGGAAGTCCATAAATATGTGGTCAATAGAATTTTTTTTTCTTAGAGTTGGGGGTCTCACTGTGTTTAACAGGCTGGTCTCAAACTCTTGGACTCAAGCGATCCTCCTGCCTCAGCCTCCCTCACCTGCTTTCAATTGATTACTGACAAAGATGCTAAGATAATTCAGTGGAGAAAAGACAGTATTTTCTTTTTCTTTTTTTTTCTTTTTTTTTTTTTTTTTTTTTTTTGAGGAGTCTTGCTCTGTAGCCCAGGCTGGAGTGCAGTGGCTCAATCTTGGCTTACCGCAAACTCTGCCTCCCGGGTCCCAGTTCAAGCAATTCTCCTGCCTCACCCTCCCGAGTAGCTGGGACTACAGGCATGCATCACCATGCCCAGCTGATTTTTGTATGTTTAGTAGAGACGGGGTTTCGCCATGTTGGCCAGGCTGGTCTCGAACTCCTGACCTTGTGATTCACCCACCTTGGCCTCCCAAAGTGCTGGGATTACAGGTGTGAGCCACCACACCTGGCCAGTATTTTCAACAAATGGTAGAATGACTAAATAGCCTCATGGAAACAAAACGAACCCTGCCTTTTACTTCACATCATACACAAAAATTAACTTGAAATAGGTCAGAGATCTAAAAGTACAGACTAAAGCTAAAGAACTTCTAAAAACATATTTTCAAAACCTTGAAGTAGATCTTTTTTTTTTTTTAACATGGGACTCAAAAATCACTAATCATAAAGGAAAAAATTGACAAACTGGACTTAGTCAAAAATAATACTTTCAGCCAGGCACGGTGGCTCATGCCTCTAATCCCAACACTTTAGGAGGCCAAGGTGGGAGGATTGCTTGAACCCAGGAGTTCTAAACCAGCCTGGGCAACGTAGTGAGAACCAGTCTCTATATTTAAAATAAATAAATAAATAATAGTAGTACTTTTGCTCATCCAAAACCAGCATTAAGAAAATATACGGACCGGCCAGGCGTGGTGACTCACACCTGTGATTCCAGCACTTTGGGAGGCCAAGGCAGGCAGATCACCCGAGGTCAGGAGTTTGAGACCTGTCTGGCCAAACCCCATCTCTACTAAAAATATAAACATTAGCCGGGTGTGGTGGCACACGCCTGTAATCCCAGCTACTCAAGAGGCTGAGGCAGGAGAATTGTTTGAACCCAGGAGGCAGGGGTTGCAGTGAGCCAACATTGTGCCACTGCACTCCAGCATGGGCAACAGAGAGAGACTCCATCAAAAAAAAAAAAAAGGAAAGAAAGGAAAAGAAAAGAAGATATATAGACCAGGCACAGACCAGAAGAAAATATTCACAACACATATATCTCACAAAATAACCCGTGCCTGAAATATCTAAACAACTCCTATGGCTCAATAAAAAAAAAAAAAAAAAAGCCCAACCAGCCGGGCACGGTGGCTCACACCTGTAATCCCAGCACTTTGGGAGACCAAGGTGGGGTGGATCACGAGGTCAGGAGATCGAGACCATCCTGGCTAACATGGTGAAACCCTGTCTCTTCTAAAAAAATACAAAAAATTAGCCGGGCATGGTGGCACACGCCTGTAGTCCCAGCTACTCGGGAGGCTGAGGCAGGAGAATGGCGTGAACCTGGGAGGCGAAGCTTGCAGTGAGCCGAGATCGCGCCACTGCACTCCAGCCTGGGCGACAGAGTGAGACTGCGTCTCCAAAAAAAAAAAAAAAAAAAAAGCCCAACCAAAAAATGGCCAACAGGCTATAAAAAGGTGTTTAATGTCATTAGCCAACAGGAAACACAAATTAAAACCACACTGAGATACCACCACACACCCATAAGAAAGGCTAAATGGAAATATGCAAACAGCACCTAGTGCTGGCAAGGATCACCAGAACTCTCGTTCATGACTATGGGTGTATAAAACGTACAACTGCTTAGAAAAAGTTTCTGCAAATTTCTTAAAAGTTTAGCAGGCCAGGCGCAGTGGCTCGTGCCTGTAATCCCAGCACTTTGGGAGGCCGACGCGGGTGGAACACGAGGTCAGGAGTTCGAGACCAGCCTGGCCAACACAGTGAAACCCCGTCTCTACTAAAAATACAAAAATTAGCCAGCCGTGGTGGCAGGCACCTGTAATCCCAGCTACTCAGGAGGCTGAGGCGGGAGAATTGCTTGAACCCGGGAGGTGGAGGTGGCAGTGGGCTGAGACCACACCATTGCACTCCAGCCTGGGTGACAGAGTAAGACTCCATCTCAAAAAACAAACAAACAAAAAAGTTTGGCAGGCCAGAGGCGGTGGCTTACTCCTGTAATCCCAGCACTTGGAGGATCACTTGAGCCCAGGACTTCAAGACCAGCCTGGGCAACATCAGGAGACCCTGTCTCTACAAAAACATGAAAACTAGCCGGGTGAGATGGTGTGCACCTGTAACCCAGCTACTTGGGAAGCTGAGGTGGTAGGATTTCTTGAGCCCAGGAGGTCAGGGCTGCAGTGAGCCAGAGATTGCACCACTGCACTCCAGCGTGGGCAACAGAACAAGACCCTGTCTCAAAAAAAATAAAATTAGCATCACGCAACAACATAGATACATTTCAAAAACATTGTGCTGAGTAAAGCAAGTCTTGCACACAAGAGTACTTATGGTATAATTCTGGTTATTTGGGCTGCCGAGGCAGGTGGATCACCTGAGGCCAGGAGTTCCAGACCAGCCTGGCCAAAATGGTGAAACCCCATTTCTGCTAAAAATACAAAAAATTAGCTGGGCATGGTGGCACATGCCTATAATCCCAACTGCTCGGGAGGCTGAGGCAGGAGAATTACTTGAACCCAGGAGGTGGAGGTTGCAGTGAGCCGAGGTTGCACCACCGCACTCCAGCCTGCGCAACAAGAGCAAAACTCTGTCTCAAAAAAAAAGAAAAGGAAATGCTGGTTATTTAACGTTCTATAACAGACAAAACTAACTTATGTGGGGAGGTGGGACAAAAGAGTTGTTGTTTCTGAGACACTGACTGAGAAGGGACATGAGGGGACTTTTTGCGGTGATGATAGTGCTCTATCTTGATGGGTGTTTTTATTATACAGGTACATGCATTTTTCAAAGCACATCAAACCATATAGTTATGATTTATGCATTTTATTCTATGTCAATTTTACCTTGAAAACATAAAGATTCAATTTTAGGTAATGATATTGATATTCAAGTGTCTGGGGGTGAAATGTACTGGTGTCTGCCATTTCTATCAAGAAGCATCAGAAAAATAGGCGAGGTGCAGTGGCTCATGCCTGTAATCCCAACACTTTGGGAGGCCAAGGTGGGAGGATCACTTGAGGTCAGGAGTTCGAGACCAGCCTGGCCAACAAGATGAATCCCGTTTCTACCAAAAAATACAAAAATTAGCCGGGCGTGGTGGTGCATGCCTGTTGTCCCAGCTACTCGGGAGGCTGAGATGGGAGAATCGCTTGAAGAAAAAAGGCCTGGCGCGGTGGCTCACGCCTATAATCCCAGCACTTTGGGAGGCCAAGGCAGGCAGATCATCTGAGGTCGGGAGTTCGAGACCAGCTAGACCAACATGGTGAAACCCCATCTCTACTAAAAGTACAAAATTAGCCGGGCATGGTGGCACACGCCTGTAATCCCAGCTACCCGGGAGGCTGAGACAGGAGAATTGCTTGAACTAGGGAGGCGGAAGTTGCAGTGAGCTGAGATCACGTCATTGCACTCCAGCCTGGGCAACAAGAGCAAGGCACGGTGGCTCACGCCTGTAATCCCAGCACATTGGGAGGTTGAGGCGGGCGGATCACGAGGTCAGGAGATCAAGACCAACCTGGCTAACACGGTGAAACCCCATCTCTACTAAAAATACAAAAAAAAATTAGCCGGGCGTGGTGGCGGGGTCCTGTAGTCCCAGCTATTCAGGAGGCGGAGGCGGGAGAATGGCGTGAACCCAGGAGGCAGAGCCTGCAGTAAGCCAAGATCGCACCATTGCACTCCAGCCTGGGTGACAGAGCGAGATTCCATCCCAAAAAAAAAAAAAAAAAAAAAAAAAAAAGCAAGGGCGAAACTCAATCTCAAAATAAATAAATAGGTGCAGTGGCTCATGCCTGTAATCGCAGTGCTTTGGAAGGCTGAAATGAGAAGATTGCTTGAGGCCAGGAGTTTGAGGTTACAGTGAGCTGTGATCACTCCATGGCACTCCAGCCTGGGTGACAAAGCAAGAAATACAAATAAAATAAATAATAAGGTGGTTTGGTGGGAGGGTAGAAGGATAGATATGACAAAACAAACATGGGAAAATGTTCATTGTAGAATCTAAGTGATGAGTATGTGGGTGTTTATTATACAATTCTTTAAACTTTTCTTTATGTTTGAAATTTTTTCCTAATAGTGTTGGGAGAAAGTAACATCTATTCTGTGAGCCAGTTATTTCTCCCTTTGGTATTTATCCAAGAGAAATAAAAACTTATGTCTACATAAAACTTTGTAAGAGAATGTTCATCCCAGCCGGGTGCGATGGCTCACGCCTGTAATCCCAGCACTTTGAGAGGCCAAGGCAGGTGGATCACAAGGTCAGGAGATAGAGACCAACCTGGCTAACACGGTGAAACCCAATCTCTACTAAAAACACAAAAAATTAGCCCGGCGTGGTGGTGGGCGCCTGTAGTCCCAGCTACTTGGGAGGCTGAGGCAGGAAAATGACATGAACCCGGGAGGCGGAGCTTGCAATGAGCTGAAATTGCACCACTGCACTCCAGCCTCGGTGACAGAGCGAGACTCCGTCTCGAAAAAAAAAAAAGGAATGTTTATCCCAGCTCTATTATTGGCAAGAGACTGTAAACAGCTCAGATGTCCATCAACAGGAGAATGGATAAACAAACTCAAACTGTGCTTTATTTATACAATGGACTCCTACTCAACTATTGAAAAGGAATGAACTACTAATTCAAACTACTAAAAGGAATGAACTACTAACACACTAATAACGTGAGTGAATCTCAAACATTTTGCTAAGTGAGATTCAAAAAAGGGTGTATTATATAGAATTCTAGTCACAGGAAACTCTAGAAAAGGCAAAGCTAATCTGTGGTTCTAGAAATCACAACAGTGCTTGCTTTTCAAGTGCTTATGAATTGGGAAAAGGCATGATGAATGCTTCTATGGTGATGAACACGTTCTGTGTCTTGAGAGAAATTTGGGTTACATGGGTGTATGCCTTTGTCATAATTGACTGAACTGTAAACCTGTGGATTTCATGGAATGTAAATTATACCCTTTTAAGAAAGCTGATTATAAGTGGGAAAGGATTCTGCACATGCTAAACCAGATAATTTGTCACATAGTGCTTTGTAAGGCTATGTGTATCGGTATGGAAACACTAACAGAGATCCTAGATATATTGCTAGATCAACTTTCTAGAAGTTGTTCAAATTATTGGCTCTGTTGGACTAAACTAAATGAAGCTTAGTTTTGTTGATATAATATATAGTTGATATCATAGATTTGTTGATGTAATGTAGAGGAAGAAATCCAAAGACTGAGGCCAGGCATGGTGGCTTACGCCTGTGATCCCAGCACTTTGGGAGGCTGAGGTGGGTGGATCACCTGAGGTCAAGAGTTCGAGACCAGCCTGGCCAATATGGAGAAGCCCCATCTCTACTAAAAATACAAAATTAGCCAGGCATGGTGGCGCGTGCCTGTAATCCCAGCTACTCAGGAGGCTGAGGCAGGAAAATCACTTGAACCTGGGAGGTGGAGGTTGCAACGAGCTGAGATCGCACCACTGCACTCCAGCCTGGGCAACAGAGCAAGACTCCATCTCAAAACAAACAAATAAACAAAGACTGATATAATAAATGTTGGAGAGTACCTGTTAAGTTTAGAAGATCATACACACCCTAACAATATCTCCTAAGGAAACATGCCTTTCACAATGACATTGAGAAATATACTGGCATCAGAAGCACTAGCATCTTTGAAAAGCCCTGTAACGGCTGGTATAGAGGTAAAAAAATTCAGATGGCTCATTTCAGCCATTGAAATGGGTTCCCTTATTCCAACTGGAATGGCACATTCCAGGACAAAAGATAGGAAATTAAAGATTTGACAGACACCAAACAAGACACACAGATAGCAAAAAGCACATGTAAAAATGCTCAATATCACAAGTAATTAGGGAAATTCAAATTTAAGCCACAATGAGATACCACTACATAACTATCCAAACGACTGGTCATATCAAATGTTGGCCAGGAGAGGGAGGAACTGGAACTCTCATGCACTGCCGGTGGAAATGTACAATGAATGGTACAACCATTTTTGGAAAACAGTATGGCAGTTGCTCAAAAAGTTAAACATACCTTTATGATCCAGCCCCTTCCCTCCTATTTAGTCAAGAGAAATGAAAATATATGTTCATATAAAAACTTGTGGCAGGGCAAGGTGGCTCATGCCTATAACCCCAACACTTTGGGAGGATGAGGCGAGTGGATCGCTTGAGCTCAAGAGACCATCCTGGGCAACATGGCAAAGCCCTCATCTCTACAGAAAATTTAAAAATTAGCCAGGTATGGTGGCGCCCGCCTGTAGTTCCAGCTACTCAAGAAGCTGAGGTAGGAGGATCACTTGAGTCTGGGAGATCAAGGCTGCAGTGAGCTGTCATTGCACCACTGCACTCCTCCTGGGGTGACAGAGCAAGACCCTGTCTCAAACAACAACAACAACAAAAACTTGTAGTCTGGGCGCAATGGCTCACACCTGTAATCCCAGCACTTTGGGAGGCCGAGGTGGGTGGATCACGAGGTCAGGAGATCAAGACCATCCTGGCTAACATGGTGAAACCCTGTCTCTACTAAAAATACAAAAAAAAAATTAGCCAGGCGTGGTGGTGGGAGCCTGTAGTCCCAGCTACTAGGGAGGCTGAGGCAGGAGAATGGCATGAACCCGGGAGGTGGAGCTTGCAGTGAGCCAAGATCACACTACTGCACTCCAGCCTGGGCAACAGAGCGAGACTCTGTCTCAAAAATAAATATACAAAAAAAAACTTGTATACAAGTGTTCATAGAAGCTGCATTTTTAATAGCCAAAAATTGAAAACACCCCAAATGTTCATCAACAGGTAAATGGATAAACAAACTGTGGTACATCTGTACAATGGAATACTACTTGGCAATCAAAAGGAATGTACTATTGATACATACAGCAACATGAATCAATCTCAGAATAATTATGTTGGACTCCTCCCCCCAAAAAGGAACATACTATATGATTCCGTTTATATAAGACTCAAGAAAATACAAACTAATCTATAGCAATAGAGAACAAATCAGAGGTTGCTTGAAAAATAGGGATGGGAGTGTAAGTGGGTGGGAGAGATTACAAAAAAATACAAGGAAATGTTGAGATTACAGAAATGCTCATTTAAATATGAGCAGTGGAAGGGCGTGGTGGCTCACACCTGTAATCCCAGCACTTTGGGAGGCCAAGTGGGGAGGATTGCTGGAGTCCAGGAGTTTTGAGACCAGCCTGAGCAACATGGCAAAACCCTGTCTCTAAAAAAACCAAACAAACAAAAAAACTAGCGAGGCATGGTGTACATGCCTGTAGTCCCAGCTACTTGGGAGGCTGATGTGAGAGAATCAAAATAAATAAATAAATAAATATGAGCCATTTGTTTTATGTCAATTATACCTTGATAAAGTTTTTTTTAGTGACTTTGGGAATATAACAACCAAACACAGTCTCAGGGCTTTTTTGCATTCTGTTTTGAACAAAGTAACCAAAAATGACTTTTCTGAGATCATTGGAGAAGTATGAATATGGACTGAGTGTTAGATGAAATTAAAGGAATATTATTTTTGCTAGCTGGAATAATGGCATGATGGTACTGCTAAACTTTTTATCATTAAGCAATGCATACTGAGATAGTTATGGGGCAAATATCTGGGATTGTTTAAAATGCTTCGGAAAACAGGAATACATAAAATAAGCTGAGGAGAATGCTGATAATTGGTGAAACTAGGTGATAGGAGTTTATTGCATTCTTCTCCCTACTTTTGTAGATATCTGAATGTCACTTTCATAATAAAGTTAGAAACAGGCTGGGCGTGGTGGCTCACACCTCTAATCCCAGCACTTTGGGAGGCCAAGGCAGGAGGATCGCCTGAGCCCAGGAGTTCAAGACCAGCCTGGCCAACATAGCGAAACCCCATCTCTACTAAAAATACAAAAATCAGCCAGGCATGGTGGCATGTGCCTGCAGTCCCAGCTACTTGGGAGGCTGAGACACAAGAATTGCTTGAACCCAGGAAGCAGATGTTGCAGTGAGCTGAGATTGCACCACTGCACTCCAGCCTGGATGACAAAAGTGAGACTCTTGTCTCAAAAAAAAAAAAAAAAAAAAAAGACTCGAATAAAATAAAAAGAATGACTCCTAGATCTCTAATTCTAGCAATCAGGGTATGGTAATACCACTTACCAAGATGCATGGGAGATAAACAGGTTCAGAGGAAATCAAGTTCTCATTAAGGGCCACATTAAGGTTCATAAAGAACCTTTGGGCCAGGCGTGTTAGCTCATGCCTGTAATCCCAGCACTTTGGGAGGCCGAGGTGGGCAGATCGCTTGAGGCTAGGAGTTTGAGACCAACCTGACCAACATGATAAAACCCCATCTCTACTAAAAATACAAAAATTAGCCAGGCATGGTGGCAGGTGCCTGTTATCCCAGTTACTCAAGAAGCTGAGGCAGGAGGATCACTTGAACCTGGGAGGCAAAGGTTGCAGTGAGCCAAGATCATGCCACTGCACTCCAGCCTGGGCAACAGAAAAAAAAAGATCAGCAAAAAAAAAAAAAAAAAAAAAAAAAAGGCTCACAGGGCGGAGTCTGAGGGAGATCCCATGAGCTGCCACCTGTCCTCTTTCAGTGGACTTGTGTGGAGAGGGCTTTATTCCCCAGCAAGAAGCCATGACAAGCATGGAGCACTTCCAACCAGGAAAACTCACCCAAGCTCTGGTGTCCAAGGTGTTCACTGGGGGTCAGTTACATAGGCAGAGAGCACCCAAGTGACAACTCCTCAGTCTCCAGCCCACAGAGGTCAAACTAACACAGTGTTGCCCAAAGCCCCAGGTATGCAAAAACAGACACCATGAGTCATGGTGTTAGCATAAACTATCCCTCTGTCCCACCCAAGGCCCAGATGTGTACAGATACTGTTATCAGGCAGGATATTCCAAAGGCTTAGAGCTTAAGGAGTGGTCAAGGGCCAGTTTTTTTCTTTGGAATGTTCAATACTTAAGGACCCATGCCAGCAGAGTTAAGGCTTTACTGCACGTGGCCCTACTTCTGCCAATGAACTTGGAGCTTACGTAGCATCTTTTTTTTTTTTCTTTTTGAGATGGAGTTTCGCTCTTTTTGCCCAGGCTGGACTGCAATGGCACGATCTCGGCTCACCGCAACCTCCGCCTCCTGGGTTCAAGTGATTCTCCTGCCTCAGCCTCCCGAGTAACTGGGATTACAGGCATGTGCCACCATGCCTGGCTAATTTTGTATTTTTTAGTAGAGACAGGGTTTCTCCACGTTGGCCAGGCTGGTCTCGAACTCCCGACCTCAGGTGATCTGCCCGTCTTGGCCTCCCAAAGTGCTGGGATTACAGGCGTGAGCCACCGTGACTGGCCATAGCATCTTAATAAAGAACAATAAATTTGTTTGGGAGGCTGAGGCAGGAGAATCGCTTGAACCCAGGAGGCGGAGTTTACAGTGAACCAAGATCATGACACTGCACTCCAGCCTGGGTGACAGAGTTGGACTCCAGATCAACACCAACACCAACAACAACAACAAAAAAAAAAAAAAAAAAAAAAAAGAACAATAAATTTGTAGAGAATGACAAGACACAGGAAAAGAACTTTTGAGCTTCCGGGCACAGCAAATTGTGGGAAGATAAATATATTGGGCAACTAGTGGAAGATAAGGGCTGGCTCATAAGGTTTGTTATATAGATTCCCCTCCTGCCATCTGTGGGCTGATAAGAGTCTAGAGATTGTATTGGCTATTAAGAAATCATCCTGCCCTTCTTGGTAGAGAAGGGGAGGGCAGAGTTCTTTCATGTGTCTGCTTTTTCTCAACTGTCTTCAGCTCAAAATAATGCTTATGCTGGGGTGGCAAATTTGAGGTAACACACTCTCAACCCCTTCACCCATCAATCTAAGGTGACCAGGAACTAACTTGTAGTCTAACAAAGCCAGGTTCACTGACCCATTTCAATGAGGGAGAATGCACACCAGAACCATGGGGCATCTCACCAAACAAAGGAAAAGATTGGCCAAGCAAGGTGGCTCATGCTTGTAATCCCAGCACTTTGGGAGCCCAAGACAGGAGGATCACTTGAGGCCAGGAGTTCAAGACCAGCCTGGGCAACATAGTGAGAATCCCTCTCTTAAAAAAAAAAAAAAAAAAAAAGTTTTTTAATTAGCCAAGTGTGGTGGTGCACCTTAATTCCAGCTACTCAGGAGGCTAAGGCAGGAGGACTGCTTGAGCCCAGGAGTTAGAGGCTGCAGTGAGCCTGTGATTGTGGTGATGGAGTGAGACCCTGTGAAAGAGGATAAGGGGGCAGTGGGGAAGGAAAGGGCTGGGAGGGGAGGGGAGGGGAGGGGAGGAGAGGGGAGGGAGAGGAGAAAGAAAGAAAGAAAAGAAAAGAAAGGAAAGAAGGAAGGAAGGAAAGAAAGAAGGAAGGAGAGAGGAAGAAAGAAAGAAAAAGAGAAAGAAAGGAAGGAAGAAAAAGAAAGAAAGAGAAAGAAAGAAAGAAAGAAAGAAAGAGAAACAAAGAAAAGAAAAGAAAGAGAAAAGAGGGAGGAGAGGTAAGGGGAGGGGAGGAGAAGAGGTCAGTTCAAGACCAGCCTGGTCAACAAGGTGAAACCCCATCTCTACTAAAAATACAAAAATTAGCCAGCATGGTGCTGCTAATCCCAGCTACTCAGGAGGCCGAAGCAAGAGAATCACTTGAACCTAGGAGGCAGAGGTTGCAGTGAGCCGAGATCACGCCACTGCAAACCAACCTGGGTGACAGAGTCAGACTCCGTATCAAAAAAAGAAATGAAATAAATTAATTAATTAAGTGAAATGAAAATAATTTGTGGATACAAGGAAAAAATTTAAAAATTTTAGAAAAAGAAAATGTTACCTACTTCTCAGTGGTATGTGAAGATTTAGCAAGACGTGTAGGCAAAGAGCTGAACACAAGTCCTTATAGGACGCCCTTAACAAATATTAGCTATTGTTGTTATCGATATCAGCATTACTTTCACACAGATATTTTTGATCAACTGAAAGCACCACCCACCTCCACACACATTAACCCAGAGCAATGTATTGTCAGTGCTTGAGAGAAAGGGCTGACTGGGTGCGGTGGCTCACGCCTGTAATCCCAGCACTTTGGGAGGCCGAGGCAGGCAGATCACCTGAGGTCGGGAGTTCAAGACCAGCCTGACCAACATGTAAAAACCCCAACTCTACTAAAAACACAAAATTAGCCAGGTGTGGTGGCACACTACTGTAATCCCAGCTACTCGGGAAGCTGAGGCAGGAGACTCTTTGAACCCGGGAGGTGGAGGTTGCAGTGAGCTGAGATTGGGCCATTGCACTCCAGCCTGGGAAACAAAAGCAAAACTTCCTCTCAAAAAAAAAAAAGAGAGAGAGAAAGGGCTTTGTTGCCACAACATGTAAGTTCAGTCCTAGTTCATTTGCTTCCGAGCTGTGTGAACTTAAGCAATTGTGTCATTTTCCTGAGCCTCAGTTTCCTTATCTGTAAAGTGGGAATCATATTTCTCTCGGGATTTCTGAGAATTAAATAGAATCATATTATTATTCTCTCTTCCACTCAAGCCATTTCTGTCTCCCTGCTCCCGCAATTCCTAAACCTTCCCACCTCAGCTACAGCTCACAGCGCCTCCTGGAGGCCTGGAGGGTCTGATCCTTGGAGGGGGCGCAAGAATGGGAGAGTGGATAAGGGGCAGGGTGCTGGGCTGGAGAGGGCTGGAGAGCCCTGGGATGTTACCTGTTCTCACTGGAGGAGACCAAAGGCACATTTAGCCTGATGGGGGGTGAGGGGTTGCCCCTGTGCGAGTTATATCTGCATGGGTACTTCTGTGTGTGTTTGTAGGTAAAGGGCAGTTAAAAGTCTGGGATGACTGGAAATCTGGAACCTGAAGTCTTTGGAGAATGAAAAAGAGTGGTTGTGCATGAGTCCCTCAGCAGTATAACAGGGGTAGGTTATTCTGAAATATTAGATATAAATATAGAATATGAATATATTAGCATAGATGTACAGATAAATGATGTATACTTATACAATAGAAAGATGATTTAGGGCTGGGCCTGGTGGCTCACGCCTGTAATCCCAGAACTTTGAGAGGCCGAGGCAGGCAGATCACCTGAGGTCAGGAGTTTGAGACCAGCCTGGCCAACATGGAGAAACCCCGTCTCCACAAAAAATACAAAAATTATCGGCTGGGCGCAGTGGCTCACACCCGTAATCCCAGCACTTTGGGAGGCGGAGGCGGGCACATCACGAGGTCAGGAGATCCAGATCATCCTGGCTAACACAGTGAAACCCCGTCTCTACTAAAAATATTTTTAAAAAATAGCTGGGCGTGGTGGCAGGTGCCTGTAGTCCCAGCTACTCGGGAGGCTGAGGCAGGAGAATCGCTTTAACCTGGGAGGTGGAGCTTGTAGTGAGCCGAGATCGCACCACTGCACTCCAGCCTGGGTGACAGAGAGAGACTCCATCTCAAAAAAAAACAAAAAACAAAACAAAAACAAAAATTAGCCTGGTGTGGTGGCACATGCCTGTAGTCCCAGCTACTCAGGAGGCTGAGGCAGGAGAATCACTTGAACCCAGGAGGCGGAGGCTGCAGTGAGCTGAGATCAAACGACTGCATTCCACCCTGGGTGACAGAGCGAGACTCCATCTGAAAAAAAAATGATTATTTAGATAGATAATATAGATATAAAGATAAATTATATAGACATAAATGGTAAATAGATGATTCAAATATAGATGATATAAATATAGTATAGACGTGATATGAATATAGAAATGGATATAGATGATACAGACAGGAAAAAGCAGACACATAATTATGTTAATATCTTTAACTACTGGCCGGCGTGGTGGCTCACGCCTGTAATCCCAGCACTTTGGGAGGCCGAGGTGGGCGGATTATGAAGTCAGGAGATCGAAACCATCCTGGCTACCACGGTGAAACCCCATCTCTACTAAAAATACAAAAAAAATTTAGCCGGGCATGGTGGTGGACGCCTGTAGTCCCAGCTACTCAGGAGGCTGAGGCGCGAGAATGGCGTGAACCCAGGAGGCGGAGCTTGCAGTGAGCCAAGATCGCGCCACTGCACTCCAGCCTGGGCGAAAGAGCAAGACTCTGTCTCAAAAAAAAAAAAAAAAAAAAAAAAAAATTCTTTAACTACTGAGATCTTCGGCTTGGGAAAAATGGGGTCCTAATGTACAGTTTTTATAGAGAAGGCAAGAGACAACTGGGCATGGTGGCTCATGCCTGTAATCTCAGAACTTTGGGAGGCTGAGCCGGGCAGATTGCTTGGGCCCAGGAGTTCAAGACCAGCCCGACCAACATGGCAAGACTCTGTCTCTACAAAAAATATTAAAAATTAGCCAGGTATGATGGTGAGCACCTGTAGTCCCAGATACTACAGAGGCGGAGGCATGAGAATCACTTGAGCCTGGGAGGTTGAGGCTGCAGTGAGCCATGATTGCGCCACTGCACTCCAGCCTGGGTGGACAGAGTGAGACCCTGTCACAAAACGAAAAGAAAGAAAGAAAAAAAAAGCAAGAGACATGCCTGATTCTTTCCTTTACTTACTAGTTTTCACAATAATGAGTTGGTTCCTTAGTGTCCTTCAAAAGTGGCCTGTGAGGTTCGGTTCTTTTGAGTATCAAGATGTTGGCAGAGCACTGTGGCTCACACCTGTAATCCCAGCATTTTGGGAGGCCAAGACAGGTGGATCACTTGAGGTCAGGAGTTTGAGACAACCCTGGCCAACATGGTGAAACCCTGTCTCTACTAAAAATACAAAAATTAGTCAGGCATGGTGGTGGATGCCTGTAATCCCAGCTACTCAGGAGGCTGAGCCAGGGGAATCGGTTGAACCTGGGAGGTGGAGGTTGCAGTGAACCAAGATCATGCCACTGCACTCCAGCCTGGGCGACAGAGTGAGACTCCCTCTCAAAAAAAAAAAAAAAAAAAAAAGATGCTGATTCCCTGACATGTTGGATCATGGCTATGTCAGAATCTAGGGATAAAATACTAACAAGTGCTTGGAAGAGTAAGTAAATGAAAGACAAGACAGTGATTGACTTCAGGATAAACAAGCCCGTATGAGAAAGGAAATGCCATCACTGAATAGTTCACTACACGGCCTAACTGTGGACTCTTATCTATTGCAGAGTCATCGTCATGCAAGCATTCAACATTGATTTAACTAGACATAGTGATAAATGTCCAGGCGTGGTGGCTCACACCTGTAATCCCAGCACTTTGGGAGGCCGAGGTGGGTGGATCACCTGAGGTCAGGAGTTTGAGACCAGCCTAGCCAACGTGGCAAAACCCTGTCTCTACTAAAAATACAAAAATTAGCCGGGCATGGTGGCGTGTGCCTGTAATCCCAGCTACTAGGGGGGCTGAGCAGGAGGATCACTTGAACCTGGGAGGCAGAGGTTGCAGTAAGCTGAGATCACGCTACTGTACTCCAGCCTGGGCGACAGAGTGAGACTCCAAAAAAACAAAGGAAGGAAAGAAGAAAGAAAAGAGAGAGAGACAGAGAGAAAGAAAGAAAGAAAGAAAGAAAGAAAGAAAGAAAGAAAGAAAGAAAGAAAGAAAGAAAGAAAGAAAGAAAGGAGGGAGGGAGGGAGGGAGGGAGGGAGGGAGGGAAGCTAAACAGAGCAACTGTGGGAGAGGAAGAAAATGAGCACTAAAGGGAGTTCTCCCCAAAGGTTTCCCAAAGTCTGCTTCTTGGAGGAATTCTATACAAGACTGAGGTCCCTAAATCTCCTAGATCCAGGCATAGTAGGCTGAATAACGCCACCCCACCCCGCCCGAAGATGTCCACACCCTAATGCTCAGAACCTGCGAACACATTCCCCGACATGGTAAATGAGGTTTTGCGGAAGTGATTAAGGATCTTGAGATGGAAGGGTCATTCTGGATTAGCTAGTGGACCCAAGGTAATCACAAGCATCCTTCTAACAGGAGAGCAGAAAGGTCACAGTCAGGCTGGGCACGGTGACTCACGCCTGTAATCCCAGCACTTTGTAAGGCGAAGGTGGGCGGATCACCTGAGGTCAGGAGTTCGAGACCAGCCTGGCCAACATGGTAAAACCCTGTCTCTACTAAAAATACAGAAATTAGCCAGTGTGGTGGCGTGTGCCTGTAGTCCCAGCTACTCAAATGGCTGAGGCACAAGGATCACTTGAACCTGGGAGGTGGAGGCTGCAGTGAGCCAAGATTGTGCTATTGCATTCCAGCCTGGGTGACAGAGCAAGACTGCATCTCAAAAAAAAAAAAAAAGAAAGAAAGGTCAGAGTCAGAGAAGATGTGACCACTGAAGCAGAGACTGGAGTGATGCAGTCAGAAGCCACGGCATGGAGGCAGCCTCCAGAGGCTGGGAGAAAAAAGTGACAGATTCTCCACTGAAACCTCCAGAAGGATCCAGCCCTGCTGACACTTGACTTTAGCCCGTTAAGGTTAGCTTCAGACTTCTGACCTCCAGAACTGTAAGATAATAAATCTGTGTTGATTTACACCACTAAGTTTGTGGAAATTTGTTAATGGCAGCAATAGAAAAATAATAACACCATCGGCCGGGTGCAGCGGTTCACGCCTGTAATCCCACCACTTTGGGAGGCCAAGGTGGGCAGATCATTTGAAGCCACGAGTTCGAGACCAGCCTGGCCAACACGGTGAAACCCTGTCTCTACTAAAAATACAAAAATCAGCCCAGTGTGATGGTGCATGCCTGTAGTCCCGGCTACTCGGGAGGCTGAGACAAAGGATCCCCTGAACCCAGGAGGTGGAGGTTGCAGTGAGCTGATCCCAAAGTGCTGGGATTACAGGCGTGAGCCACCGCGCCCAGACCCCTGTTTTTTTTCGTTTGTTTGTTTGTTTGTTTGTTTGTTTGTTTTGAAACAGAGTCTTGCTTTTGTTGCCCAGGCTGGAGTGCAGTGGTGCAATCTCGGCTCACTACAACCTCTGCCTCCCGGGTTCAAGCGATTCTCCTGCCTTTTCATCTCGGCCTTCCAAAGCACTGTGATTACAGGCATGAGCCACTGTGCCTGGCCTATTTATTTATTTATTTATTTCTAAGATGGAGTTTCGCTCTTGTTGCCCAGGCTGGAGTGCAATGGTGCCACCTCGGCTCACTGCAACTTCCACCTCCCGGGTTCAAGCAATTCTCCTGCCTCAGCCTCCCAGTAGCTGGGATTACAGGCAGGTGCCACCACGCCAAACTAATTTTGTATTTTTAGTACAGATGGGGTTTCACCTTGTTGATTAAGCTGGTCTCAAACTCCTGGACTAAAGCGGTCCACCCACCTCAGCCTCCCCAAGTGCTGGGATTACAGGCATGAGCCACCGCTCCCGGCCCTGGAGTAGCTTTTATGTGGCAACAGGAGTTAGAAATCCTTCTGTCCTAAACAGCTCAGGCTCCCACAACATACTATATATTGTCTTTCTCTTAGTCTTTGCCCAGGCTCTCCCTGCTCCCTCTGTGGTTGCAGTTAGGGTTCATTCTTGGTCCAGGGTTAAGATTCGTTCCAAGGCCTGGAACAGCAGTCAGTCTGTACCTGTGGTCAGGACACAAACTGATAACTTTTACTTTCCTGGAATGTCTACTGATCCTGTGACATTGTCCGGCCCCTGCTCATTCAGGTGCTGGAAGAGAATGCAAACTATTGGAGCCTCTGGTTTAGGTTTCCTCAAGGTCATCTCAGCCATACCCCTGTCTCCTAGAGAAATTTCTCAAGAGATTAAGGGACTCATTCAACTTGGCACATACCTTGGTTGCCTTAGGTACTTCTTTATCTTCAAAATAAATTGTGCCAAAGTCCTAGATATCAGAATGTCAACAGGGAGAGGTTCCCACCCAGGCCTCCCGTTTCCGCTTGCACCTTGCACCTGTTGGGCAGATGACTTTGCGCGAGTCACTTCCTGACTCTGGCCCTAAAACTTCTTTTGTAAAACAAAGGGCATGGGTCAGAGGGTCTCTAATGGGGTCCCAAGATTAAAATTTCACAGTTCTGAGTGTCTAGAGTCTCCAGGCAGTGTGGTACCAGCTCTGGATTCAGAGAGACCCAGGTTTGAGCCCAAAGCCTGGGAGTTACTGACTGGCTGGCCGTGGGAAAGTGACGGAACACTCCCAAGCCTCGGTTTCCTCACGTGTAAAATGGGAATTAACTAAGGCAATGCCTCTCAAACACTTGGCACAGCCCCTGGCATGGCATACAGTCCATGCCATTGCTGTTGAGTTTGTAATGATTATATATAATTAAGTCTGTGCTGACAATACGTAGCTACGTAGGACCAAGCATCCAGCAGAACGCACAGTCCGAGACACTCTAGGTTGTGGTAGTAACTGCTGTAAAATAACTCCTTTATTATTGCACGTCAGAATAGGCAAGAGAGTGTAACACAGAAAACATCAGCTACTCTTCAGGGTGGTGACTGCTCCTTAGTCTAGGTATGTACACCTGGAAGGGTCCGTGAACATTTTCCATGGGAGAGATGGATACAGAGATAAGTTAAAGGAAATTGCCGGGCGTGGTGGCTCACATCTGTAATCCCAGCACTTTGGGAGGTCGAGGCGGGTGGATCATGAGGTCAGGAGTTCAAGACCAGCCTGACTGAATTGGTGAAACCTTGTCTCTACTAAAAAATACAAAAATTAGCTGGGCTTGATGGCGGGAGAATCATTTGAACCCAGGTGACAGAGGTTGCAGTGAGCCAAGATGGCGCCACTGCACGCCAAGCCTGGGCGACAGAGTGAGACTCCGTCTCAAAATAAATAAATAAATAAATAAATAAATAAATAAATAAATAAAGGAAATTAATGCCCAAATCCTCACCTTTCAATTGAACAGTTCCCCGAGGAGACCTGCCTGAAAATGCCCCAGTTGTATAGGAATGATTTACCCATATCCTGTTTCACTTTTCACCCATCACTCACTTTTTCTTTTTCTTTCCTTTTTCCTTTTTCTTTCCTTTCTTTTTTTTTTTTTTTTTTTTTTTTTTTGAGACAGAGTCTTGCTCTGTCGCCCAGGATGGAGCACAGTGGCCCCATCTCAGCTCACTGCAACCTCCGCCTCCCAGGTTCAAGTGATTTTCCCGCCTCAGCCTCCCAAGTAGCTGGGATTACAGGCGCACACAACCACTCCTGGCTAATATTTGTATGTTTAGTAGAGATGGGTTTTCACCATGTTGCCCAGGCTGGTCTCAAACTCCTGACCTCCAGTGATCTGCCTGCCTCAGCCTCCCAAAGTGCTGGGATTACAGGCGTGAGCCACTGTGCCCAGACTTTCTCTTTTTCTTTTTTTTTTTTTTTTTGCCAGAAAGGGTCTTGCTCTGTTGCCCAGGCTGGAATGCAGTGGCTCAATCTTGGCTCACTGAAGCCTCAACTTCCCAAGCTCAAGCAATCCTCCCACCTCAGCCTCTTGAGTAGCTGGAATCACAGGTACGTGCCACCACACCTGGCTAATTTTTTTTTTTTTTTGTAAAGACAGTGTCTCACTATGTTGCCCAGGCTGGTCTTGAACTCCTGGGCCCAAGTGATTCTCCTGCCTCAGCCTCCCAAAATGCTGGGGTTACTGGAGTGAGCCACCATGCCTGGCCCCACTTTTTACTCACTTTTTTGTTCATTTGTTTGTTCCCACTTAAAAAAAAAAATCCTACCTCTCTTCCATTTTCAGTACATGCTCTCAGTGCTGAAATCCTCTGGTGACCAAATAGAGACATCTAGAACATTAATAGTGGTGTTAGGAGGAATTCAATTGACTGGGTAATAAATCCGCCTTCAAGTCTTTGCTTTTCAATGTTTTGTTTTCAATACTTTGCAGTCAACAAAACTAGAAGAGGACCTAGAGCAATTGCCAGCTGAGGAGTCATTCAACTATATTTTGAAGATAGGTGACCATTGATTTTTGGCATATAGCTTAGAAGGAGTTAAAAGAATTAAGGGACATTGCTATACTGATATTCTTTGGATTCCCATCTATTTAATTATGTGAACACATTTTCTCCAAGCTTGCATCACCAGGGGGGTAGACAATGAAAGTTTTTCTTTTTTTCTTTTTTTTTTTTTTGAGACGGAGTCTCGCTCTGTCGCCCAGGCTGGAGTGCGGTGGCGCGATCTCGGCTCACTGCAAGCTCCACCTCTCGGGGTTCACGCCATTCTCCTGCCTCAGCCTCCCGAGTAGCTGGGACTACAGGCGCCGGCCGCCACCACGCCCGGCTAATTTTTTTTGCATTTTTAGAGACGGGTTTCACCGTGTTAGCCAGGATGGTCTCCATCCGCCCGCCTCGGCCTCCCAAGGTGCTGGGATTACAGGCATGAGCCACCGCGACCGGCCGAAAATTTTTCAATAAAAATAAACTTAAAGAATACCAGCGCTTCCGCCACGGCTGCCATTGGAGAGCAGCAGCCATGGCTCTGCGCGACCCTGTGGCCGTGGGCCCCAAGGTGACCAAGGACGTGAGCAAGCCCAGGCACAGCTGCCGCCCCGGACGTCTGACCAAACACACCAGGTTTGTGCGGGACATGATCCGGGAGGTGTGTAGCTTCGTCTCGTACAAGCGGCTCGCCATGGAGTTGCTGAAGGTCCCCAAGGACAAACGGTCCCTCAAGTTCATCAAGAAAAGGATGGGGACGCACATCCGCACCAAGAGGAAGCGGAAGGAGCTGAGCAAGGTGCTGGCCACCATGAGGAAAGCTGCTGCCTAGAAAGACTGAGCCCCCTCCCCTGCCCTCTCCCTGAAATAAAGAACAGCTTGACAGGAAGAAAAAAGAAAAAAAAACCAGCAACAATTTTATGTCAAAAGTTTGAAGATTAGTGAACACATTCCTTAGAAAAATAGGCCAGGTGCGGTGGCTCACTCCTGTAATCCCTGCACTTTGGGAGGCCGAGGTGGGCGGATCACCTAAGGTCAGGAGTTCAAGACCAACCTGGCCAACACGGCAAAACCCCATCTCTACTAAAAATACAAAAAATTAGCCGGGCGTGTTGGCAGGCGCCTGTAATCCCAGCTACTTGGAAGGCTGAGACAGGAGAATCGCTTGAACCCAGGAGGTAGACATTGCAGTGAGCCGAGATTGCACCACTGCACTCCAGCCTGGGCAACAGAGCGAGACTCCACCTCAAAAAAAAGAAAGAAAAATAAATACAACTTGCCAAAATGGACACAAGGAGAAACAATAAATATGAATAATGCTAAAATGATTAAAGAAATCAAGTCTAAAATTAAGTATCTTCCCTCCAATGTTTATGATAACCCACTAGTGAAATTTACCAAATATCTAAGGAAGAAATAATGCCAATCTCACATAAACTCTTTTATGGTATAGAAAAAGCACAGTTTTATAAGGCAGGCAGAAACTTAATTGCCAAAACCTGCCTAAGACAATATAAGAAACGAAAATTACAGGCCAGTCTCACTACCAAACTTGGATGTAAAAATCATACATAAAATAGCAGCCAGGCACAGTGGCTCATGCCTGTAATCCCAGCACTTGAGGAGGCCAAGGTGGGTGGATCACTTGGGGTCAGGAGTTCAAGACCAGCTTAGCCAACATGGTGAAACCCCATCTCTACTAAAAATACAAAAATTATCCAGGCATGCTGGCAGGTGCCTGTAATGCAAGCTACCTGGGAGGCTAGGGCATGAGAATCGCTTGAACCCAGGAAGCAGAGGTTGCACTGAGCCGAAATCACGCCACTGCACTCCAGCCTGGGTGACAGAGCAAGACTCCGAAAAAACAAAAACTAAATAAGAGGACTTACTCTACCTGATATCAAACTTACTAGGGAGCTATGGTAATTAGGACAGTGTAGAATTACCCAAACATGAACAGAGACCAATGGAAGAGATTAGTCAGCCCAAAATAAGAACCCACTTCTGGTTGATGCCAAGGATGGTATTACAGAACCATGAGGAAAGGGTGGTCTTTTCCATAATGAGACTGAGACATTGAATACCTTTACGGGGAAAAAGGAAATTCGAAACCTACCTGACATCACATCAAATATTAATTCCAGATGGATCATATATCTCAATGTGAAAAGCTAAACAATAAAAGCTTTAACAGATAATCTAGAAGGGTATCTTTATGCCCCCAAGAGAGAAAAAGTGTTCTTAAAAATGACACAAAAAAGCACAAACATTACTGAAAAGATTGATAAATTGGACTACATTCAAATGTAGTTCATCAAAGACACCAGGAAGGGCTGGGCGCAGTGGCTCACGCCTGTAATCCCAGAACTTTGAGAGGCTAAGGCGGCAGATCCCTGAGATGGGGAGTTTGGCAGATCCCTGAGATGGGGAGTTTGAGACCAGCCTGACCAACATGGAGAAACCCCATCTCTATTAAAAATACAAAATTGGCTGGGTGTGGTGTCACATGCCTGTAATCCCAGCTACTCAGAGGCTGAAGCAGGAGAATCCCTTTAACCTGGGAGCCAGAGGTTGCGGTGAGCCGAGATCGCGCCATTGCACTCCAGCCTGGGCAACAAGAGCGAAACTCCAATTCAAAAAAAAAAAAAAAGGCACCAGGAAAAGAGTAAAACAGGGCCGGGCACGGAGGCCCACGCCTTTAATCCCAGCACTTTGGGAGGCCAAGGCGGGCGGATCACTTGTGTCCAGGAGTTCCAGACCAGCCTGGTCAACATGGTGAAACCCCGTCTCTACAAAAAATACAAAAATTAGCCCAGTCTGGTGGCATGCGCCTGTAGTCCCAGCTACTTGGGAGGCTAAAGTGAGAGGATCACTGGAGCTTGGGAGGTTGAGGTTGCAGGGAGCTGAGATCGTGCCACTGCACTCCAGCCTGGGCAAGAGAGTGAGACCTTGTCTCAAAAAAAAAAAAAAAGAAAGAAAGAAAATTGTAGGTGAAGGTAGAAGTATCTCCAGTGATCTTCAAGACTGGCACAATATTCTAAAAAGATACATTTGAACATAAAAATAAATGTTAACCAGACATCGTTTTTAGAATTATACAATACAAATTCTGGTGGGGAGTTGGCTGAGAGCCCCTCCTCCAGCTTCCTGGTGGTGGCGGTGTTCCACCTCCTGGGTCCCCACCCTCAGTCTCCCTTGCTCTGCCTTCTCCCCCACCCCACCTCCACATGCTAGAAACCAGGTCCTCTTCTCACCCTCTCTCCCAGGTGAGCCTGGTCACTCACAGAGCTGCAGAATCTGCTGTCTGTCTGCCAAGGACTCCCAACTCTGTGTCCACAGCAAGGATCTGTGCTAAACCACACTGGCCTTGCTGGGCCTCCAGCGCCATACACTCCCTCTTATGGCTTGTAACAGGTGTTTCCCCACCTGGAATGTTTGCTCTCCTCTCTCCTCCAAAGTCCTGCCCCTCCCTGAGGTGAGAAATCAGTTCCCCCACCTCCCCCACAGCCCCAGCACTCTGTGCTGAAATCATCATCAAAAACCCTGGTCTCCTCCAATCCCTCCTGCTACCCTCTCAGCCACCCAACATGCTATTCCCCCTGCAGGAACACTCTTCCCCATGATCTTTCTCGAGTCATTCTTCAGATCCATGTATCCCCTCCTCCAGGAAGCCCTCCCTGATACTCACCACTCTCCGGCCAGGGCAGGCACTTACTCTGGGCTCCCACAGGCCCCCTGGCCTCCCCCATCCCAGCCCCGACCACTCTGGGCAGTCAAGGTCTGGTGACTAACCTGCCTCCTCAACTGGACTGTGGGCCCCATGGGGGTAGGGCTGTCTCTGTCTCTACTGCCTCCCCAGCATCACCCAGTCAGGCCTGGATGCAGGCCTGGCATCAACTCTGCATAAAGGAGCGGAGGTCAGGAGTTCCCTGGGGCCTCAGTGCCTGGCACTGGTGGAGGGGCTTTCTGCATGCCACACTCTGGATCTTCTCCAGCTACTCCTTATTCTGGAAGCTGCAGCATGTTGAAATAAAAACTGGAACTAAATGGAGATGGAATGGACTTCACATTTGGACACATGGGTGTGTAAAGAGGAACGTGACTTCTCCAAAGTAACGCATAGAGGCCGGGCGCAGTGGCTCACGCATGTAATCCCAGCACTTTGGGAGGCCGAGGCAGGCAGATCATTTGAGGTCAGGAGTTCGAGACCAGCCTGGCCAACATGGTGAAACGCCATCTCCACTATAAATACACAAATTAGCTGGGCATAGTGGCACATGCCTGTAATCCCAGCTACTCCGGAGGCTGAGGCTGAAGAATCACTTGAACCCAGGAAGCAGAGGTTGCATTGAACCAAAATCGCACCACTGCACTCCAACCTGGGTGACAGAGCGAGACTCCGTCTCAAAAAAAAAAAAAAAAAAAAGTAACACACTAACCTCCTGACCCACCCAGAGTGGGTCTTACCTTCTAGAAAGATAGAAAAGAATAGAACCAGGCCAGGCTGACTCTGGCAGCTTTAGAACAATAGTAATGGCAGGAGTGGCCGGCGATGGACAGCTGGGGGTGGGACTGAAATAGACAGCAGCCAGGGAATAGTGGGTTGAAGGGAGAAAGGGAGTTATTTTTCTGTAGTCTTTGAAATTTTATTTTTCTCTTTCCTTTTTTGGAGACAAGGTCCTGCTCTTTTGCCCAGGCTGGAGGGCCATGGCGCGATCATGGCTCACTGCAGCCTCGAACTTGAGCGATCCTCCCTCCTCAGCCTCCCAAGTAGGTGGAACTTCAGGCGTCTGCCACCACACCCAGCTAATTTTTAAATTTTTTAAATTTTTTCTAGAGATGGGGGCCTTGCTATGTTGCCCAGGCTGGTCTCGAACTCCTGAGCTCCAGCGATCCTCCCACCTTGGCCTCCGAAAGGCCTGAGCCACCGTACCCGGCTGAAATTTGTAATCAACCCATAATCATCTATTACTTATGTAACTGAATTCCTATGAAAAGCATAATAAAGTGGAGATCATAAAGGTGCCGACTTCGGGCTGTTGTAAGATTTCGGTGCCACACCTAGCACAGAAAAAGCATGGAGAGCAGAAGGGCAGTGAACGCCAGCTGGCACACGTTGGCTACGTGCAAGTATTCGCCTAAACGCTGCGCAGGTATTCATCATATGATCCCCATAAACCTCTGAGGGCTGCACTCACATGTCATCCCCGATCTGCTGATGAGAAGTTCAGTTATAGGCCCAAGGTCACATATCCCGAGCCAGCGTAAAAGTGGAATCCAGGGAGGAGGAGGAGGAGGAGGAGCAGGAGGAGGAGGAGGAGGAGGAGGAGGAGGAGGAGAAGAAGAAGAAGAAGAAGAAGAAGAAGAAGAAGAAGAAGAAGAGAAAGGATTACTGTCCGTCTCTCTCTGGTTCTCTGCACACCCCTCACCTCCAGGGTTTTCAGTCTGTCTCTGGACCATTCTCCTTCTCTCCCCCTGCCCCATTCTCCAAAAGCCCAATGGGGTGACTTGCAGGCTGGGGGCACCCCCTGGTGCCTGTGTGCCGAGTGCAGAAAGTCAGGGCGGTACAGGGTGGAGGCAGGTGAGAGTGTGGGGGTGGTTTGGGTCCCACCGAGATATGGAAAGGTGGGTATCAGAGTAGAGTGCACTCATTCATTTCTTCATCATCACAGCCCAGAGGGTCCACTCTGTTCTGGGAGTGTTGGGGGGTAGGAGTGGAGCAAAACAATGCCCCCAGACGAAGAGAGCAGTGGGAGAAGGAGAGAAGGAGCATCCCAGAGCCATAGACACTTAGGGGCTGTGTGACTCTGGGCAGGTGACCTAGGGTCCTTGAACCTCAGTTTCCTCATCTGAAGATGGAGATGATATGTTAGTATCTCCCTCAGAGTATTAATGGATGCTAGGTACAGTTATAAGCTTCATTTACAGATGAGGAAAACTGAGGTTGGACAACTTGGCCAGTCACATAAAAGACGCAGTGGGGTGCTCCCTCAGCACCACTCTCCGGCTAAGAATTCTGGCTGCAGAGGAGGATGGACTCCAGGAGAAAGAACAGGCCGCCATTCCCATGGTTCAGCATGGACATCGGTGGAATGCTGTTAAATTGGTCTGTTTTGAGGCCGGGAGCGGCGGCTCACGCCTGTAATCCCAGCACTTTGGGAGGCCGAGGCAAATGGATCACCTGAGGTCAGGAGTTCGAGACAAGCTTGACCAACATGACGAAACCCCGTCTCTACTAAAAATACAAAAGTTAGCTGGGTGTGGTGGTGCGCACCTGTAATCCTAGCTACTCAGGAGGCTGAAGCAGGAGAATCACTTGAACCCAGGAGGCGGAGGTTGCAGTGAGCCAAGATCGCACCATTGCACTCCAGCCTGGGCGACAGAGCAAGACTCTGTCTCAAAAAACAAAAAAGGAAGGAAAAGAAAGAGGCAGTGGTGTTAGCAGGGCAATGAGTTGAATTCCAGTAACTCCGGTTCCCCTGGGTTTCCAACCCCCAGACCTCAAGCTTGGGCCTCCACACTCCTCTCCATCCCATCCCCCAAACATGTTCCTGCTAAACTGTTAAGCTCCAGTTCCTGCCTATCCCACCACTTACCCACCACCCCTCTTCTACTCCCCCTGTCTCCACTAACCTGCCGATCCACATATTTTCAACAGCCAAGATCGCTCTCGACCTGTGAGCAGGAAGCCAGTTGTTGAGACAGGTACACTTTCATCCCGTTTAATGACTGTGTCTTCCTCATCTCATGGCAGTGTGAGGCACGGGCACACAGGCCTAGGGAAGGCAGACAAGCCCTGTCCCTGCACTCGCCCCACTTTGGGCTAGGAGAGGAAACCAGCTCAGACAAATAATCTCAGATGCCCGCTGTTTCAAGATCCTCTGGCTGCAGAGGGGAGGGTGGAGGGGAGCGGAACCTGGAGGCCTGGGGCTCTGAGAGGAGAATGGGTGGGGCCTAGATGGGAGGGGAAAGAGCCAGAATAGAATGTGTGGAGGGCAGAAGCGGGCAGATCAAAGCCAAATGCTAGAGGCAGAAGAAAACAGAACCCCATGACTCAGGCGTTTGAAATGAGGAAATTCTCAACCCAGATAGATGCAGAACTGATTCTAAGAGGAAAAGATTAGAAACAACCTAGAGATCTGATCAGATGGGAAATTAAATGGATGGAGAGGTGTGCCAAAGCCTTCTCTGAAACACCTCCCAGGCATTAAAATTAGTGATCCAGAGCCAGCTGTATGGATATGAATGAATCTTAAAAGCTGAAGGACAAAAGCCAGTTGCAGAAGAAGGGATGTGGACTGTGTGCTGTCCTGGGCATAAAGTTGTTTTTTTTTTTTTTTGAGACAGAGTCTTGCTCTCTCACCCAGGCTGAAGTGCAATGGTGCGAACTCGGCTCACTGCAACCTCCGCCTCCCAGGTTCAAGCGATTCTCTAGCCTCAGCCTCCCAAGTAGGTGGGATTACAGCCGCCTGCCACCACGCCCAGCTAATTTTTTTATTTTTAGTAGAGATGGGGTTTCACCATATTGGACAGGCTGGTCTCGAACTTCTGACCCCAAGTGATCCACCCACTTGGGCCTCCCAATGTGCTGAGATTACAGGTGTGACCCACTGCTCGCAGAGTGCATAAAGTTTTTAAGCCTGCAAAAGAATGTTTTCCCAGGCCAGGCACGGTGGCTGACACCTGTAATCCTAGCACTTTGGGAGGCCGAAGCAGGCAGATCACTTGAGGTAATAGAGTTCAAGACCAGCCTGGCCAACATGGTGAAACCCTGTCTCTACTAAAAATACAAAAATTAGCCAGGCTTGGTGGTGGGTGCCTGTAGTCCTAGCTACTCAGGAGGCTGAAGCAGGAGAATCGTTTGAACCTGGGAGGCAGAGGTTGCAGTGAGCCGAGATCTTGCCACTGCACTTCAGTCTGGACAACAGAGTGGAACTCCATCTCAAAAAAAAAAAAAAATCCACTTGTTCTCTGGGTGCAGTGGCTAATGCTTGTAATCCCAGCACTTTGGGAGGCCTAGGTGGGCAGATCACATGGCCAGGTATTCGAGACCAACCTGACCAATATGGTGAAACCCCATCTCTACTAAAAATACAAAAATTAGCCAGGCGTGGTGGGCACCTATAATCTCAGCTACTCGGGAGGCTGAGACAAGAGAATCACTTAAACCTGGGAGGCGGAGATTGCAGTGAGCCGAGATCATGCCTTTGCATTCCAGCCTGGGCAACAAAGCAAGACTCCATCTCAAAAAAATAAAAATAAAAATAAAGAACGTTTTCCCAAATAATTGTGTGTGGTTGCACAAATATGCAGGAAAACAATCAGAACGTACCTGGAAATATTAATTATAAGATAGTGCCTCCCGCTGGGCTCAGTGGCTCATGCCTGTAATCCCAGCACTTTGGGAGGCTGAGGTGGGCAGATCACAAGGTCAAGAGTTCAAGACCAGCCTGGCCAGCATAGTGAAACCCCATCTCTACTAAAAATACAAAAATTAGCCAGGCATGGCGGCATGTGCCTGTAATCCCAGCTACTCTGGAGGCTGAGGCAGGAGAATTGCTTGAACCTGGGAGGCGGAGGTTGCAATGAGCCAAGATCACGCCACTGCACTCCAGCCTGGGCGACAGAGCGAGACTCCGTCTAAAAAAAAAAAGACAGTGCTTCCCCTGTAGGAGGGAGAGAAGGATGTGACGTTTCAGAAGGGATACAGGGAACCCCAAACCCGGTCATGAGTATTTTATTTCTCTAAATAAATAATGGTAAAAATGTTAAGATATTGTAAAGATAGGTGTGTATGTATAATCGTGGTAATTCCTCTAATCCTTTCTCCATGTCTGTATTTGAAATAATTATTTTCAAGGCCAGGCGCGGTGGCCCACGCCTGTAATCCCAGCACTTTGGGAGGCTGAGGCGGGTGGATCACTTGAGGCCAGGAGTTTGAGACCAGCCTGGCCAACATGGTGAAACCCTGTCTCTACTAAAAATACAAAAATTAGCTGGGCATGGTGGTGTGTGCCTGTAGTCCCAGCTACTGGGAAGGCTGAGGCAGGAGAATCACTTGAACCCCGGAGGCAGAGGTTGCAGTGAGCTGAGATCATGCCACCGCACTCCAGCCTGGGCGACAGAACAAGACTCCATTTCAAGAAAAAGGAATAATTATTTTTGGCTGGGTGCAGTAGCTCACGCCTGTAATCCCAGCACTTTGGGAGGCCGAAGTGGGCGGAACACCTGAGGTCAGGAGTTTGAGACCAACCTGGCCAACATGGTGAAACCCTGTCCCTACTAAAAATATAAAATTGCTTGAACCTGGGAGGCAGAGGTTGCAGTGAACTGAGACCACTCCACTGCACTCCAGCCTGGGTGACAGAGCGAGACTCTGTCTCAAAAAACAGTAATTATTATTATTTTTAAAATAACATATATTTTGGAGGCTGGGCACAGTGGCTCACGCCTGTAATCCCAACATTTTGAGGGGCCAAGGAGGGAAGATGGCTTGAGCCAGAAGTTCAAGACAACCCTGGGCAATATAGTGAGACCTCATCTCTACAAAACATTTAAAAGTTGGCCAAGTATGGTGGCATGCACCCGTAGTCCCAGCTATCTACAAGGCTGAGATGGGAGGGTCACATGACCCGGGAAGGTGGAGGGTGTAATGACCCCACCAAAACACTGTACTCCAGCCTGGGCAACGGTTCGAAATCCTGTCTCAAAAACGTATACTTGGTTGAGCACGGTGGCTCACGCCTGTAATCCCAGCACTTTGGGAGGCCGAGGCGGGCGGATCACGAGGTCAGGAGATCAAGACCATCCTGGCTAACACGGTGAAACCCCGTCTCTATTAAAAATACAAAAAAATTAGCCAGGTGTGGTGGCGGGCGCCTGTAGTCCCAGCTACTCAGAAGGCTGAGGCAGGAGAATGGCGTGAACCCGGGAGGTGGAGCTTGCAGTGAGCCGAGATCGCGCCACTGCACTCCAGCCTGGGCGACAGAGCGAGACTCCGTCTCAAAAAATATATATATACTTTTGAAATACCTTTTTTTTTTTTTAATAAGGGGACTGGAGGGGGTGGAACCAGGTGATAGTTGGATACAGAGGGAGATGAAGGAAAGGAAGCAAAAGCTGTCCCCCAGGAGACCCGAAATTTTATTTTTCTCAACTTATGGTTGCCTTCCTGATATGAATTTGTAGGAGCAGTGCCTTATTTTTTTCTTCTTGCACCCTCACCCAGCTACGAAGAGTAGTACTTAGAAAAGAACTTTTAGGCCTGGTGCAGTGGCTTACGCCTGTAATCCCAGCACTTTGGGAGGCCAAGGTGGGTGGATCACTTGAGGCCAGGAGTTCGAGACTAGCCTGGCCAACATGGTGAAACCCCAATTCTATTAAGAATAAAAAAAATGGGGCCGGTCTCCAGCTCCTAACCGCGAGTGATCCGCCAGCCTTGGCCTCCCGAGGTGCCGGGATTGCAGACGGAGTCTGGTTCACTCAGCGCTCAATGGTGCCCAGGCTGGAGTGCAGTGGCGTGATCTCAGCTCGCTACAACCTCCATCTC
This sequence comes from Homo sapiens, assembly GCF_000001405.40. Classification (NCBI taxonomy): domain Eukaryota; kingdom Metazoa; phylum Chordata; class Mammalia; order Primates; family Hominidae; genus Homo; species Homo sapiens. Next base: position 41,179,875 of record NC_000019.10, read on the forward strand.
CCAGCCGCCTGCCTTGGCCTCCCAAAGTGCCGAGATTGCAGCCTCTGCCCGGCCACCACCCCGTCTGGGAAGTGAGGAGCGTCTCTGCCTGGCCGCCCATCGTCTGGGACGTGAGGAGCCCCTCTGCCTGGCTGCCCAGTCTGGAAAGTGAGGAGCGTCTCTGACCGGCCGCCATCCCATCTAGGAAGTGAGGAGCGCCTCTTCCCGGCAGCCATCCCATCTGGGAAGTGAGGAGCGTCTCTGCCCGGCCGCCCATCGTCTGAGATGTGGGGAGCGCCTCTGCCCCGCCGCCCCGTCTGGGAGGTGAGGAGCGTCTCTGCCCGGCCGCCCCGTCTGAGAAGTGAGGAGACCCTCCGCCCAGCATCCGCCCCATCTGAGAAGTGAGGAGCCCCT